>NC_000002.12:88109144-88414528 GCF_000001405.40 Homo sapiens | reverse complement strand
AGGCCAAGGTGTGCGGATCGCCTGAGGTCAGGAGTTCGAGACCAGACTGGCTAACATGGTAAAACCCTCTCTCTACTAAAAATACAAAAATTAGCTGGGCGTGGTGGCAGGCGCCCGTAATCCTAGCTACTCGGAAGGCTGAGGCAAGAGAATATCTTGAATCTTGGAGGTGGAGGTTGCAGTGAGCCGAGATTGCACCACTGCACTCCAAACTGGGTGACAAGAGCGAAACTCAGTCTGAAAAGAAAAAGAAAAAGAAAAGAAAATTATATAAAATTTAATTTTCAATGTCTATAAATAAAGTTTTACCAGAACACATCCTTTCTGATTCATTTTGTGTATTGTCTATGGATGCTTTGGCACTGATACTGCATGGCTGAGTAGTGGACAGAGGCCATGTACTCCTCAAAACTTAAAATGTGGCTGGGCACAGTGGCTCACACCTATAATCCTAGCCCTCTGGGAAGCAGAGGCGAGTGGGTCACCTGATGTTAGGAGCCGGAGACCAGCCTGGCCAACATGGTGAAACCCCGTCTCTACTAAAAATACAAAAATTAGCCGGGTTTGGTAGCGGGTGCCTGTGATCCCAACTACTCAGGAGGCTGAGGCAGGAGAATCACTTGAACCTAGGAGGTGGAGGTTGCAGTTAGCCGAGATCGCCTCATTGCACTCCAGCCTGGGCAACAAAAGCAAAACTCCGTCAAAAAAAAATAATAAAAATAATAAAAAGCCTAAAATGTCTACCCTCTGGCACTTAGAAAAAATGTGTTAAAACTTGGCCAAGATTCTAGATAAAATAAAGCCCTGATTTGGCATAGCTGAAGCAGAATAGGTTTTACAGGTAGGCAGACCATGGCTCAATTCACGGTCAGTTAAAAATATTAATGTAGCAAGACCTCATCTCTACAAATAAAAACTAAATAAACTAGCTGAGCATGGAGGGATGTGCCTGTAGTCCCACCTGTACACTCCAGTCTGGCAACAGAATGAGACCTTGTCTCTAATATATATATATGAATATAATATATATTGTTTATAAATAAATATATAATTGTTTTATTTTATTCTATTTTATTTTAGAGAATATGTCAGTGAGATGGCTGGAGCCGCCATGGTCAAGGGTTGTCTTTGCTTTTGAATTTTTTTTTTCCTTTTCCCTTAGCTATTTTTTTATTTCATAAGAATGCTCTTAATTACTTTTAAAAGGAAAGCATGAAACTTTTAGAACATTAACGCAAGGCAGCATTCAGAGACTTACTCAGTTCCCCCTTGCAGGCACCAGTGCCACCTAATTGTTTGCTCCACACAAAAGGTGGATCAGAGAAAATCGCTTCTTTATTCTTCCCTTTACATCATCTCCCCGGCACCTGGGGAGTCTGGATGCACGGAGACCGAGTACAACATGCATCTGATGATGGGTTACACCAAAGCACACCAAGACCTAAATCCTTCCCAGATTTATGAAGATTTTCCATAGCTTAACTAGATTTCTAATTGTCCTGCCACCTGTACTGAAATGTACAGTATGTGTTAATCTTGAATTCTTTTCTGTTTCCATAATCTTGGTAAAGTTTCCTGCACTCAAACAGTAAATCCAGTTTGGTCCTTGGGCTTTAAAGAGGGAGCCAAATTCACTTTTATGATTTCCAGTATGAAGGTGTCTTTGGAGGCGTTTGGGCATCTAAAAGCCCAGAACAATTTTTCCTCCCTGTGGTTCCTGTGCTGTGGCTTCCAGGCCGAAACCATAAGTTCACAAGAGTCCGTTGCCTCATTTGTTACGTGATTTTTCTATCATTTCAGAAGAGTTTAGAAAGAAATGCGTAAGAGTTTCCACATATTCAGCATACCAGGTGTTCTGTTCTCCCCACAAAATGTTCATTTGTAGATGACAACTTGCTGGTTTATTTTCTGTTGGTATTGAGATTATAGGATGAAAAGGTAGACTCAGTACCTGTTAATGTAACAATTTTTCTGGACATTTTTAAAGGCAGCTCTATCTGAGTCTGCCATGTGACCTTAGACTATGTCAAGTTGAAATAATAACATTATCTACCCTGCTATCTCACAGGGCTGTTTTCAGGAATTGAATGTGATATAAAATATGTAACCATCTCTGAATAGGTGAAGCATTTTGCAGGTGAGAGTACTCAGTCCTCTTCAAAAGGAGGCTTTTTGAAGGTGGTGAAAAGGGAGATATTGATCACAGGGTATGCATCTTCAGATGTAAGATGATTCAGTTCTGATGATCTAATGTATGGCATAGCAACGGTAGTTAGTAACATATTGTATCCTTTTTTTTTTTTTTCGAGACAGAGTCTTGCTCTGTCGCCCAGGCTGGAGTGCAGTGGCGCGATCTCTGCTCACTGCAAGCCCCACCTCCCGGGTTCACACCATTCTCCTGCCTCAGCCTCCTGAGTAGCTGGGACTACAGGCGCCCGCCAACACACCCTGCTAATTTTTTTGTATTTTTAGTAGAGACAGGGTTTCACTGTGTTAGCCAGGATGGTCTCGATCTCCTGACCTTGTGTCCGCCCGTCTCGGCCTCCCAAAGTGTTGGGATTACAGGCGTGAGCCACCGCGCCCAACCCATAATGTATTGTATTCTTAAAATTTGCACAGAGAGTAGGGTTAAGTGTTCTCCCCACATCAAAAAAAAAAAAAAAAAAAAGAAAATTTAACTAGGTAAAGTGATGGATATGTTAGTTTGATTGTAGTGATCAGTTCACAGTGTATATGTATATCAAAACATCACCTTGTGTGCCTTGGATATACACTATTTTTATTTGTCAATAATACCTCAATAACGGGTTTGGGCGGGGGAAGCAGGCTTCTGTTTCTGATTGTCACTTTCCTGTCAGCTACTCCCCTATGCCAAAAAGTTAAAGGCAGTTTTTCTCTTTAGTTGGAGACCTTGAGTTTGTCTGTTGTTAGGTAAGTTGCTTCACTTGTCAGCCTCAGTTTCTTCTTCTGGAAAGTTTCATCTAAAAACATATACATTATAGGCAGGGCGTGGTGGCTCACACCTGTAATCCTAGCACTTTGGGAAGCCAAGGCGGGTGGATCTCCTGAAGTCAGGAGTTTGAGACCAGACTGGCCAACATGGTGAAACCCTGACTCTACTAAAAATACAAAAATTAGCCAGGCGTGATGGTGTGTGCCTGTAATCCCAGCTACTCAGGAGGCTAAGGCAGGAGAATTGCTTGAACCTGGGAGGCAGAGGTTGCAGTAAGCCCAGATCGTGCCATTGCACTCCAGCCTGGGCAACAAGAGCGAAACTCCATCTCAAAACAAAACTATATATATATATATATATATATATATATAAAAATATGTATGTGTGTAAGATGGTACATTGGAAGAAGCTGGGAAAATAGGACACAGGCGTTTTCCTCTCTGTATTATTTTGGCAACTTTTTTTTGTCATTGTTTTATTTTGTTTGTTTTGTTTCTAATGAGAATTAGTCCATATTTTTGCAACTTTCTATGGGTCTATAATTTAGAATAAGAAGTTTTTAAAATTATGTGTAAAGCACCTGATGCAATGCCCAGAGGTATTTTAGAAGTTCAGTCTTCTATGCTATAAGCATTATGTAGAACTGAGTTTTATTATTACTTGATATTATTATCTAACCCCATAATAACCAATAATATTTGTTGGATGCCTACTATGTGCTAGACACAATATTAAGTATTATAGTTTAAAATTCTGATAACATCCTTAGGTGGTAATTAATGATTATCATTTCTGTTTCATAAATGGGAAAGCCAGGGCATAGAGAAGTTAGGTAATTTGTCCAAGCTCACAAAGTTTAGAAGCTGGGGGAACCAGGTACAAATTCAGATGGTCTGACTCCACAATTCTCATTCAAAGAAAAGGTCATGATTTAGTCATTTGCAGAATTTTAGGCAAGATCAAACCTCTGGGTGGGAAACCTGTACCTCTGCACTCTCATTTCCTGACTTTACTTCCATAGTGTTCCCTGCCCAGTGGCTGGAGGATTCTACTTGATGAGATTTTTGAGATTCCTAAGGACCCCCTACCGTTCTCCAATAATTTACCTTACCCAACTCTCAAGCTGATAGAAATCCAACTGATAAGGTGCTCCTTCAGCTATGACAGTGGTTCCCACATGGGGATGCAAGACTAAAGGCACAGCTTCCCTGGCCTCTGAGCTGAAGACTTGAATTCAGTGGCCTGGCCTGTGCCCTGGGAGCCTGTTTTTTTGTTTCGGTTTGAGACAAGAGTCTCGCTCTGTCGCCTAGGCTGGAGTGCAATGGCGCGATCTTGGCTCACTGCAACCTCCACCTCCCAGGTTCAAGCAATTATCCTGTCTCAGCCTCCTGAGTAGCTGGGATTACAGGCACATGCCACCACACCCAGCTACTTTTTTATATTTTTGGTAGAGACGGGGTTTCACCATGTTAGCCAGGCTGGTCTCAAACTCTTGACCTCAGACAATCCCCCTGTTGCGGCCTCCCAAAGTGCTGGGATTACAGGCGTGAGCCACCGCGCCCAGCCTTCCTGGAGCCTGTATTTTTAATTTGGTTTACAGATAAATTCTTTTCTTTATTTTTTATTTATATAGAGATGGGATCTCACTATGTTGCCCAGACTGATCTCAAACTCCTAGGCTCAAGCAATCCTCCCACCTCAGGCTCCCAAAGTGCTGGGATTACAGGTGTGAACCCCCACACCCAGCCAGATAAATTCTTATCTTTAGTCAGATTTGGGAAATCACGATTTAAGATTATTATTTCCAAAGACACCTGCTACAAAGCCATTTGGGGGCATTGGTTATTATAGCAAGCTGTAAAACCTCACTGGGATTTTCAGACAAGTATGGCTTTGGGAGCAGACAACCCCTCCATTCTAACCCTCTCTTCTGTTTTCGTATTTAGCAATTCCTTTAAAACAGAAACAGGCTAGGCACAGTGGCTTATGCCTGTAATCCCAGCACATTGGGAGGCCAAGGCGGGCAGATCAACCGAGGTCAGGAGTTCAAGACCAGCCTGCCCAACATAGCAAAACCCCATTTTTACTAAAATACAAAAATTAGCCAGGTGTGGTAGTGCACACCTGTAATCCCAGCTACTTGGGAGGCTGAGGCAGGAGAATCTCTTGAACCTGGGAGGCAGAGGCTGCAGTCAGCCGAGATTGCACCACTACACTCTGGCCTGCGTGACAGAGCAACACTGTCTCAAAAGTAAAAAAAAAATTAAAATGAAATGGAAACAATTCAACCCACCTCACAGTGCTGCTGTGAGGATTAGTGTTAATGTCATAGGAACTATCGCTTTTTGTGCATTATCATTGCTGTAAATTTACCATCTACTACCATATAAATAGGGTTGAATTATCAGTCAAACAGCCAGTCACCTTAGATGGTAGAGAGCCAGGCCCTGGGGAGAGGTCAATGATCTCTATCACCCAGGCTGGAGTGCAGATCAGTCAAACAGCCAGTCACCTTAGATGGTAGAGAGCCAGGCCCTGGGGAGAGGTCAATGATCTCTATCACCCAGGCTGGAGTGCAGTGGCACCAAAATGGTTCGTTGCAACCTCTACCTCCTTCCTGGGCTCTGATGATCCACCAGCCTCAGTTTCCTGAGTAATTGGGACTACAGATGCGTGCCATCATGGCTGGCTGGTACGTTCGATTTTGATTAAATGGAGAAAGATTTCCAGAGTGAGGAACAACAGGTCCAGGTGGGAGATACAGTGGAAGTTTTTGGCAGGTGAAAACTCATCCAACAGGAAAGCGACTTTGCAGAGACACAAGTCTTAACAAGTCTTGTCTCTTTAAAAGGCCAACAGGCCAGGTGCAGTGGCTCACGTCTGTAATCCCAGCACTTTGGAAGGCCGAGGTGGGCAGATTGCTAGAGCTCAGGAGTTCAAGACCAGCCTCAGCAATATGGTATGAAACCCTGTCTCTACAAAAAATTAGCCAGGCATTGTAGTGTGCCTCTAGTCCCAGCTACTGGGGAGGCAGAGGTAGGAGGATCGAGCGAGCCTAGGAGGTAGAGCCTGCAGTGAGCCGAGATCGCACCACTGCACTCCAGCCTGGGTGACAGAGTGAGACCCTGTCTCAAAATTAAATTAAATTAAATTAAAAAGGCCTACAGTGGTTAGTAGGGGAGTTGATGATGAATAATCACAAATTTATTACCACTGTTAAAATAAAGACTTGAGCAAACCAACTCCACTAACGTTGGAGTAACGATGTCTTTGCATATGAGGACCTACATTTTCACCATCCTATTGGTGCCAGAAATGACTCTACCTTTCAAAAGAGCCCTAGCCTCTTGCCTCCAGGGATGTGGTCCCATCCTTACGGACCTTGATAAGCTACATCATCATGACATCATGGTCCTTGGAAGTAGTGAATTTCCTGCCATGTCTATCTTAATCACACCTCAATCTGCACACCTACAGCAGAAATTTCTCATTCTCTCAAGCAGAAGTGAGCCTCGGAAGACACTCAAGTTGCCCAGGTAAAAAGGCAATTTGATGGCTATTTAAAGCTTTAATATCTTTGATTTTAACCTCAGATAAGCAAGATAAACAACCAAGTATCTACACTGGTAGGGACTATTTCTATTCAACTTTTTAAAACTACTTTTGTATTTTACTAATAGAAACCAAATTCCTGAGGACCAAATTAAGGAACTCAGGAATTTCAAAGCTTTGGAGTACCTTTTCTATTGCTGTTCTATGGAGTCATATTTTAGAGGTGCTACTCTTTTGTTTTGTTTTTTGGGGCTTTGTTGTTGTTTTGAGATGGAGTCTCGCTCTGTCACCCAGGCTAGAGTGCAGTGGTGCAATCGCAGCTCACTGCAACCTCCGACTATTTTTAGTAGAGACAGGATTTCACAATGTTGGTAAGGCTGGTCTCGAACTCCTGACCTCAGGTGATCCACCTGCCTTGGCCTCCCAAAGTGCTGGGATTACAGGCGTGAGCCACCTTGCCTGGCTGTCAGGGTTCTTTAGAGGGACAGAACTAATAGGATAGATGTATATAAAAAGGGGAATTGATTAAGGAGTATTAACTTACACAATCACAGGTTCTAGAATAGTCCATCTGCAAGCTGAGGAGCAAGGAAGCCAGTCCAAGTTCTAAAGCTGAAGAACTTGGAGTCCGATGTTTGAGGGCAGGAAGCATCCAGCATGGGAAAAAGATGTAGGCTGGGAGGCCAAGCCAGTTTGATCTCTCCACATGCTTCTGCCTGCTTTTATTCTGGTCTTGCTGGCAGCTGGCAGCTGATTAGATTATGCCCACCCAGATTGGGGGGGGGTCTGCCTTTCCCAGCCCACTGACTCAAACGTTAATCTCCTTACCCAGGATCAATACTTTGCATCCTTCAATCCAATCAAGTTGACACTCAGTATTAACCATCACAATGGATATCACATTGAGCTATATCAATGTGCCATAGTACACATTGTCCTAGCACTGCCCAGGTATTGTCATCCAGTTGATGATAAAACTGAGTCTTCAAAAAGGCTAATAACTGCTCTATGAAACCCTTGCTTCAGGATGATGGGAACATGATAAGACAAGCAAATTCTATGATCATAGCCCAGTGCAGTCCTTGTTTGCTGTAAAGTCAGTTTCTTAGTCAGAAGCAATGCTATGTGGGTCGGGCGCAGTGGCTCATGCCTGTAATCCCAGCACTTTGGGAGGCCGAGGCGGTTGGATCACTTAAGGTCAGGAGTTTGAGATCAGAATTTCCAGTGTAGTGAAACCTCATCTCTACTAAAAATAGAAAAAACTAGCCTGGTGTGATGGTGGCATGCCTGTAATCCCAGCTACTGGGGAGGCTAAGGTGGGATAATCACTTGAACCAGGGAGGTGGAGGTTGCAGTGAGCCGAGATCTGGCCACTGCACTCCAGCCTGAGTGACAGAGTGAGACTCTGTCTCAAAAACAAACAAACAAAAAAAACAAAAAAAGGAAGCAGCACCAGCAGCAATGCTATGTGAATAAAAATGAATAAGGCATACTTTAAGTCCATAGGTGATGGTTTTATTAGAAGCACTGTGGGCAGAAGGCACATCCCCATGCCTTATAAATGTCTGTTTCAGCAAGAACATATAATAGCAGTGGTGCAGTGAAGCCTAATTTATACAAATACGTTATCTTGGAAAAGTTTTTAAAATATAAAATATAGAGAGTAAAGGGGGAATATCCCAATTCACTCTCCTCTCTTACTTCTCCCCTTCTCCGTCTATGCACAATCTCAGTATTCTCCCCAGAACTCTCGACTAGTCTTTCAGCTTGTATTCTTTCTGCCTTTTCCTGTACATTTACACCCATATATGTGCATATAGGAATAGAGCTTTTAAAAAGAAAGTGAGAATGGGCTGCTATCACAATACTGTTTTACAACTTCTTATTAAAATTATTTTTCTTCATTAGGTCTGAAAACATTGTTTTGATGTGCAGGGAAGATTATGTGTGAGATCTCTGTCTCTAACTCTGTCTCTATGCCTATGGCTACTTTTATTTATTTATTTTTGAGATGGGGTTTCCCTCTTGTTGCCCAGGCTGGAGTGCATTGGCGCAATCTCAGCTCACTGCAACCTCCACCTCTCGGGTTCAAGCTATTCTCCAGCCTTGCCTCCTAAGTAGCTGGGACTTCAGGCATGCACCACCAGGCCCGGCTAATTTTGTATTTATTTTTTAGTAGAGATGGGGGGTCTCACCATGTCGGCCAGGCTGGTCTCGAACTCCTGACCTCAGGTGATCTGCCCTTCTCGGCCTCCCAAAATGCTGGGATTATAGACGTGAGCCACTGCCCCCAGCTTATGGCTACATTTATAGCTACATCTACATCTAGATCTCTAGAAATATCTACATCTACATCTGTATCTACATAAAACATTATAAAACAGTGAGCAGCCATGAACTCACCAGTGAACCTAGAACTACAACAAAACCAATAACTTACATCTGTATGTATATTTCTTATCTATTCCATTTCCTGAATCTCTCCCTTGGTGACTACTTTTTGAAGTTTTGCGGTTATTATTCCATCGCTTTTTAAAAATAACTTTTTATATTTTAAAAGTTTCAGACTCATGAGAAAGTGTAAAAATAGTGCAGAATGTTCTAGTATACCATTTACCTAGCATCCTCTAATAATAATATCTTATACATATAAGCATAGTACATCATCAAAGCCAGAAAATTAAGGTTGGTGTAATAATATTAATTCAAGTAAAGATCGTATTGGATTTTGCCAGTTTATATGTACTTTGGTGTGTGTGTGTGTGTGTGTGTGTGTGTGTGTGTGTGTGTGTGTATAGTTATATGAAATTTTATCACTCATAGAGTCCAGTAGATATTACCAAAACCAGGATACAGAACTGGTCCATTACTTACAACCCTGGCAACCATTGATGTGTTCTCCATCACTATAATTTTGTCACTTTATTGTTTTTGTTTTGTTTTGTTTTGTTTCATTTTTTTGAGATGGAGTCTTGCTCTGTCACCCAGGCTGGAGTGCAGTGGCACAATCTGGGCTCACTGCAACCTCTGACTCCCGGGTTCAAGCGATTCTCGTGCCTCAGCCCCCTGAGTGGCTGGGATTACAGTTGTGCACCACCACACCTGGTTAATTTTTGTATTTTTAGTAGAGACGGGGTTTTGCCATGTTGGCCAGGATGGTCTCAAATTCCTGACCTCAAGTGATCTACCCACCTCGGCCTCCCAAAGTGTTGGAATTACAGGCGTGAGCCACCACACCCTGCCTGTTTTTTGTTTTTGTTTTTCCCACTCAGCATTATGCCCTTGAGATGCATCCAAGTTACTGCATGTAGCAATGCTTCATTCCTTTTGTGTGTATGAATATAAGTTCTGATTTCTCTGGGATAAATAGCCAGGACTTTCACTGCTAGGTAAGTAATGAGTATGTTTAAACTTTATCATAAACAGCTGAACTGCTGAGTAGCTAAATCACACTACATTCCCATGAGCGATGTATGAAAGATCCAGTTGCTCCACATCTCACCAGCACTTGGTATTACTAATCAATCTTTTTCTTTCTTTCTTTCTTTCTTTCTTTCTTTCTTTCTTTCTTTCTTTCTTTCTTTCTTTCTTTCTTTCTTTCTTTCTTTCTTTCTTTCTTTCTTTCTTTCTCTCTTTCTTTTTTTTTTTGAGATGGAGCGTCGCTCTATTGCCCAGGCTGGAGTGCAGAGGCGTGATCTCAGCTCACTGCAAGCTCCACCTCCCAGGTTCACACCATTCTCCTGCCTCAGCCTCCCAAGTAGCTGGGACTACAGGCGCCCGCCACCACTCCCAGCTAATTTTTTATGTTTTTAGTAGAGACAGGGTTTCACCATGTTAGCCAGGATGACCTTGATCTCCTGACCTCGTGATCCGCCCGCCTCGGCCTCCAAAAGTGCTGGGATTACAGGCGTGAGCCACCGTGCCCAGCTAATTGTTTTTCTTTTAATCATTCTTATAGATGTGTAGTAATATCTCATCACAGCTTTTAGTAATATTTCATCATTAGGGAAATTTGCATTTCTCTAATGACTAATGATGTGAATTTTTTTTATCTGCATGTTTGCCATACATATATACTCCTTGGTAAAGTGTTTTTTTTTCTGTTTTCTGATTGGAGATTTTTCTTTTCTGTTGAATTTAGAGAGTTCTTTATACATTCTGCATACAAGTTCTTTGTTGGATGTGTGATTTGCAGACCTTTTATTACAGTCTGTTGTTTGTCTTTTTATTCTCTTAACAGAATCTTTCACAGAGCAAAGTTTTTAATTTTGATGAAGAGCAATTTATTGATTTTTTTTTGTCTTGTAAATCATGTCTTTGTTATCATGTCTGAGAACTCTTCACCTAATCCTAGGCTATGAAGATTTTATTCTAAGAGCTCTATGGTTTTTTGTTTGGCATTTGGGAATATGATCCATTTTGAGATAATTTTTGCACGAAGTGTGAGGGGTGTAGCTCAAGGTTTTTTTTTTTTCGTTTTTTTTGTTTATTTTTTTAAGACAGGGTCTCACTGTATTGCCCAGGCTAAGTGCAGTGGCATGATCATGGCTCACTGCAGCCTCGACCTCCTAGTCTGAAGCAATCCTCCCACTTTCTGATAGCTGCGACCACAGGCATGCACCACCATGCCCAGCTAATTTTTGATTTAATTTTTTTTTATTTTTATTTTAGATGGAGTCTTGTTCTGTCGCCCAGGCTGGAGGCTCATTGCAGCCTCCACCTCCCAAGTTCAAGTGATTATCCTACCTTAGCCTCCTGAGGACCTGGGATTACAGTCATGAGCCACCACGCCTGGCTAATTTTTGTATTTTTTGTAGAGACGGGGTTTCACCATGTTGGCCAGGCTGGCCTGGAAGTCCTGACCTCAAGTGATCTCCCCACCTTGGCCTCCCAAAGTGCTGGGATTACAGGCATGAGCCACCGTGCCCACCCAATTTTTTATATTTTATAGAGATGGGGTCTTGCCATGTTGCCCAGGGTGATCTCAAATTCCTGGACTCAAGTAATCCTCCCACCTCAGCCTTCCAAAGCACTGGGATCCTGGGATTATAGTTACGAGCCACCGCACCTGGCCAATGTTCTTTTTTTAATCTATAAATATCCAATTGTTTCAAGACTATTTATTATAAAGGTTATCCTTCCTCCATTGAATCACTTTTGCACCTTTGTCAAAAATCTGTTGGTGAATATATTGGCCAATTTTTGTACTCTGCTCTGTTCCAGTGATCACAAGTGTCTGTTCCTCTGCCAACACCACACTGTCTTAATTTCTGTTACCATATAATAAGTAAGTCTTAAAATCAGGTAATTTGATTCCTCCCATTTTATTCTTTTTCAAAATTGTTTTAGCTATTCTAGTTCCTTTGCTTCCCTGTATAAATTTCAGTCAGCTTGTTTGTATCTACAAAGAATCCTGTTGAGGCTTTGATAGATTAGTTTGGACATAATTGACACTTTTATGGTTAGTCTTCAAACTAATGAACATGGTATATCTCACTATTAATTTAGGCTTTTTTTTAAACCTTTTTCATCTGTATTTCACAGTTTCTATCATACAGATGCTGTATATGTTTTGTTAGATGTATACACAGTATTTCCTCTAGTTTTGAGCAATTATAAATGGTATTGTGTTTTTAATTTCTGTTTCCAATTGCTCATCCTAGTATATGCTTTCTAGCATGATTCCTTTTTGTAAGTTGACTTTGAATCCTGAAAACCTACTAAATTCACTTATTAGTTCTTGGCATTTTTCTTTTTTGGTGGATTCCTCGGGGATTCTCTAGGCAATTGTGTCCTCTGCAAATAGGGGCAGTTTATTTCTTCATTTCCAATATGTATGTCTTTAATTTCCTTTTAATTCATGGGCATATATACCCACTTGTTTATTCATTTTCCTATTGTTGAAAATCTAATTTTTATTTTATTCTAGGTACCTCTTCTGATATCATCATAAGCCCACATTCTTTATCCAAATCTCTAGGATCCAGTTGTATGCTGAAATTCTAAACTTTTTGGATTTTATTTTATTTTATAATTGACTTGTTTATTTATTTATTTTTGAGACAGAGTGTTGCTCCGTTGCCCAGGCTGGAGTGCAGTGGTGTGATCTCAACTCACTGCAACCTCCGCCTCCTGGGTTCAAGCAATTCTCCTGCCTCAGCCTCCCGAGTAGCTGGGACTACAGGCATCTGCCACCACGCCTGGCTAATTTTTGTATTTTTAGTAGAGATGGGGTTTCACCATGTTAGCCAGGATGGTCTCGAACTCCTGGTCTCAGGTGATCCTCCCACCTCAGCCTCCCAAAGTGTGGGATTACAGGCATGAGCCACCGCACCCGGCCTAATTTTTTGAATTTAGGAAGATTGTTTCAAAAAAAATTAACCAGGTGTGATGGTGTGAGCCTGTGGTCTCAGCTACCCAGGAGGCTGAGATGGGAGGATCACTTGAGCCCAGGAGTCTGAGGATGCAGTGAACTATGATCGTGCCTCTGCACTCCAGCCTGGGTGGCAGAGTAAGACTCTGTCTCAAAAAAAAAAACAGAGAAAGGATGTTCATAGCATCTGTATTAGTCAGGGTTCCCTAGAGGGACAGAACTAATAGGAGATATATTTTATATATATATATAGGAGTTTATTAAATATTAACTTACAAAATCACAAAGTCCCACAATAGGCTGTCTGCAAGCTTGAGGAGTAAGGAGAGCCAGTCTGAGTTTCAAAACTGAAGAACTCGGAGTCTGATGTTTGAGGGCAGGAAGCATCCAGCATGGGAGAAACATGTAGGCTGGGAGGCTAGGCCTATCTCACCTTTTCACATTTTTCTGCCTGGTTTATATTTGCTGGCAGCTGATTAGGTTGTGCCCACCAGATTAAGGATGGGTCTGCCTTCCCCAGCCCACTGCCTCAAATATTAAGCTTCTTTGGAAACATCCTCACAGAAAAACCCAAGATCAATACTTTGCAACCTTCAATCCAATCAAGTTGACACTCAGTGTTAACTAGCATAGCATCTACTGATATTTCATAATACTCCCAGTGGGTCTAGGGTAGCATCCTGTAATCAGACATATTAACTTTTTTTGCAAAGAAAGAAATGAATATTCACACAAAGTAAGATAAATAAAATCTACAAATAGCTTTACATCAGTCCTGGTCAGATTTTGCTGCAACTGAGTTTGTGCCAAACTTAGGGGAAAAAAATCTTTCTGTTTTGAGAACCTTTTGGATTTAAGAATTGCAGACAAGAGACAGTGAATCTATTATTTGACTTGGAATTTGGTGTTTCTCTGGATTTCTTTTTCTTCATCTGTACTTTTTGACAGAGTATGTTTGGAGTTTCTCCTCTCATTCATCTGTTTCCATTCTACATTCTGTCTTCTGGGAATTCTTCATGATTTCTGGTCTGTTAGTGACATCTGTTCTCATTTACTATAATAAACTTATCGTTAAGCCACTTTTCTGTCATTTTAAGGGATTTGGGTTTGGCAAGTTTAAGAGATGTGTTTGCACTTGCCACCTGGATCCAGTACACCGTATCAGCCTGCTTTCTGCTTTATACATTCATGATGCACAGATGCACACACACAATATTTTTTTAGAATGATCATGTGCTACTTTTGTATTCAGTAAGTAAACATAGTCTTAAGCAGTTATAAATGGGATCCTGCCACCCTGAAGCAAGCAGATATTGGCTATTCTACTTGTAAGAGAATGGTGGAAAGACAAAGAGGGAAGGGGCTTGCTCAGCAGAGCTGGGTCCCTTGCCACAGCTTCACCACTTCACAAGATGTGGGTGGGACTCAAGGAGGCAGAAAAAGACCAGATGGAAGCGTGCCCACATGCTATCAGTGGTTCTCTGTGGTTAGTCGGATCCTGAAAGACATTCACTGTCTTTTTTTACTTTTCCATATTTTCCAGATTTTCTCTGGTGACCATGTTAATTAACTCTTTTTCTTTTTAAATTATTGAAGATTTCTTATGGCTTGGTCAAAAATTGACACTTTGATTCTTATCTCTGCTTTTTTTATTCAATCCATTGTACTATGTTTTATTGCTAAATTATATAAAGAAATTCATGATATTTTAAGCTGAATGATTTAGGAAGTCCAGTCTCACATGAGTATATAGTTGAAAAGGTAAAAACTCACAGATAACCCCTGCAAAACCTTCGGAATCTTCAGGGCTCTTGGCCCACAATTTGACAATTATTTTTCTAGAGTAAGATTGGGGTGCACTTTACACTTTTTGTTAAGTGTACAGTTTAATAATTTTTAGTATAGTTTAGTATAGAGTTGTGTAACAAATTCCATAATCAATTTTAGAATCTTTTCTCTTTTTTTGAGACAGTGTCTCGCTCTGTCACCCAGGCTGGAGTATAGGGCACTCCGCCTCCCAGATTCACGCAATTCTCCTGCCTCAGCCTCCCAAGTAGCTGGGATTACAGGTGCCTGCCACCATGCCCAGCTAATTTTTGTATTTTTAATAGAGACAAGGTTTCGCCATGTTGGCCAGGCTGGTCTTGAACTCCTGACCTCAGGTGATCGCCCGCCTTGGCCTCCCAAAGTGCTAAAATTACAGGCGTGAGCCACTGAGCCTGGCCCTAGAATATTTTCATCATTTCAAAAATAAATGTCACATTCCTTAGCTATTCAGCCCTCAATGCTTTATGCTACTTAGCCTGAAACAATCACTAATCTATCTCTCTATATCTGCCGATTCTGAATATTTTGTATAAATAAAATAATATGCATTGTGTGTGTGTGTGTGTGACAGACTTCTTAGCATGTTTTGAAGGTTCACCCATGTTATAACCTCTATCAGTACTTCATTCCTTTTTATGATCACATACTATTCCATTGCATGGATATACCACATTTTGTTTATCCATTTATCAACTGATGTACATTTGTGTTGTGTTCACTTCCTGGCTATTATGAATAATACTGCTATGAATATTCAGGTACAGCTTTTTGTGTGAATGTAGGTTTTCATTTCTCTTGGATATGTATCTAGAAGTGGAATTGCTGGATCAAATAGTAACTCTACGTTTAACCATTTGAGAAATTTACAGATTATTTTCCAAAGTGGCTGCACCATTTCACACTCACAACAGCCGTGAAGGTAACCACATAGACTTCCACAATAACAAATATTTGTATTTTCTTTTTTAAGAGAAAGAAAAGAAACATTGAAAAAATAGTTGTGGGTTCTAATTTTGTGTTTTCTGCAAAGAGGAAGTCACTTTGTTTTTATCAGTAAAATGGGAATAAGCAACAGTACCATCTGGAATTCTCTGACCAGCACAACAGGTCTGTGCTTGCTAAATACTATGAACAGAATTCTTTCACGGAAGCTCTTTGAACCTGAAACTGAGTACTACTCAGTGACCATGGGTCCTCAATCTTAGGAAAGCCTTAATCATCCTTGGCCAGGGAGGCAGAACCGATACAGGAGTATGTGGGGTCTGCCCCCAACCCTCAATTAAAGGGCAGTTTATGCAACATGCCTTCTTTTTGAATCAGAGCCAGGGTCATTGTTGGGCTGAGGTAACATTAATTATTTTTCCGCTTGTCGGATTCTATGAAAAAGATGTGAAAATGGCCTGTTTGTGAAAGAGTGCAGGCAGAGGCTGTGAGCTGATTATGTCAAACCTAGTCAAAGCCTCCTTGGTGTGGGAGATTGTAATCAACAAAGCATGGCGGCATCTGCGCCCAGTTCAGGAGGAGCCCCATCCAGCCTGGCTCCCCAGCAGAGACAGGAAGCCAGCTTTAACTCTTGCTGGGCTGAATTGCATTGACTATGTAAAGAAAATTTACTCCCGTCAATTTCCCAGTACACATTCAGGGGACAGAGAAATGGAGGAGGTAATTATCCTTATTTTAGGGGTGGGAAAAGCATTGAATTGCTCCCCTGATAGAGTAGCATCAATTCTTTCTGTGACGTGGGTAGCTATACTGATAGGTCAAGACATAGAATTGCAAATCTTGAAAGATGTAGAAATAAACTGGGAACAAAAAGTCTGAAAAAGAACTTAGACTTCACTAGCAGAGTGCCCCAGACTTTCTACATAGATGGGGCTCATGGCCTGTGTTCTGTTTGAAAGAGGTGTCCCAAAGTGCACTCACTTTATGCCAAGTTGAGATTTCTCAATTATCCTTATCAGAGAACTGAGTGGGGTAGCTAATGATGCTATAGGCAAACTAAAGCCCCTCACCCAACCCTGCCATGCCCTGCTCCTGCCCTTGGCAACCCACCCTTAGATCCAATGATATTAATCCCATTGTGCCCAGTTTTCTTTTTTCATAACCAATATTTGTTATGTCCTCTTTCCTTTTCTGAAATAAAATACGTCTATAATATCTATAATAAAGCTTATATACATGACTATAAAAGAACAAGATGCTATAAACATAAAATAAATTGTTACTGGTCTGCAATGAGGTAAAAAGCTTACACCAGAATAAAATCAAATACATCACTAAGCACACTAGTTTTGTTGACATTTTTTTTAGTCTCCATCAAGCAAGACTTTCTTTACCAAGCACAGAGGCTCATGCCAAGACAGGAGTCTAGCTTAAACCCAGGAGTTCAAGACCAGCCTGGACAACATAGTGACACCCTGTCTTTATTTAAAAAAAAAATCTTTTTTTAAGACTTTTTTGTTTTCCTTTTGGAGACAGAGTCTCACCCTGTCGCCCAGGCTAGAGTGCAGTGGCACAGTCTCGGCTCACTGCAACCTCTGCCTGCCGGGTTCAAGCAATTCTCCTGCCTCACTCTCCTGAGTAGCTGGGAATACAGGTGCGTGCCAGCACGCCTGGCTAATCTTTTTTTTTTTTTTTTTTTGTATTTTTAGTAGAGACAGGGTTTCACTGTGTTAGCCAGGATGGTCTTGATCTCCTGATCTCATGAACCGCCTGCCTCAGCCTCCTAAAGTGCTGGGATTACAGGCGTGAGCCACGGCGCCTGGCTGACTTTTTTATTTTTCTTTTTTTTGAGACAGAGTCTTCCTCTGTCTCCCAGGCTGGAGTGCAGTGTTGTGATCTCGGTTCACTGCAACCTCTGCCTCCCGGGTTCAAGCGATTTTCCATCCTCAGCCTCCTAGGCAGCTGGGATTACAGGCATGTGCCACCACACCTGGCTAATTTTTTTATTTTTGGAGGGAGGATGGAGTTTGGCTCTTGTCAACCAGGCTAGAGTGCAATGGCGTGATCTCGGCTCACTGCAACCTCTGCCTCCCAGATTCAAGCAATTCTCCTGCCTCTGCCTCCCAAGTAGCACCCCTACGCCCGGGATAATTTTTGTATTTTTAGTAGAAATGGGGATTCACCATGTTGGCCAGGCTAGTCTCGAACTCCTGACCTCAGGTGATCCACCTACCTCGGCCTCCCAAAGTGCTAGAATTACAGGCGTGAGCCACCGCACCCGGCCAAAGACTTTCTTGATGAAAGAAGCAAGATGTTAACAGAAACAGTCCAGTACAGACTCCTTATCAGCATACTGACACTTTAGCCTGCTCTAGATGACATAACATTCAGATGCTTACACCCCTGCATAGAGTCAACGTGAATGCTATAGCTACAAGCGAAGACTGATACAGACTTGAAATATTGGTAATTTAATTAAAGCCTATGAGTAATGATGCAATATTCCAAAGTTCTTGGCAAAGTTAAGAATATATCAAGTACAACTCTCTCTTGATTTGCAATGTAGTTGCATTCTTGGAAATTTTAGTGCATGCTAAACCATTTATGTACAGTTTGGGATTAGGTTGTAGGCTTGGATCATTGGTATCTGAGATAATCAGATTTTGGGGTTTTTTTTTAACCTCCTATGTGAATGTCCAGAGGAACATCAGAAAATCATGCAACCTTCAAGGTGTGAAACTATCTGGCATGCCACAAATCTCTAGCATCCATAGTCCTTTTCCATGCTCCATGTCAGTGGTGACCCTCCCAGTCACTGACAAGCAAAAATGGCCTCATACATTTCCACACCCTATAGGGGTAGTGCCATCCAGTCTAATTCAACCCCTCCCTTAACAGATGGTCCTGGGAGGAAAGTGGCTTCCCCAAGATGAAACATGGGTTTGAGGGGACACCAGGACTAAAATTTAGGTGCTTGATTCCTAATTCAGTCCTATTGTCATCAGCCTGGAGTTTCCTAGGGACATTGTCGCACTCACCCTGCCCATTTCTGCTCTCTGGCTACTAGTCCTGCTGGCCATTAACACACTATTACCTGTAAAGCATTAATGATCTAAATGTTAACTTAAACCCTTGAAAGTCTCTTTGCAAGATTTTGATAAAGTTACCCTCAGGTGATTCTCATGCAGAATGCCTATGGCTAACACTTCACCAGTCCCTAAAGTTAGTGCTGGAAAACCTATGAAAAAAGTGGTTCTATTGTCAGATATGTTTTGGAAATTCTGGATTAGCCAAAATTAAAAAATTATTTTTCAGGCCCTTTAATAAGTGAATATGCATGTAAATCCCCAAGATGGAATATGACTTGACTCATTTTCCAAATTTATTTGCTCATGAACTGTTCCCAACCACCTCTTTGGTGTTTTCTGGTTAAGTAGCTTGCTGCTAATCGGACGTAGATTATTCACATCTTTACCCTCATTTTGTAGATAAAAGAAAGGGGGGAATAGATACTAACTAAAGTGAGTAGTTTCAAAAAGCTGTAGGAAGTTTGTGTATTATTTTAAATAGAACATAAAGGAGACAGTTGGGCACAGTGGTACACACCTATAGTCCCAGCTACTCAGTAGGCTGAGGCAGGAGGATCGAGGAGTTGAGCCCAGGAGTTCGAGGCTATAGTGTGTGATAATTGTACCTGTCAATAGCCACTGCACTTCAGCCTAGGCAACACAGTGAGACTCTGTCTCAAAAAAAAATTATTTTTGACAACTGTTTTCTCTTTAAGGATAAAAGAAAGGAGAGATATTTTTGATTTTTTAATTTTAATTTTCTAATCCCCATGAGGACAATCTTATGTTGGTTCTTTTGCAGTTGGGGAATCTTATTCTTTTCATTGCTTGGGCACCAGAGCCTGGCCTGTAGTTGTTACCCAAATCATGTTTGCTAAATGAGTTATTTGATAAATTAAATAATCAATAGCAGTCTACTTAAAAGATGGCAGGATAGCTTCAGATCATTCTGAGAAGTGGGATTGTTCTCTGTATTTCTTAGGAAGAGCAGGAAGATCAAAAAACTTAAAGAATACAGAAGGAGCATCACAGCAAAACCTTTTAACCTCCACATATAAAACTAATCATAATCAGGACAGGCAGGAACAGTTGGGTAGGTTACGCACTATATAAATTATGGTGATGCCATTCACTATTCCTAAAACGTGTGTTTACAATTGACCTGAGCTGATATGACATATACATAGAAATAATTCAAGAACAATCAGAGATTTATAGTTTTTTTATATGCCAGGGGGTGCTGTGGTTCAAGCTTTGAGAGAGAGATATATACATATTTATGTTCTTTGTTATATTCTTTTTTTTTTTTTTTCTGAGACGGAGTCTCACTCTGTTACCCAGGCTAGAGTGCAGTGGCATGTTCTCAGCTCACTACAGCCTCTGCCTCCCAGCTTCCAGCGATTCTCCTGCCTCAGCCTCCTGAGTAGCTGGGATTATAGGCACACGTCACCACACCCGGCTAATTTTTGTATTTTCAGTAGAGACGGGGTTTCACCATGAGCCACCACACCCGGCCCTGAAAATGCTTTGTCCTCCTCTACCATGGGGCCAGGATGCAAATATTCCAAATTTTTGTACTCTGCTTCCCTTTTAATTATAAGTTCCAACTTTAAGTCATTGCTTTCCTCCTGTACCTGACCATAGGTTGTTTGACCAGGCCACATCTTCATCTTGAACACGTTGCAGCTTAGAAATTTCTTCCACCTGGCCAGGCATGGTGACTCATGCCTGTAATCCCAGCACTTTGGGAGGCCAAGGCGGGTGGATCACCTGACATCAGAGTTTGAGACCAGCCTGGCCAACATGGCGAAACCCTGTCTCTACTAAAAATACAAAAAATTAGCCAGGCGTGGTGGTGGGCGCCTGTAGTCCCAGCTACTTGGGAGGCTGAGGCAGGAGAATAGCTTGAACTGGGGAGGTGGAAGTTGCAGTGAGCCGAGATCGCGCCACTGCACTCCAGCCTGGGTGACAGAATGAGACTCTGTCTCAAAAAAAAAAAAAGAAAAAAAAATTCCTCCACCACTCTTAAGTTAAAACTTCCACAAATTCCTGTGGATACAATCCAGCCAAGCTCTTTGCTAGGGCATAACCAATTCAAGGGTTTTTTTTTTTCCAGTTTGAGAATTTCCTCATTTCCATCTGAGACTTCCTCAGACTGGCCTTTACTGTTGATATTTTATCAGCATTTTTGTCACAACCATTTACCCAGTCTCTAAGACATTCCAAACTTGCCCTCATCTTCCTGTTTTCTTCTGTAACCTCCAAACTCTTCCAATCTCTGCCATTACACAGTTCCAAAGCTGCTTCCACATCTTCAGATATCTTTATAGCAGCACCCCACTCCTCAGTACCAATTTTCTGTGTCAGTCCATTTGTATTGCTCTAAAGGAATGCCTGAGGCTGGGTAATTTATTTAAAAAGAGGTTTATTTGGATCATAGTTCTACAGGCTATACAAACATGGCACAAGTATCTGCTCAGCTTTTGGTAAAGCCTAAAGACACTCATGATGCCAGGTGCCAGGTGTGGTGGCTCACATCCGTAATCTCAGCACTCTGGGAGACCAAGGTGTGCAGATCACCTGAGGTTAGGAGGAGTTCAAGACCAGCCTGGCCAACATGGCAAAACCCTGTCTCTACTAAAAATACAAAAACTAGCTGAGCATGGTGGCATGCACCTGTAGTCCCAGCTACTCAGGAGGCTGAAGTAGGAGAATCACTTGAACCTTGAAGGTGGAGGTTGCAGTCAGCCAAGATCATGTCACTGTACTCTAGCCTGGGTGATAGAAAGAGACTCCATCTCAAAAAGACAAAGAAAAAAAAAAAGAAAAGAAAAGAAAAAAGAAAAAAAAGAAACTTACAATCATGGTGGAAGACAAAGGATGAACAAGTGCAGGGGTGTCATACGGTGAGAGAAAGAACAAGAGAGAGAAGGGGGAGATCCTAGAATCTTTTAAACAGCCAGATCTCATTACCACTGGGAGGGAACCAAGTCATTCATGAAGGATCTACCCTTATGACCCAAACATCCTACTAGGCCCTACATCCAACATTTGGAATCACATTTCAACATGAGATGTGGAAGGGACAAACATCAAAACTATATTATATCTGTGATCCCAACACTTTGGGAGGCTGAGGTAGGAAGACGGCTTGAGGCCAGGAGTTCAAGACCAGCCTGGGAAACATGGTGAAACTCTATCTCTACAAAAAATAAAAAATTAGCCAGGCATGATGGTGTGCATCTGTAGTCCTAACTACTCAGGAGGCTGAAGTGAGAGGATCACTTGAGCCCTGGAGTTCAAGGCTGCAGTGAGCTATGATGGCTCGACTGCACTCCAGCCTGGGAGACACAGCAAGACCTCATCTTTAATAATAATGATAATAAATGAAAGTTTTCTTAGTCTATCACTTATTTTTGGCATTGGGGTTTGCTTACATTTTTTTTTATCTTATAAATGGCACTAGTAGAAATATCTTTGTCCACTTCATTTTTGGTTATTTTTTGAGGAGGGTTTATCTTCCAATGAAATTACCTAACCACACCTATTATAATATTTGCAAGTTACTTACCTGATCCAACCAATTTGCAGCTACCAAGTGATGTGCAAGTGAACCTGTTTCTCATAATCACAGAATGTTACCCTTTTAATTTTTGAAATCAACTCAGTAGAGATATAATAATATCTTAAACCTATTTGGTGTTGCATTTTTCCCCCCTACTAGGAAGCTTGTAAGTTTTTGAAGTGATCATAGACTGTCTGCATTTTCTTGAGTATAAACTATATTTGGTCACATTGAGTTAGTTACTTTCACCTGCTTCTGTTGAACATTTAATAATAATGAGACATAGTCAGAGATGGAGGTGATGATGATGACCAATATTGGGCAGAACATAGCTGCTCATTTAGTCAAAAATTAAGAAAGATAAAGAGCTGTTTTAAACTCCCCAAATAGAAGATACTTACAACAATCCCTAAATGGAAAGGATTAATGGCAGATAGGACTTCTACGACTCTTGAAGATTAGCAGGGTCCATCCATATACCAGTAGAAATCCTGAATACAATCACTGTCTTTCTTGTCTTAGATTCTAAAATTCAGATGCCTACAGGGACAAGGTAAGGAACATAAATGTGTATTGGGCCAGAGGAACATAAGGTAGTGGGAGGCAAGGACTAGGAAAACTAGCAAGTGATGCCCACCTGTGACATTCTTATTAAGGAAAACATTCTTTGGGCCAAGCAAAACACATCTGTGGGCAGAGTTTGGCCATTGGCCACCAGGCTGTGCCCTCTGCTTAAGACTTCTTTTAGAGACAGTGTACTTGAAGGAGTGTACAGGAGCCACGCACAGGAAAAGAAAATGAGGCAAATAGGAGAGGTGTGAAAACATGTCAGTAGACTTTTTTTTTTTTTTTTGAGACGGAGTCTTGTTCTGTCACCAGGATGGAGTGCAATGGCGTGATCTCAGCTCACTGCAATCTCTGCCTCCTGGGTTCACGCAATTCCCCTGCCTCAGCCTCCCTAGTAGCTGGGACTACAGGCACGCACCACCATGCCTGGCTAATCTTTTGTATTTTAGTAGAGACGGGGTTTCACCATGTTGGCCAGGATGGTCTCGAACTCTTGGCCTCAAATGATCCATCTGCCTCGGCCTCCCAAAGTGCTGGGATACAGGTGTGAGCCACCACACCCGGCCATCAGTAGACTTTCAATACTACTAAGAAAAAGAGTAGCTCAATTCCAGTGAATGGTAACTAACACTCTGCCTCAATTACAGTAGCACAGGGTGGAGACTGTGGCCAATTGAAGAATGCATACCCTGAATTTTTCATTTGCTTTAAACCTGTTATACCTGTTATTATAGACATCTAAAAATATATGCAAAGAAGAGATGACAGCATAATGCAGTCCCTTGAACCCATCACCCAGCTCATCGATCCTAGGCAGGTTATGGAAGTCTTGGCCCATTCGTGCATCTGGTCAGTGGAAACAGCTACTATTCTACGCTAGCTTGGAGTTATATGCCAGTACAGAAGTCCAGCACTGCCAGGTTTTTAAAAAAATATTTTATTTATTTATTTAATTTAGACACAGTATATTGCTCTGTTGCCCAGGCTGGAGTGCAGTGGCATGATCATAACTCACTACAGCTTTGAACTCCTGAGCTCAAGTGGTCCTCCCTCCTGGGTCTTTCAATTAGCTGGGACTATAGGCATATGCCACCATTCCCAACTACTTTTTGTATTTTTGTGGAGACGGGGTTTTGCATGTTGCCCAGGCTGGTCTCAAACTCCTGGGTTCAAGCAATCCACCTCCCAAAGTGCTTGGATTACAGGAGTAAGCCACCACACTCAGTCCAAATTTTTTTTTCTTTTCTTTTTGAGACAGAGTCTTGCTCTGTTGCCCAGGCTGGAGTGCAGTGGTGTGATCTCTGCTCACTGCAAACTCCGCCTCCCAGGTTCAAGCTATTCTCCTGTCTCAGCCTCCCAAGTAGCTGGGATTATAGGTGCGTGCCACCACACCTGGCCAATTTTTATATTTTAGTAGAGACGGGGTTTCACCCTGTTGGCTAGGCTGGTCTCGAACTCCTCACTTCAAGTTATCCACCTGCCTCGGCCTCCCAAAGTGCTGGGATTACAGGCATGAGTCACCGCACCTGGCCCAGCCCAGATTTTTAAAAGAAACTAGACATTTTGATTTTTATTTAAAATCTTTTAATTGTTATTACATATTTATTTATTTATTTTTATAAACTAATTTTTTTTTTTTTTGTAGAGAATGGGGTCTTGCTATGTTGCCCAGACTGATCTCAAACTCCTGGCCTCAAGTGATTCTCCCACTTTGGCCTCCCGAGTTGCTGGGGTTACAAGCATGAGCCACTGTGCCTGGCCACTATTTTTTTTATTTTATTTTTGAGACGGAGTCTCACTCTGTCGCCCAGGCTGCAGTACAGTAGCACGATCTCGGCTCACTGCAATCTACACCTCCTGGGTTCATGCCATTCTCCTGCCTCAGCCTCCTGAGTAGCTGGGACTACAGGCGCCCGCCACCACGCCTGGCTAATTTTTTGTATTTTTAGTACAGATGGGGTTTCATCGTGTTAGCCAGGATGGTCTCAATCTCCTGACCTCGTGATCTGCCCACCTCAGCCTCCCAAAGTGCTGGGATTACAGGCGTGAGCCACCGCGCCCGGCCACTGTTTTTTATATGTTGCTGATTTGTTTAAAACTTTAATTTTTATTTATTTGTTTTTCTTAAGACAGACTCTTGCTCTGCCACCCAGGCTGGAGTGCAGTAGTGTCATCATAGCTGGCTGCAGCCTCAAATTCCTGGGCTCAAGGATCCTCCCATCTCAGCTTCCCTTGTAGCTAGGACTACAGGTGCACCACCACTCCAGGCTAATTTTTTAAAAGACAGGGTCTAGCTATGTTGCCCAGGTTAGAGTGCAATGGCTATTCACAGGCACGATCATAGCACAGTGCAAGGCACCCTTGAAGTCCTGGGTTCAAGCAATACTCCTGGGCTGATCCTCCCAAGTAGTGGGTCCCATAGGTGATGTGCCACTGTCCATGGCTACTTACTTCACATTTTTAATACATTGTAGAGGTCATGATTGTGCTGTCAGTTGACGATTTGGGGTCATAACATATACTTGGAGAAAATGCTGCTGGTAAGAGAGGAAATGCAGTCAAATGCTGGGCTGATTCTGGGCCCTTTGAGAATATCTGTGCATAAAAACAATTGCACTGTCGGTCAGGTCCTGCTGGGCCTGGAACATTGCTGTGATGGCCCTTCTAGCCCATTATCATCAGCACTACAAGAATTTGGTCACAGGTTTAGCCCTTACGTTAGACACTGAGGTCCTTGAGGAAACTCCCAGTCTCTCCCCAGGGCCCAGCACATACTAACAATCAGTAGTGGTTTGAGAGATGCGTAAGTGAACAAATAAAAACATGAGAGTCTTTGTGTCATGTTTGAGTCTTAAAGTCACTCCTCACGTCATCGAACGGAGGTGTCTCCAGGTCTACTGACATGACTATTATTTTCCTTGTTGCTTAGGAAAAATGTTTTATATTCTTATTAATTAAAATTTGAATAATTGATGCTATTTATTCTCTGAACTTCTTCCCGTTTTTGTCTTTTAGAAGGTCATGAATCAATTCATCAAGAATAATGTGATTTGTGGTCACCTCAGAAAATAAAAACATAAGTTATTGATAATTAGATGATGTTGAACAGCAATGTTTGAACACTGAAGACTGTCAGCTATTTGAGAGTGAGAACTGTGCTTTAGACTTAAAAAAATTGGTATATAATTTGCATACCATAAAAGTCATGCTTTAGAAGTGTACTACTTGGTGGCTTTTAGTGTATTCATAAAGTTGTGCAATCATCACCACTGTCTAATTTGAGAACCTTTCATCAACTCCCCAAAAAACCTCATACTCTTGAACCCGGGAGGCGGAGGTTGCAGTGAGCTGAGATCGTGCCACTGCACTCCAGCCTGGGTGACAGAGCGAAACTCCGTCTCAAAGAAAATAAAAAACAAAAAAAAAAACACCTCATACACATTAGCAGTCACTCCCCATTTCTTCCTCCCCCAGCCCCTGGCAATCACTAATGTACTTTCTGACTCCATGGATTTGCCTATTCTGGACATTTCACATGAATGTAAATGGAGTCATACACTGTTGGCCTTTTGCAACTGGCTTCTTTCGCTTAGCATAATTTGTTTTGTTTTGTTTTTTTAAGACAGAGTGCTCAGGTGATCTTGGCTCACTGTGACCTCCGCCTCCCGGGTTCAAGAGATTCTCGTGCTCCAGCCTCCCAAGTAGCTGGGATTACAGGCGTGTGCCACCATGCCTGGCTAATTTTTGTATTTTCCGTAGAGACGAGGTTTCACCATGTTGACCAGGCTGGTCTCGAACTCCTGATCTCAAGTGATCCACCTGCTTTGGCCTCCCAGAGTGTTGGTATTATAGGCTTGAGCTACCATGCCTACCTGTAGCATAATGTTTTTAAGGCTTATCCACATTGTAGTATGTATCATACCAAATTTGTTTTCATTACTCTGTAATATTCCGTTGTATGAATATACAGGTTGAATAGACTTTACTCAAAATGCTTGGGACCAGAAATGTTTCAAATTTGGGATTTTTTTTTTTTTTTGAGACAGAGTTTCGCTCTTGTTGCCCAGGCTGGAGTGCAATGGCACTATCTTGGCTCACCGCAACCTCCACCTCCCGGGTTCGAGCGATTCTCCTGCCTCAGCCTCCCAAGTAGCTGGGATTACAGGCATGCGCCACCACACCCGGCTAATTTTGTATTTTTAGTAGAGACGGGGTTTCTCCATGTTGGTCAGGCTGGTCTCGAATTCCTGACCTCAGGTGATCCGCCTGCCTTGGCCTCCCAAAGTGCTGGGATTACAGGCGTGAGCCACCGTGTCCGGACTCAAATTTGGGATTTTTTTAAAATTTGGGAATATTTGCATTATACTTACTGGTGGAGCATCCGAAATCCAAAAATCAAAAATTCTAAATGTTCCCAATCAACATTTCCTTTGAGCATCATCACAGTCTCTCCCCAGGGCCCAGCACAAACTAACAACCAGTAGTGGTTTGAGAGATGAGTAAGTGAACAAATAAAAACATAAGAGTCTTTGTGTCACGTCTGAGTCTTAAAGTCACTCCTCACATCATCGAACGGAGGTGTCTCCAGGTCTACTGACATGACTATTATTTTCCTTGTTGCTTAGGAAAAATGTTTTATATTCTTATTAATTAAAATTTGAATAATTGATGCTATTTATTCTCTGAACTTCTTTCCATTTTTGTCTTTTAGGAGGTCATGAATCAATTAATCCATCAAGAATAATGTGATTTGTGGTCACCTCAGAAAATAAAAACATAAGTTATTGATAATTAGATGATGTTGAACAGCAATGTTTGAAAGCATATGTTTATATGTTTATATATTGAATGTTTGAACATTCAACATATAAAAAGAGCATCATGTCCGTGCTCAAAAAGCTTCAGATTTTATATTTCAAATTTTCAAATTCGGAATACTCAACCTGTACTACATTTTATTTATCCATTCATCTGATGATAGACATTTGGGTTGTTTCTACTTGCTGGCTACTGTAAATAATGCTGCTATGAATATTCGTGTTCAAGCTTTTGCGTGGACATAACGTTTTCAGTTCTCATGAACTAAGAGTGGAAGTGCTGCTCTATGCATAGGATTGAATAGTAATTCCATGTTTGACTTTTGAGGCACTGCCATACTTTTTCCAGCATGTAAGTGGCTGCACCATTTTACATTCTCAGCAGCAATGTATGAGAATGTATGATTTTTCCTTGCCTACGCTTACTATTGTCTATATGTCTGCTTATAGCCATCCTGGTGGATGTGAAATGGTAGTCCATTGTAATTTTGATTTACATTTTCCCAATGATTGTGTTGAACATTGTTTGATGTGCTTATTGGACATTTGCATTCTTTATTTATTTAATTTATTTTTTGAGACAGGGACTTGTTCTGTTGCCCAAGCTGGAGTACAGTGGCTCAGTCACAGCCCACTGCAGCCTCGAATTTCTGAACTCAAGCCATCATCCCACCTCAGCCTCCCAAGTAGCGGGAACTACTGGCACCAGCCACCATGCCCAGCTAATTTTTTTCTTTTAGTAAAGATGAGGTCTCACTATGTTGCTCAGGCTGGTCTCAAATTCCTGGTCTCAAGGGTTCGTCTCTCCTCAGCCTCCCAAAGTACTGGGATTACAGGTGTGAGCCACTATGCCCTGCCCCATTTGTATATTTTCTTTGTAGAAATGCCTGTTCAAATCTTTTTAAATCGGATTATCTTTTTTTTTTTTTTTGCCTTGCCTTTGTCAGGCTAGCATTGTTTTTCTACTGTTAAACTGTCATTGTTCTTTATATATTTTGGACACGAGGCCACTGTCTAGTAGATAATGTACAAATATTTTCTCCTATTCTGTGAGTTGTCTCTTCTTGATGCTTATAAATTACAGGATTTGATTTTCCAAGTTCAAGCTAGTTTATATTTGTCAAATTTACTCATGCTATACTGTGTGGTTTGGTTTATCCGATTTTGTGTGGGATTTTTACTTAGGTGCTAATGTGTTTTTCTCTCTTATTTTAAGGGTATCCATTTATCATATCACATAACAAGACATCCAGACATAGATGGGCTTAGAGGCCCTTTCTCTGAAGTTCTCTGGGCTCTTCCGCTTTCCAGGAACACACTTTTCTTTTCTTTTCTTTTTTTTTCTTTCAGCTTCAGACTGTTTGTTGTCAGATAGAAGTACTATCACTCAAGTCTACCCACGAACCACCCGGACACAGCATGGCTGGCAAGCAGATCTCAAGGCTCAGCCAGTGCAGCTGTCACGAGGCATCGATGATCAGGGTAACACCACGCAGGAGAGAGACAGTAAAGGGTGGTGTCACCAATGCACACTTGCTGAGGTCACCAGCATCTTCAGCTTCTGTGAAGGGGCTGGCGGGCAGGCATGCTGCACCTCTGCAGGCTGCCCTGAGTTTGCCCAGGGTGGCAGTGGTGGGAAGTGCCAGCCAGCACAGAATGAGGGGAACCCAGGTAGCAATTAAGTGGGGATAAATAGCCATTACCAAGGAGGCCTGACAACTGCAGGAGACCGCAGTCTATTCACAAGCAACTGCTTATTTTCCCATTGATCCTTGGCGGGATAGGTCCTTGCCTTCTGCAGCGCCCCAAATAACAGGCTCGCAAAGCCCAGTGCTAAGAGGTGGCATCTGAGAAGAATCCGCTCAGGTCTTCCTGTCTGTTTCATCTTAAGGCCTGCCAGGAGAAGAGATAATTACGGGTCTGAGATTTTGTTCCATCATAGACAATGGAGGGATCAACACATGCCTCTCTGAAATCAGATTAAAAATTTTTTAAAAGGTTTCAGCTCAGGAAGATACCAGCATTTCCCACAGGTTTCAGTTGGATGAAAAAGGAGAGATTGAGAAAAAAGAAAGGAAAGAAGGGAGGGAGGAAGGAAGGAAAGGAAACTTGACAATTCTAAAAATAGAAATCATCAACATGGAGGGTGCTAAAGAGACTTTGCTTTCCTATTGTCCCATCCCCTCCCCCCAGAATATCTTTCCCTTGGTTTGTCACCCAACCCGAAAGGCACCCATTCAGGACTTATTCCACCTGGAGCCAAGGATCCCTAGTGAAGCCCAAGCTCTCCAGGGAGGTTTCCCTGGATGTTAGACCCTCTGCTGGACCTGCCTTTATCCTTCAAGGTCGCTACAAGGCATGGTTTGGGCCTCTTTAGGGAGGCGGTACAGTCTAGAGTTAAATGCACAGGGTTCAGAATCAATTTTCTACATTTGACTAGAGTCCTGTATTCATTAGTGTTGACCTTGCACAGACTACATGACCTTGAGCTTCAACTCCCCATGCCCTTATCTGAAAAATAAGGAGAGCAGTGCCTTTCCTCTAAGGCTAGTCCCTGGGATCTGATGACATACTACATGGAAAGGCACTTAGTTCATAGCAGGGACCTGTAAATGCCAGCTGGAATTTTCCTCCACCCCAATGAGGGGAGTAACCAGTCCAAGGATGAGGACTGAGCGTACAGAAGGGGTTGTAAACTCACATGGCTTCAGGGGTCCAGTGATGATGGAGACTAGTTAAGCAGGCAGGATGTCACTTTTTCTTTCTTTCTTTTTTTTTTTGAGATGGACTCTTGCTCTCTCACCCAGGCTGGAGTGCAGTGGTGCGATCTCAGCTCACTGCAACCTCTGCCTCCTGGGTTCAAGCAATTCTCCTGCCTCAGCCTCCTGAGTAGCTGGGACTACAGGCATGCACCACCACACCCGGCTAATTTTTGTATTTTTAGTAGAGACAGGGTTTCGCCATGTTGGCCAGGATGGTCTCAATCTCTTGACCTCGTCATCCGCCTGCCTCTGCCTCCCAAAGTGCTGGGATTACAGGAGTGAGCCACCAGACCCAGCCAGGTGTCACTTTTTCAACAACAACAACACTTTTTACAGCAATATCATGTAATTTGTTTCCATTGTAAATGACTCCCTATGAAATCAGAGGCATTTACCACTCCAAATCTAAGTCATAAATGTTTATATTTCTTTGGTTTGGTTTTGTTTCTACAATAAGAATGTATACTTTTACAATAATTTTTAAAAAACCAGTGAAGATTTAGGCTTGCTTCCACAGCACATATACTGAAAATTAGAACAATACAGAGAAAATTAGCATGGCCTCTACGCCAGGATGACATGCAAATTCCTGGAGTGTTCCATTAAAATAAATAAATAAATAAAGATTTGGGGTAATGAGAGAGAGAGAGAAGGGGAAATTGAGATGAATAAAACCTAGTTTAAGCCAGAAAGGAAAAGTCTTTTCTGTTTCTTTTCTTTCCTTTTCTTTCCCTCCCTCCCTCCCTCCCTCCCTCTCTCTCTCTTTCTTTCTTTACTTTTTTTGAGACAGGGTCTTGCTCTGTCACCCAGGCTGGAGTGCAGTGGCATGATCTCGGCTCACTGCAGCCTTGACCTCCTGGGCTTAGAAGATACTCTCACCTCAGCCTCCTGAGTAGCTCAACTACAGACTCAAGCCACAATGTCCAGGTAATTTTTGTATTTTTTTGTAGAGACATAGTTTTGCTATGTTGCCCAGGCTGGTCTCAAACTCCTGGGCTCAGGGGATCCATCTGCCTCGGCCTCCCAAAGTCCTGGAATTACAGGCATGAGCCACCATGCCCAGTCAGAAAAGTCCTTTCATATTAAATGATTGTTTTCAGCTTTATTGAGGCATAATTGAAAAATAAATATTGTATATATTTTAGGTGTACGATGTGATGTTTTTATATATGTATACATTGTGAAATGATCACCATAATCAAGCTAATTAGCATATCCATCACCACTCATATTTACTTTTTTTTGTTTTCGACAGTTTTTTTTGTTTGTTTGTTTGAGACAGAGTCTCGCTCTGTCGCCCAGGCTGGAGTGCAGTGGCGCCATCTCGGCTCACTGCAAGCTCCACCTTCCCGGGTTCACGCCATTCTCCTGTCTCAGCCTCCCAAGTAGCTGGGACTACAGGTGCCCACCACCACGCCCGGCTAATTTTTTGTATTTTTAGTAGAGACGGGGTTTCACCATGTTAGCCAGGATGGTCTCGATCTCCTGACCTCGTGATCCGCCCACCTGAGCCTCCCAAAGTGCTGGGATTACAGGCGTGAGCCACTGAGCCCGGCCTGTTTTTGACAGTTGAAAGGAGTTGGCGGGGTGCTGTGGCTCATATCTGTAATCCCAGCACTTTGAGAGGCCGAGGCGGATGGATCACTTGAGCTTAGGAGTCAAGACCAGCCTGGCCAACATATTGAGTGTCCCTCTCTACAAAAAAACAAAAACAAAAACAAAATTAGCTGGGCATTGTGATATGTGTTTGTGGTCCCAGCTACTTGGGAAGCTGAGGTGGGAGGATCCCTTGAGCCCTGGAGGTCGAGGCTGCAGCTATTGCATTCCAGCCTGAGCAACAGAGTGAGACCCTGTCTCAAAAAAAAAAAAAAAAAGAGAGAAAAGAGTGAAAGGAGTTCGCCGGATGTGGTGGTTCATCTTAGCAGGTTTTTTGGGGGTGATGTCCAGTCTACTCAGTGTACTGGGAAGTGCATTGGTTGTGGAACAGGTAAAATGTAACAAGAATAAATGACTTTTATTTGTATTATTTCCATCAGAATTGCTGCACTATCTCGCACAATGCCTTGCCCCAACAGCTATTTGGTGAATTAAAATGATTCTGATTAATTTCATCCTATCACTCTCTGGTAAGCAACTATGGTGGTTTCTTACTGGCTGCAGGATACAACACAAGCTCCTCTTCAATCTTCACACCTCTTTCTAATCTGGTCCCACCCATGTAAAAATTAATAAATAAAACTTGAAGCCCAGGTGCAGTGACTCACGCCTGTAATCCCAGCACTTTGGGAGGCCGAGGCAGGTGGATCACCTGAGGTCAGGAGTTCGAGACCAGCCTGACCAACACAGTGAAACCCTGTCCCTACTAAAAATGCAAAAATCAGCCAGGCGTGGTGGCACACGCCTGTAATCCCAGCTACTTGGGAGGCTGAGGCAGGAGAATTGCTTGAACCTGGGAGGCAGAGGTTGCAGGGAGCCGAGATAACGCCATTGCACTCCAGCCTGGGCAACAGAGCAAGACTCCATCTCAAAACAAACAAACAAAAAACAACCAACCAACCAACCAAACAAAAAAAACCTTGATTGAGGTATAGTTATGTATAGGACAGGGACCCGTTTTGGTAGTCAGTTGGCTATGTTTTGGTACTTATAAAGCCATTTACCCACCACCTATTCAAGATGTAGAACACTTCCTTCACCTCACAGAGCTCCCTCCTGCCCCTTTGTGGTGACTGTTCACCCAGCTCATGACAGATCTTATTTCTGTCACCACAGATCAGTTTTGCTTGCTACAGAACTTTATGTAAATGAAATACACAGTGTAGTCTTTTTGTCTGGCTTCTTTCACTCAGCATGATAATTGTGAGATTCATCTGTGTTATTGCATGTATCAATAATTCAGTGTTTTTTTTTCTTGCTGAGTAATATTCTACTGTGTAGATGTACGTCAGATTCTTTATCAAGTCCCCCATTGATGGACATTTGGTTGATTTCCAGTTTTTGGCTATTATGAATAAAGCTACTGTTTAATCTGTTTTTGCTGCTATAATATTAGAATGCTAGACTGGGTAACTTATAAAGAACAGAAGTTTATTTCTCAGGGTTCTGGAGGCTGGAAAGTCCATGATCAAGGCATCAGCATCTGGTGAGAGCTGCTCTCTGCTTCCAAGAGGGAGCCTTGAACACTGCATCTTCCAGAGGGGAGGAACACTGTGTCCTCACATGGTGGAAAGTGGAAAGGAAAAAACGGGTCCAATTTCCTCCATCAAGCCCATTTATAACAGCATTAATCTACTCATGCAAGCAGAGCTCTCCTGATCTAATCACCTCCCCAAAGGCCCTACCTCTCAACACTGTTGCATTAGGGATTAAGTTTCCAAAACATGGCCAGGCATGGTGGCTCACACCTGTAATCTCAGCACTTTGGGGGGCCTAGGCGGGAGGATGGCTTGAGCCCAGGAGCTCAAGACCAGCCCAGGCAATATAGTGAGAACCTATCTTTACAAAAATTAAACAACTAGCCAGGCACAGTGGTGTGTACTTGTGGTCGCAGCTACTCAGGAGCCTGAGGCAGGAAGATTGCTTGAGCCCCAGAGGTGAAGGCTACACTGAGCCATGATGGTGCCACTGCACTCCAACCTGGGCAACAGGGCGAGATCCTGTCTTTAAAAAATAATGATAAAATAAAATAAGTTTCCAATACATGAATTTTGGAGGGACACATTCAGAACATGGCAGCTACAATTATATAAACATTTATATAGAAGTGATTTTGTGGACATCCGCTGCTACCTAGAAGTGGAATTTGCTGGATCGTAATATAGGTGTTTTTGTCTTTTTTTTTTTTTTGAGACAGAATCTCTCTCTGTTGCCCAGGCTGGAGTGCAGTGGTGCAATCTCAGCCTACTGCAACCTCCATCTCCCAGGTTCGAGCAATTCTGTTTGAGCAATTCTCTGCCTCAGCCTCCCAAGTAGCTGGGATTACAGGCACCTACTACCATTCCCGGCTAATTTTTGTATTTTTAGTAGAGACGGGGTTTCACCATTTTGGCCAGGCTGGTCTTGAACTCCTGACCTCGTGATCCACCCACCTTGGCCTCCCAAGTCCTGGGATTCCAGGTGTGAGCCACAGCACCCGGCCGTGTCATTTTTATATGAAACTTACAATCGGTGTTCAAAGGTGGTTGTACCATTTTACCCTCCCATGATCTGTGTATGAAGTTCTCATTGTTCCACATCCTTGTCAACTCTTGTAATTATCGGTCTTTTAACACTTAGCTATTATTGTGGTTTTCATATGCATTTCCTTGATGACTCATGATGTCAAACATAACTTCATGTGTTTATGGGCCATTTGCATATCTTTTTTGGTGGTTTCTAGTCAAAATTTTGACCATTTAAAAATTGGGTTGGGGGCTGGGCATGGTGGCACACGCCTGTAATCCCAGCACTTTGGGAGGGATTCTTGAGACATTCTCTGAACCTTTTTGAATCTCACTTTCTTTGTCTCCAGGATGAGAATACAAGCAGACACCTCACGGAATGGTTGGGAATATTAAATGGATTATATGCGTGGAAATCACACATATAATATCCGCAGAAGCTCAAGTGATCCTCTGGCCTCCACAGCTACTTGGGAGGCTGAGGTGGGAGGATCCCTTGAGCCCTGGAGGTCAAGGCTACAGCTACTGCACTGCAGCCTGAGCTGATCACTTGCAAGGCAAGCAGATCACTTGAGCTCAGGAGTTCCAAAACAGCCTGGGCAACATAGCAAGACCTCATCTCAAAAAAAAAGGGTTGGTTTTCTTATTATTAATTTGCATGAATTATTATTATGAATTAATTTACTTATTTATTTTTGAGACAGAGTTTTGCTCTTGTCACCCAGGCTGGAGTGTAATGGCATGGTCTTTGTTCACTGCAAACTCTGCCTCCCAGGTTTAAGCAACTCACCTGCCTCAGCCTCCCGAGTACCTGGGATTACAGATGCCCACCACCACACCCGGCTAATTTTTGTATTTTTAGTAGAGACAGAGTTTCACCATGTTGGTCAGGCTGGTCTCAAAATCCTGACCTCAGGTGATCTTCCCGCCTCAGCCTCCCAAAGTGCTGGGATTACAGACATGGGCCGTGCGCCCAGCCTGAACTATTTCTTATTGGGATTAAAGACATTTGCTACATATGCACGTTGTGAATATTTTCTCCCAGTCTGTGGCTTGCCCTTTTATTATCTCTGGAGAATAGAAGTATCTATAAAGTCAAATTTATTTATTTCTTCTTTAACATTTTTTGTGTCCTGTTCAGGAAATCTTTGATAACTTCAAGATTGCTTTTTGTTGTGTTTTGTTTCTGGAAGCTTTCTGGTTTTGGTTTTTATGTTTTGTCTGTGATTAATTTCAAATTAATTTTACATGTGGAGTGAGATGGGGTTGGGATTAAATTTTTTTCCTTAAAAGATACACAGTTTCAGCACTGCTTTTTAGAAATAACGGTCTTGACCAGGCCCAGTGGCTCATGCCTGTAATCCCAGCACTTTAGCAGGCTGAGGCGGGTGGATCTTCTGAGATCAGGAGTTCAAAACTAGCCTGGCCAACATGGTGAAACCCCAGCTCTACTAAACATACAAAAATTAGCCGGGCGTGGTAGCAGGCGCCTGTAATCCCAGCTACTCAGGAGGCTGAGGCAGGAGAATCACTTGAACCCGAGAGGCGGAGGCTGCGGTGAGCCAAGATCATGCCACTGCACTCACTCAAGCCTGGGTGACAAAGCGAGACTGTCTCAAAAAATAATAATAACAATTCAACATATTTAATAGATATGAAGCTATTTGGATTTTAAAATTTCTCCTTGGGTTAGTTTTGATAAGTTACTTTTTTCTTTTAATTTTTTATAATTTTTATTCTTTTAATTCTAATCTTATGACAGATAAGATAAATTATGTTTTTAAAGGAACCCATCCATTTTATCTAGGTTGTTGAACATATTGGCATGCAGTTGTTTATAAGATTCTCTTATTATTTGTTTATATGTGTAAGATCTATAGTAAATAAAAAGAACACTCCTGCACTGAATAGGAGTTGGCAGAAAATCTCTAAGAATCTTTCTAATGGGAGACTTCAAGATTGATAACCTGTCATGCCTTCTCTGCAGTCCTCTGCTTCTAGATTTTCTTAGTTCTTCAGCTGTCGACCAAAAATAGGAATTGTGTTCTCACCAGTAACATCCTTTCCTCTTTACTTCATCTTCCTTTCTCTCTCTCCCTTTTAGAGGAGTTGCTCCAATCTTTTGCTCTATTGCAAATGAACCTAAAATGGCAATTTAAATTTGCAATGGTAATTTGAATGCAGTGGTTTCCTTAGCAACAAAAACTTATTTGTGGTTCAGACTTTGGAATTTAAAAAATCTCAGAGGTCTAATTAGTACTTTTCCTGAGCAAGCCATTTACAACCAATATTTTAAAAACCCAACATAATTTTAAAACAGTAAATTAAGATTATTTTATCACAGCAGGTACATGGGGCATTGGATTTCCCAACACTCTTCCCACAAACTTCCTGGAACTAAAACTTAACAAAAATTCATAAGGACACAGTGCCAGCTTCTACAATCCAGCAAGTCCAGCATGGATGAAATACTGACCACAAAAAAAGACAGCCATTCTTGCCAAATCCCTGACCATTTTAACCCAGTAACAGGCATAGCTTAGTATTAGAAAGATTTCATTCCTGGGTGGCACAGGCATATGGGGTCAAATCCTCCTCCCAAACCACCTGCTATCTCATACCTCCAACACACACACACACACACACACACACACACACACACAGCAGTGTTCTGTACTGTTTCTTCTCCAAATTATCAAATTATCCAGTGGTCAAAAGGTATTTGGTCCCATCCAGTCTCTCTCAGTTTGTGGTACGACTAATTTGTTAATGGGGCTCCAGAAGGAAAGTGCCTAATGTTTCTTCTAATTGAACATGACTGCTTCAAAATGACTGCGGCTGCCAGCCAGTTCTCACTGTCCCCGAGGCTGGATAATAAGCTTCTGCCATCGGGCCCTGGGTCCTGACCAGGACCATCTGCGGTAATGAACTTGGAAGGCTCATTGTAGATTGCAAAAAAGGAAAAGAGAGAGAAAAGCACAGTCCAGCTCTTGTCAGGAGGCTCAATTATGGCTTCTGTCAGCTTAACAAAAGAAATTCAGAAAAGCTAGGATTGGAAGGGGTGGGAGGGAGCAGGCAAAGAAGGATGGGTGATGGGAGAGACCCATGATGGCAGAACAAGACTGAAATTCCTCCAGGACCAAGGTTTCTGGAAGGAGTAGCTCAGAGGTCACCACAATAGGGATTCAGTTCCCAGAGTCCAAACGTGAGGCTCTGCAGCCATGGGCACCAGGGGTCAGGGTTCACTGCGTGTCACTGATTTGAGGGTACAAGCTTCTCCCTACTCGCTGCAAATCCCCATCACCCATACTGCAGAGGGATGGGGCCTACGTGCACATTATAGGCTGATTATTATTATCATCATTGTTGATTGTTTTCTAAGACAGGATCTTGGAGCATTAAGATTTTTTTTAAAAGCCCTTTTATTGTGAAATGATACATATAAATAAAAGTGCCCAGCACGTAAATCTATGGCTTAAGGTATTATTTAAAAGGAAACACTTGTAATCAGCACTCAGACAAAGAAATAAAACTTTGTCAGAAGCTTCATCCTGCCCCTTCCTGATTGTAACGCCTTCCATCACCCCAAAAAAGAAGTCACTCCCCTGAGTTTTATGCTGATAAGTTCATTGTTTTATTTATAGTTTTATCACCTAAGTAGGCAGCCCTGAACAGTTTAGTTTAGATTTGAGTGTTTTAAGCTTTATCTAACTGGGAACTAATACAGTATATATTGGTCTGGCTTCTTTTGTTCAACATTGTGAGATTCATCTAGGTTGTTGCATATGGTCATAGTTGGTTAATCATGATAGTGGGTTTATAGTTGGAGTATTATGTCATATAAATATAGCACAATTTATGTGGTTAATTGCTGAATAGTGTTTGGGCTATCAAATATCTTTTGTCCAAGAACAATGCTTTTAGGGATATTCTTGTCCATTAGTACACATATCTCCAGAGAATACAGCTAGAAGAGAAACTGCTGAGCTGAGTGATAAGCATCCCAGAGAGATTTGACAAGACTAATTCTTGAGTCACTGTAAACATCTAGAGAAGAGACCACTCATCAGAAATTTATCTGTTAGACCAGGTGAGGTGTTTGTAATCCCAGCACTTTGGGAGGCTGAGGTGGGAGGGTTGCTTGAGCCCAGGAGTTCGAGACCAGCCTGGGCAACATAGCGAGATTTTGTTTCTACTAAAATAAAATAAAATTAGCTAGGCATGGTGGTGAGCATCTATAGTCCAAATTATCTGGGAGGCTGAGGTGGGGAGATCACTTGAGCCCAGCAGGTTGCGGCTGCTGTCAGCCATGATTGTGCCACTGTACTCCAGCCTAGGTGACAGTGAGCAGTAAGACTCTGTCTCAAAAAAAAGAATTTTTTCTTCTGCCTTGTGTGATTACCAGTCTCCAAGATGGCCTTGAATGATCCCCAGATTCTGATATTCATGTTGTTCTGTAGTTCCCTTCCACACTGTATAAAAGGTGGGTATGGTCAACTGAATAGGGTAGAAGTGATGGTCTGTGACTTCCAAGGTAAGTCATAAAAGACACTGTGACTTCTACCTTGCTCTCTTGGATCACTCCTTCTGGGGGAAGCTTGCTGCCATGTCATGAGGATACTCAAGCAGTCCTACAGACAGGCCCAGCTGGCAAGGAGCTGAGGCCTGTAGTCAGTGTAGATGAAGCATCTGATTCTCTAGCCCCAGTCAAGCCTTCAGATGACTGCAGCCCTGGCTGTATCTTGACTTCAACCTCATGAGAAACTCTGAGCCAGAATTACCCAGCTAAGAAACCCTTGGATTCCTGATTCTTACAAACTGTGTGAGATAATACATGTTTGTTGCTTTAAGCTACTAAGTTTTGGGCTAATTTGTTATGCAGCAATAGACACCTTGGTTTATTTAGACTGGCAGAGGTCGGAAAGCAAAGCATTCCCAAATATCAGCTGTTCAAAAACAACCTATGGTGTATATTTATCTTCTCCTCCTACTTGGCTTAGAAATTAAAATAGTAGTCACCATCAGGTTGAGTTTTCATTCTTTTTCTCTCTTCCTTTTTGTCTTCCCTTCTTTCTTTCCATCCTTTCTCAACTGCCCCTCTTTGACCTAAAATTTGAGTGATAAGAATTCCTCTCCTCTCCTCCTCTCCCCTCATATTTCCTCCTTTCCTTTTCCTTCCTTTCCCTTCACATTTCCTCTCCACCTTCTTCTCCTCTTCTCTGCTCTTGCCTGTCCCATCCCATTCCCTTCTCTCTTCTTCCATCTTCTCCCCTTTGTTCTTCTCCTCTCTTCTTTATTCTCCTGATTCATTTATTCTTCCATTTCTATTGTCTCATCTCCTGGCCCCTGCCACTCTCCCCATTTCCCTCTCTTGCCCCAGGGAAGAAAAACAAGCTTTGCCTTGGCTGGGAACCCCAGCAAGAAGAAATGAACCATTTCTAACTGTAGGGTTTGGATGTTGTCCTTGCTAAACCTCATGTTGAATTGTAATTCCCAAAGTTGGAGGTGGGGCCTGGTGGAAGGTGATTGGACCATGGGGATGATTTCTCATGAATGGTTTAGTGCCATCCCTTTGGTGCTGTCCTTGAGATAGCGAGTTCTCTTGAGATCTGGTTGTTTAAAAGTGTGCAGAGCTTCCCCCCCCACCACCACTTGCTCCTGCTGTTACCATGTGAGACACTTGCTCCCCACTTCACCTTCAGCCAGTAAGTACTTATTAGGTGGGTGCAAAAGTAATACTTTTACTTGCCATTAAAAGTAATGGCAAAAACAGCAATTACTTTTGCACCACATAATACTTCAAGAAGTAAGCTTCCTGAGGCCCTCACCAGAAATGAATGCTGGCACCAGCCTTCTTGTACTGCCTGCAGACCGTGAGCCAATTAAACTTCTTTTTATTACAAGTTACTAGCCTCAGGTATTTCCTTACAACAATGCAAGAATGGCCTAACACACTAACCATGATGACATCCATGCACATGGTGGCCCCGCCTGTGCCATCCAACAGCTTTATGTCAAAAGATGTGATCCTGTTCTGGACGATAAGCGTTTTTTTGTTTTGTTTTGTTTTGTTTTGTTTTGTTTTTTGAGACAGAGTCTTGCTCAGTCGCCCAGGCTGGAGTGCAGTGGCACGATCCCAGCTCACTGCAACCTCTGCCTCCCGGGCTTAAGCAATTCCCCCGCCTCAGCCTCCTTCAGCCTCCCAAGTAGCTGGGATTACAGGTGCCCACCACCACGTCCAGCTAATTTTTTGTATTTTTAGTAGAGATGGGGCCTCACCATGTTGACCAGGCCGGTCTCAAACTCCTGGCCTCAAGTGATCCACCCGCCTCGGCCTCCAAAGGTGCTGGGTTTACAGGCATAAGCCACCGTGCCTGGCCATGGACAATAGGCATCAAGCTGACAATTCTAGCACCAAGGCAATGGGTCACATCTTACCTGCTCAGCTCAAGGCAGGTGCCAGGGAGGTTGCTTTAAACTTTTGGTATCTCTTTGGAAGGTTATATTTCCCTAGCATGACACCAATTTGCAGATAGCTCCTTGCCTTCAAATTCACCTCAAATTTATATTAGTACATAAACACACAGTTACTGTAAAGTGCTCACACAAAATAGAAATAAGTAGAGGAAAAGAAAAATGCCCTTTCTCCTATTCTTCCACTCCTGCTTGGTGTGAGGCTTTCTGGAACTTTTTCTATATCCACACAGGCTGGTAGCTTTGTGGTATTTACATGAATGGGACTACACACTCTATATGTGCTGTGATTTTCTTCTTTTACATGCAATATTCAGTACCACGGACCTCTACCCATGCCAGGACTTATTGATCTACTTCACTCTTTTTAATGGCTGCATATGTACAACCATTTTACCATTCCTTTCTTAAAGGGTGTTTAAATTCTTAACAATTTTTTTCTCTTAAAAAACGGCCAGGCTGGGCCTGGTGGCTCATGCCTATAATCTCAGCGCTTTGGGAGGTAGAGGTAGGAGGACTGCTTGAGCCTAGGAATTCGAGACAAGCCTGGGCACCACAGCGAAATCCCTTATCTATTAAAAAAGAAAAAAAAAAAAAGGCCGGTGTGGTGGCTTTCACCTGTAATCCCAGCACTTTGGGAGGCCAGGGCAGGAGAATCGCTTGAGCCCAGGAGTTCAAGATCAGCCTGAGCAGCATGGTGAGACCCCCCCAAGTCTATAAAAAAAGTTAAAAATTAGCTCGGCGTGGTGGCACATGCCTGTAGTCCCAGCTACACAGGAGGCTGAGGTGGGAGGATTGCTTGAGCCTGGGGAAATCAAGGCTGCAACAAGTCATGATTGTTTCACTGCACTTCAGCCTGTGCAACAGAACAAGACCCTGTCTCAAACAAACAAACAAAAAAATGCTGAGCTGGGTGTGGTAACTCATGTCTGTGATCCCAGTGCTTTGGAAAGCCAAGGCAGGAGGATTTCTTGAGTACAGGTGTTCAAGATCAGCCTTGGCAACATACTTAGACCCATCTCTATAAAAAATAAAAATAAATAAAAAAATTAGTGAGGAGTGGTGGCACGCCTATAGTTCCAGCTACCAGGGAGGCTAAGGTGGAAGTATCACTTGAGTTCAAGAATTCAAGGCTGCAGTGAGCTATGATTGCACCACTGTACTCCAGCCTGGGTGACACAGCGAGACTCTGTGTAAAAAATAAAAATAAAAGATGTTGCAATAATCATTCTTTTAATGTTATGGGCTACTATATGAATATTTCTTCATATGGGCTCATAGGTAACTATCTTACATCTTGACAGTTACTGTCAAATTGCAACAAACCCGAAGAGAAAGAGGCAGCCAATCACTGAAGGAGTCTGGAAAACACTTCAGGCTAAAGGACCTTGAAGGTGAAGGCAGAGGAGAGGGGCACAAGAGAGCTAGACCTGTACCAGAGGCTTAAGGACAGTGGGGTGATTGAGTTTAGTGAGAAAGGAGAGGAGGAAAGTGACCTTAACTGAGTTCAGTAAGATAAGGTTGGCCCAGTCAAGGAGGGAAATTGGGAGATTGCATTCTGTTTTCCACAGTATTTGGCACCATTGAGAGGTATTAAACAAGAGTGGCCTGAAGGGCTGTGATAACTGGTGTCTTCAGGCACTCACCTCGAGGTCAAAGTCAGCCTTCAGCCTTAGGTCACTCATAGACAAAAATACAGGAGGCTACATGGACTGTTCTGGATATAACCTGAATGATTCAAGGTCCAATACAGTCAGATCTCTGTTTCTGTGGGTTCTGCATTGGTGGATTCAACCAACTGCAGATTGGAAATATTTGGATCAACACTGACACTGGAGAAAGAAAAAAGAAAAAAAAATTGGAGAAAAAAATTGCCTCTGTCCGTGTGTGGTGGCTCACGCATGTAATCGCAGCACTTTGGAAGACGGAGTTGAGAGGACCGCTTGAGCTCACGAGAGTTCAAGACCAGCCTGGGTAACATGACAAAACCCACCTTTACAAAAAAATACAAAAATTAGCTGGCTGTGGTAGTGTGCACCTGTAGTCCCAGCTACCAACTACTCAGGAGGCTGAGATGGGAGGATGGTTTGAGCCTGGGAGGTGGACGTTGCAGTGAGCCGAGATTGCGCCACTGAACTCCAGCCTGGGCGATAGAGCCAGATCTTGTCTCAGAAAAAGAAAAAAAATCTGTACTGAACATGCACAGACTTTTTTCCTGTCATTATTCCCTAAACAATACAGTACAACAATGGTTTACATAGCATTTACATTGTATTAGGTACTATAAATAATCTAAAGATGATTTAGAATATACAGGAGGATGTGTGTAGGTTATATGCAAAATACTATGCCATTTTATATAAAGGACTTGAGCATCCACAGATTTTGGTATTTGAGGGAGTTCCCGGAGCCAGTCCCTCCCGGATACCAAGGGACAAATGTACTTTTCAATTAAGTGACTTAGATGATGGCAGTAAAAGTTCATTTTAGTCATGGAGGTATAAATCCTTTCAGGTTTACAGGCAGCTCAGAGCTCCAACCAGGCTGAGAGGGTCTTGGGCTTTAGGATGATGGGAAGGGAGTTTGGGGAAGGGTAGGAGAAATGGAGGCAGGGACGGGTCCACTGTTGAACGAGAAAGGGAAGAGGGCCTAAGGTTGATGGGGTGGATCAAGTGGCTCATTGTGGTAGGAAATCTTGAAAAAAAAGAATTTTAAAAATCAGTAAATATTTCAAGGCAGATGTTAGGGGAGAGGAGTTCCCAAGATTCTATGCTTTCCTGAAGACAGGCCATCTAGAGGAATGGCTTCCAACATTTTTGGCTCGTGTACCCTGTGGTAGAATTTTTTAAAACTATATGCTATTTCATATAACAGACATTACAATTTTTTAATTTGTTTAGTTTGAAAAATGTGATTTTTGAATACATAAACACATATACATACATACATAATTTTAAAATATGATTGTTTCCCCAATTTGTATTTATCCAATGTAATCTAAATTCCACAGTGACTTTTGTATTTATCAGCCACTGACAAATACATAAACAATTTTGAAAAATTGGAAATTTTATATTTCTTTTTTTCTCCCAGAATCTTATCCTAATATAATTTTGCTTGAAAGTCTTTTATTGACCAGACATATGGCTCATGCCTGTCATCCCAGGACTTTGGGTGGCCAAGATGGGAGGATCGCTTGAGCCCAGGAGTTCCAGACCAGCGTGAGCAACATGGTAAGACCCTGTCTTTATGAAAAAGTTTAAAAATTAGCTGGATGTGGTGGTGCACGCACTTGTAGTCCCATCTACTCTGAGGACTGAGGTGGGAGGATCATTTGAGCCCTGGAGGTTGAGGCTGTAGTGAGCTATGACCACGCCACTGTACTCCAGCCTGTGTGACAGAGCGAGACCCTGTGTCAAAAAAAAAAAAAGAAGTTTATTATAATAATGAAGTCTTGAGGTCATCACGGCTTGGACCAGACAGGTGGCAATTTTGGATACTACCTCTTTGTTGAAGGGGATAGAACTTAGAGAGACAACCATACCAATTATACAATGCTGAAACATGATGGAGTGGGATTCTCAATAGCCCTTGGGTAGGTTGTGAGGATTAAAGCAAGTCAACAAATGAAAAGAAAAAAAAATTCAAAGAAATAGAAACCATTCAATGAAGAAAACAATGTGTTCCAAGTTATTAGTGTTATTCCCTCTCTCAGTTCCTGAGAAATATATCATAAAGCCTTTTACAAAGTTAACAAATAATTTTTAATTATATCTGTTACTCTTTCTCTTAGAGACACCTTGTTGATGAAACCAGGTTAAAAGCTATTTCAAATGGGTAATGGTGCATTTTATAATTTTTCCTGACATCTGTGAACAAAGTTCCAAACATACATGCCACCTTTTATTTTATTTTAATTAATTAATTACCTTAAAAAGAAAATAGAGATGATATATTGCTATGTTGTCCAGGCCAGTCTTGAACTCCTGGCTTCAAGTGATCCTCCCACCTAGGCCTCCCAAAGTGCTGGTATTAAAAGTGTGAGTTACTGTGCCGAGCCCACATTTTATTTTTAAAGATAATTTTGGAATATCTTCAATGAGCATGATATACAAACATGTATAATGGACACCTGAGAATTGAAGTTTGGTAATCTCATTTTATAATGGAACATGATTATGTTTAATAATAAAATATTTACAAATAAACTGATACAATGTCCAGGTTTTATTTCAAAATAATGAGAGTAAAGAAGTAGGTGACAGTATAGATGAAAGAGATTGTCCATTACTTGAAATTTGTTGAAGCTGGATGTTGTATACATGAGATTTCATTACACCATTCCTTCTAACTGAGCATATTTATAATTTTCCAAAACAAAAAGTTAGAGGCCAGGCGTGGTGGCTCACACATGTAATCCCAACACTTTGGGAGGCCAAGGCAGGAGGATCATTTGAGCTCAGGAGTTTGAGACTAGCCTGGGCAATATAGTGAGCCCTCATCTCTATTAAAAATTAAAAAAAGAAAAAAAAATTAGCCATCTGTGACAGTCTGTGCCTGTGATCCTAGCTACTCCAGAGACTGAGGCAGGAGGATCACATCGGCCTGGGAGTTCAAGGCTGCAGTGAGCTATGATCATGCCAGCCTGGGTTACAAAGTGAGACCCTGTCTCTAAATAAATAAATAAATATTAAAAATACAGAAATAAAAAGTTAGAAAAAAGAGACAAAAAACAAGTTATGTTTAAAAATCATGGTTAAAGGCCGGGTGCAGTGGCTCACGCCTGTAATCACAGCACTTTGGGAGACCAAGGCAGGTGGATCACTTGAGGTCAGGAGTTCAAGACTAACATGGTAAAATCCTGTCTCTGCTAAAAATACAAAAATTAGCCAGGGGTGGTGGCATGTGCCTGTAGTCCCAGCTGCTCAGAAGGCTGAGGCAGGAGCTTGAACCTTGGGAGGCAGAGGTTGCAGTGAGCCAATATTGCACCACTGCCCTCCAGCCTGGGCAACAGAGCAAGACTCTGTCTCAAAAAATAATAATACAATAACATCATGGTTAGGACAGAATTAATGAGCATGTCAACAGTTTAAAAGGATGAATTAATCTTAATAAACTAAAACTCATTTTTAAAACTTCTGTTCATTATGTCTTAGATTGCATTTAAAGGAATGGGAGAGGCCAGGTGTGATGGCTCATGCCTATAATCCCAGCACTTTGGGAGGCCAAGGTGGGTGGATTGTTTGAGCCCAGGAGTTTGAGACCAGCCTGGGCAACATGGTGGAAGCCCCCTCTCTACAAAATATACAAAAAACTCGCCAGGCATGGTGGTGCGTGCCTGCAGTCCCACCTACTTGGGAGGCTAAGGTGGTAAGATCACTTGAACCTAAAAGTTTAAGGCTGTAGTGAGCCAAGAATTGCTTGAACCGGGAGGCAGAGGTTGCTGTGAGCCGAGAACACACCACTGCACTCCAGCCTGGGTGATAAAGCAAGACCCTATCTCTACAAAGAATATTTAAAAATACATAAATAAAAGAATAGAAGGAAAAATGAAAAGAGCAAACAAAAGGCATTGGTTAATAAAGCTTATAAAAGTTATGTAGTATCTGCTTCAGCAGCACATACAGTAAAATTAGAATGATGCCAAGAATATTAGCATGGCCGTTGTGCAAGGATTTTTTTGTTTTGTTTTTTGAGACGTAGTTTCGCTCTTGTTGCCCAGACTGGAGTGCAATGGCGCCATCTCGGCTCACCGTAACCTCTGCCTCCCGGGTTCAAGCGATTCTCCTGCCTCAGCCTCTCGAGTAGCTGGGATTACAGGCATGCACCACCACGCCCGGCTAATTTTGTATTTTTAGTAGAGACGGGTTTCTCCATGTTGGTCAGGCTGGTCTCAAACTCCCAACCTCAGGTGATCTGCCTGCCTCAGCCTCCCAAAGTGCTGGGATTATAGGCGTGAGCTACTGCGCCCGGCCAAGGATATTTTAAAAATAAATTTTAAAAATTTAAAAGTTATACTCATAATGGTTATTGAGAGCATTATTTACAGTCAAACCCACCACATAAGGCAGAGGTTCAAAGGTAGTATTTCACTCTCCTGCTCAGACCCATCAAAATCTTCCTAAGGCCCCTTAAGATAGTTCAAACCCCGTGATAGACTCTTACCATGACTGGTTTTTGCCCATTTTCTCCAGCCCACCTTTCACCAAGCACCACCCCATCCCACACTCTGCTCTCCAGCCATTAAAACTTTTTCTGACATTTCCACTCAACTACACATTTGGGTATTGGAACATTTGGAAGAATTCACTTGTAAATCCACTTGGGTTTAGTGTATTCTTTGTGGAAAGATTCTCAAATAGTCATTCAATTTCTTTCTTTCTTTTTTTCTTTTTCTTTCTTTTTTTTTTTTTTTTGAGACGGAGTCTGGCTCTGTTGCCCAGGCTGGAGTGCAGTGGCGCAATCTGGCTCACGCAAGCTCCGCCTCCCGGGTTCACGCCATTCTCCTGCCTCAGCCTCCAGAGTAGCTGGGACTACAGTCGCATGCCACCACGGCTGGCTAATTTTTTTGTATTTTTAGTAGAGACGGGGTTTCACCGTGTTAGCCAGGATGGTCTCCATCTCCTGACCTCGTGATCTGCCCACCTGGGTCTTCCAAAGTGCTGGAATTACAGGCTTGAGCCACCGCGCCCGGCCCGTCATTCAATTTCTTTAGTCGTTACAGTCTCCATGGTTTGTCTTTATTCTCAAGTATTTATTTATCTCTCTTTTTCAATCCCAACTAATGTGTAGCATCAAGTAAGTTTTTTTTTAACTTGAGGTAAAATTCACATAATATAAAATTAACCATTTTAAAGTGTATGATTCAGTGGCATTTAGTATATTCATAATGTTGTACAACCACCACCTCTATCTAGTTCCAAAGTATTTTAATTACCCGCAAAGGAGATTTCATTCCCATTAGCAGTCACTCTCTATCTTCCCTTCTGCTCAGGCCCTGGTAAACCACTAATCTGCTGTCTGACTTTATGGGTTTGCCTATTCTGGATATTTCATATAAATGGAATCATGTAATATGTGACCTTTTGTGTCTGGCTTCCTTCATTTAGCATGTTTTAGAGGTTCATCTGCATTGTAGCATGTATAAGTTCTTCCTTTTTTTTTTTTTTTTTTCTTTTTTGAGACAGGGTCTCACTTTGTAGCCCAGGCTGGAGTGCAGTGGCGTGATCACAGCTCATTGCAGCCTCCATCTCCTGGGCTCAAGTGATCCTCCCACCTCAGCCTCCCAAGTAGCTGGGACCAGGAGCATGTGCCACCACACCCAGCTAATTATTATTATTATTTTTTAAGAAACAGGTTCTTCCTATGTTGCCCAGTCTGGTTGCAAACTCCTGGGCTCAAGTGATCCTTCCGCCTCAGCCTCCCAAAGTGTTAGGATTACAAGTGTGAACCACCATGCCTGGCCCTTCATTCCTTTTTAAAAATTGTGATAAAATATACAGAACATTGGCCGGGCATGGTGGCTCATGCCTGTCATCCCAACACTTTTGGACGCCAAGGTGGGTGGATTATCTGAGATCATGAGTTTGAGGCCAGCCTGGTCAACATAGCGAAACCCCGTCTCTACTAAAAATACAAAAAAAATTAGCTGGGCGTGGTGGCAGGCACCTCTAGTCCCAGCTACTCAGGAGGCTGAGGCAGGAAAGTGGCGTAAACCCGGGAGGTGGAGATTGCAGTGAGCCGAGATCGTGCCACTGCACTGCAGCCTGGGCGACAGAGCGAGACTCCGTCTAAAAAAACCAAAACCAAAACCAAAACCAAACAAACAAAAACCTTCCCAGCAGCATTTGCGTGAACAAAATGGCAGCCCCCATATCTCAGGGGTTGTCTCTTTTATCAAGGGTTTTGGGCTGGTGATCTCCGCAGCCAGTTCTGGTGAGTCAGTCTGCAGCTATAGTTCCAGTAAGAACTAAAAAACGTTTCACACCTCCTATTTATCAACCTAAATACAAAACAGAAAAGGAGTTTATGAAACACGCCTGGAAAGCAGGACTGGTTATTCCTCCAGAACGTCTGGATCATCCCATACATCTGTCCTGTACAGCTGGTATCTTTGATGCCTATGTTCCTCCTGAGGGTGATGCTCACATGCCATCTCTTTCAAAGGAAGGACTGAAACAGAGAACTGAACAAATGAAGAAGAATGTGGCATCACAATTTTCAATCCAGAAGATAAAAGAGGATGACGACAATTTTGAAACAAAGGACTTTCCTGAAAAAGCTAAGGATATATTTACTGAAGTTCACCTTTGTCTAAACAACTCACACATGACTGACTGCATACCTTGGTAACTGAGCACTGTTTTCCAGACATGATCTGAGACATCAAATATAAGACCATCCGCTGGAGCTTCCTGGAATCTTTAGAGCCCCACCATGTGGTTCAAGTTCGCTGTTCAAGTCTGATGAACCAGGGCAACATATACGGCTAGTCACCGTAGGCATGCACACCCAGCAGACTCTGGCCATCTGTGACTGGTTTGGCCGGTTGATGTATGGACAGGAAGATGTACCCAAGAATGTCCTGGAGTATGTTGTATTTGAAAAGCACCTGACAAACCCCTATGGAAGCTGGAGAATGCATGGCAAGATCGTTCCCCCATGGGCACCCGCTAAGCACCATCCTTAAGATGGTTATGATCCCTGGCCCTCAGCTGAAACCAGGGGAAGAATATGAAGAGGCACAAGGAGAGGCCCAGAAGCCTCAGCTAGCCTGATGGCAAGAATAACTTCTGGGGTGAAGCCTGGGTGATGAGGCTTCTGGAAGCTTTAAAGTCTTCCATCTCCATCATGCTATAGAAAGAAATACCTTTGTTCTCTCCCGTCCTGCTCGGGTCTTTTCAGCAGTCTCACCGTCAACAACCATGGCTGATGGCTGGCCCCAGGCAGGTGGCAGGTATAACACGGCCTTGGATCCTCTTCTTTTTTAAATTGTGTATCTAGCTTCTGAGTCTAGATGAAAGGCAGTATGTTTCAGAGAATGTCGGATACCAGTTTTTCCCACAGCAGGGGCTGTGGGAGATAACCAGCAGTATTCTGTTTGTAATCACAGGGCAGGGATCAGAGTTTAAAATAAAACACTGTCAGAGTGTGTGGGGGCGAGGGGGGTGGGCAGAACAGAACATAAAATTCACAATTTAACTTTTTTTTTTTTTTTTTGAGATGGAGTCTCACTCTGTCGCCCAGGCTGGAGTGCAGTGGCACCATCTCAGCTCACTGCAACCTCTGCCTCCTGGGTTCAAGCGATTCTCCTGCTTCAGCCTCCCAAGTAGCTGGGATGATAGATGTGCATCACCACGCCCAGCTAATTTTTGTATTTTTATTAGAGACGGGGTTTCAACATTTTGACCAGGCTGGTCTCGAACTCCTGACCTCAGGTGATCCGCCCTCTTCAGCCTTCCAAAGTGCTGGGATTACAGGTGTGAGTCACCACGCCCGGCCCAATTTAATCACTTTTAAGTATACAATTAAGAGTACATTGTATACAATGTATACAATTAAGTATACATTGAGTACATCCACATTGTTGGGTAACCTTCACCACCATCTATTTCCAGAACTTTTTCATTATCCCAAACTGGAAGTCTGTACTCATTAAGCAGTAACTCCTCATTTCCCCCTTGATAACCACTATTCTACTTCCTGTCTCTATGAATTGGACTATTCTAGGTTTTCCATATAAGTGGAATCATACAATGTTTGTCCATTTGTGTCTGGCTTATTTCACTTTTAAGTTTCATCCCTGTTGTAGTATGTATCAAAATTTTCTTTCTTTGTAAGGCTGAATTATATTCCATTTTATGTATATACCACATTTGTTTATCCATTCATTTGTTGATGGACATTTAGGTTGTAACTACCTTTTGGCTATTGTAAATAATACTGCTATTGGCTGGGCACGGTGGCTCACACCTGTAATCCCAGCACTTTGGGAGGCCGAGGCAGGCGGATCACCAGAGGTCAGGAGTTCAAGACCAGCCTGGCCAACATGGTGAAACCCCGTCTCTACTAAAAATACAAAAATTAGTCGGGGGTGGTGGCAGGCGCCTGTAATCTCAGCTACTCCAGAGTCTGAGGCAGGAGAATCGCTTGAACCCAGGAGGTGGAGGTTGCAGTGAGCCGAGATCACCCCATTGCACTCCAGCCTGGGGTACAAGAGCGAGACTTCGTCTCAAAAAAAAAATAATAATAATAATACTGCTATTAACCTGGGTATACAAATATCTGTTTGAGTTCCTATTTTCAATTATTTTGGGTATATGCCCAAAGTGGAATTTCTGAGTTCTATGGTAATTCTACATAGTTTGTTTGTTTTTTTAAATTTATTTTGTATTTCAATAGGATTTTGGGGAACAGGTGGTATTTGGTTACATGAATAAGTTCTTTAGTGGTGATTTCTGAGATTGTGGTGCACCCATCACCCAAGAAGTGTAGACTGTACCCAAATGTGTAGTGTTTTATCCTTCACCCCCGCCCACCCTTTTCCCCAAGTCCCCAAAGTCCATTGTATCATTCTTATGCCTTTGCGTCTTCATAGCTTAGCTCTCAATTATGAGTGAGAACATACAATGGTTGGTTTTCCATTTCTGAATTACTTCATTTAGAATAATAGTCTCCAATTCCATCCAATTTGCTGCGAATGCCATTATTTCATTCCTTTTTTATGGCTGAGTAGTATTCCATGGTAGATATATCTACCACATTTTCTTTATCCACACATTGATTTAACTTTCTGTGGAACCACTGGACTGTTTTCCACAGCTGCTGCACCATTTTAAATTCCTACCAGCAGTGCCTAAGGGTTTCAATTTCTCCACATCCTAATCAACACTTGTTATTTTCTGTTTGTTTGTTTTGAGACGGATTTTTGCTCTTGTCGCCCAGGCTGGAGTGCAATGGCATGATCTCGGCTCACTGCAACCTCCGTCTCCCAGGTTCAAGAGATGATTCCCCTGCCTCAGCCTCCCGAGTAGCTGAGATTACAGGCACCTCCACCATGCCCAGCTTTTTTTTGTATTTTTAGTAGAGATGGGGTTTCACCATGTTGGCCAGGCTGGTCTCGAACTCCTGACCTCAGGAGATCCACCTGCCTTGGCCTCCCAAAGTGCTGGGATTACAGGCATGAGCCACTGTCCCTGGCCTCTTTGTTTGTTTTCAGTAATAGCCATCCTAATGTGTGTGAAGTGTGTGGTTTCAATTTGCATTTCCTTAATGATTAGTAATGTTAAATATCTTTAAGAATACAGAAAATTAGAACAAAACCTATTGACAAGGTTGATCTGATGGGCACGTATAGAAATGATTGGAGAATATAACATCTCTTGAGGGACATTAGAAAGCTTTATGAACTAGGGCCAGGCACAGTGGCTCAAGCCTGTAATCCCAGCACTTTGGGAGGCCGAGGCGGGTGGATCACGAGGTCAGGAGATCGAGACCATCCTGGCTTACACAGTGAAACCCCGTCTGTAGTAAAAATGCAAAAAATTAGCCGGGTGTGGTGGCGGGTACCTGTAGTCCCAGCTACTCGGGAGGCTGAGGCAGGAGAATGGCGTGAACTCAGGAGGCAGAGGTTGCAGTGAGCTGAGATGGCACCACTGCACTCCAGCCTGGGCAACAGAGCAAGACTCCATCTCAAAAAAAAAAAAAAAAAAAGAGAAAGCTTTATGAACTTGACTAGGCACTATGCCATAATATAAAACTAAACTTCAAAAATCTGGTCTAGACTTTATGTTCTTTGTCAATAAAGGTTTTCAGTAAGACATCATTAATAAATAACTAAAAAAATCACCTGGAACCTTAAAAACACACTTCAAATTATCTCATGGTGCAAGAAACAAATCTTTGAATTGAAAGAAATGTTGATTTCCAAAACTGTTGAATATTAGAAATCATTTATAATTTAATTTTAGCAAAAATATAAACTATCATGAGATGCAGCGAAAGCTCTAATCAGCTAAAGCTCTCCTGCTGAAGCAGGAGAATTGCTTGAGCCCGGGAGGTGGAGGTTGCAGCGAGCCGAGATTGCGCTACGGCACTCCAGCCTGGGCGACAGTACGAGACTCTGTCTCAAAAAAAAAAAAAAAAAAAAAAAAAAGAAAAAAAAATTTAGATCTTCAAATGCTTGTATTAGAAACTAAGAAAAATTGGCCAGGCATAGTGGCTAACACCTGTAATCCCAGTACTTTGGGAGGCCAAGGTGGGCGGATCACCTGAGGTCAGGAGTTTGAGACCAGCCTGGACAACATAGTGAAACCCTGTATCTACTAAAAATACAAAAAATTAGCTGGGCATGGTGACAGGTGCCTGTAATCCCAGCTACTCAGGAGAATTGCTTGAACCTGGGAGGTGAAGGTTGCAGTGAGCTGAGATTGCACCACTGCACTCCAGCCTGGGCAGTAAGAGCGAAACTCCTCAAAAAAAAAAAAAAAAAAAGAAAGAAACTAAGAAAAATGAAAATTAATGTAATAAGCATCCTACTAAAAGTTAGGAAAAGAATACTATCTAACTTGCTGTGCATTAGTCTCTGAGTTTGTAATTTCAATTATTGGAATTTTCCTGTCTACCATTTCCATCTTTTTTTTTTAAGTTTACCTCTTTATTTCTGATGTTTTCCTATGTTATGCTCATCTTTGTGATTGCATCTTTTATTTCTTTAACCATCTCACACACAGCCTTTTTGTATTCTCTACCTGACATTTCCACCTCTTTATAGTTGGGGATCTAAATCTATTGTCTTGTTTCTATAAACTGCCTCACAGCGGCTTTCTTTCTTACATGTTGTGAGTTCTTTGTTTTTTAGTTTATTCCTGATTTTCATTTATGACAGTGCTATAGGCCTGCTTTGGGAACGTTTTTCAGATTGGAGTTGGCTTTGCTTCTGCAGGGGGTTGGGTACACCCCTACCCTTCTTGTTATTTCAAAAAATCAGTATACTATTTTAGCGCTGGGATAGTAAGGGCATTATTAAGAATGGAATGTTTGTGTTCTCCCAAATTCATATGTTGGAATCCTAACCCTCAAATTGATGATATTCAGAGTTGGAGCCCTTGAGAGGTGATTAGGTCATGAGCTTGAAGCCCTCATGAATAGGATTAATGCCCTCATAAAAGGAAATCCCAGCGAGCTCTCATCCCTCTCTGCCATGTAAGAGCACAACTAGAAGTTGGCCATCAGCAACTCAGAAGAGGGTCCTCATCGGAACCTGACCATGCTGGCACCCTGATCTTAGACTTCCAGTTTCAGAACTGTGAGAAATAAATTTCTGTTGTTTATAAGCTACACAATCAATGGTACTATGTTATAGCAGCCTGAACAGACTGATGTAGACACCGTGCTATCCTTGCTGCCAGCTTGTTAGGTCTGACTTCCTGACTCTCCCACGGCTCTCCTCCTGCTCTCTGCCATTCTGGCCCTGATCTCCTGCCACCATGGCCTCACCTACCTACATGTATAGAGCTGGCTTCTGACACCCTAGGCCCCAGGGCCCAGATTTTCCAAGCCCCCTATTCCTCCCTCACCCAGGATTTAGCTTTTTAAATTATTTTGTTTCGTTAGTTAATTTTAGGGGGTTGTCTTTGGGGATCTCTAATAACTCCTATAAGATTGAGAGATTGATCAGCATTTCCTACCAAAGTGCATCATTTCTGGAGTCTTACTGTTTTGGAACAGAATTCCTTTTTTTTTTTTGAGACGGAGTCTCACTCTGTCACCAGGCTGGAGTGCAATGGTGTGATCTCAGCTCACTGCAACCTCTACCTCCCAGGTTCAAGCAATTCTCCTGCCTCAGCCTCCCAAGTAGCTGGGACTACAGGTGCACACCACCACACCCAGCTAATTTTTGTATTTTTAGTAGAGACGGGGTTTCACCATGTTGGCCAGGATGGTCTCCATCTCTTGACCTCATGATCCACCTGCCTCAGCCTCCCAAAGTGCTGGGATTACAGGTGTGAGCCACCACACCCAGCCTGGAACACAATTTCTTGGAGCTCCTACTCACTCATGATTCTTGAGGTAGAGAAGCTGGATTAGTCTTCTTCTTATCTACTATAATATCTGTTTACATCATTTTACTTTCAACCTTTCTAAGGTTTTTTGGTTTTATTTTTAGGTGTATTTCCTAATAACATATACTCTGACAAATTATGCCCCTTAACTGGAGGGCTTAATCTGTTTCCACGTATTGTTACACATTTAGATTTATTTCTACCATATATTTTCCACCTTTTGTTTTTCTTACCTTTTCTGCATTGTGATTTTATTTATTTATTTATTTATTTATGAAATATGGTCTTGCCATGTTGCCCACCTGGCCTCAAAGCGATCCTCCCACCTTGGCCTCCTGAAGTGCTGGGATTACCAGCATGAGCCACCATGGCTGGCCTAATTTGCATTTTTAACTTAAAGGCTAAAGTTGAGTTATTATCTTCAGGCTGGTCCTGAACTATTCAAATGTGTCTGGAAGCCTTAACTCTAATCACCAAGCTTCCAGCTTATATGCTATTATTTGTTGTCCACTGTTTTACCACTACTTACTTTTATTTTTATTATTATCATTTTTTGAGATGGAGTCTTGCTCTTTCATCCAGGCTGGAGTGCAGTGGCATGATCTCAGCTCACTGCAACCTCTGCCTCCCAGGTTCAAGTGATTCTCCTATCTCAGCCTCCCGAGTAGTTGGCATTACAGGCGTGCACCACCAAACCTGGCTAATTTTTGTATTTTTAATAGAGAAGGGGTTTCACCATGTTGGCCAAGCTGGTCTTGAACTCCTGACCTCAGGTGACCCACACACCTCAGCCTCCCAAAGTGCTGTGATTACAGGCGTGAGCCATCACACCCCACCTCTAGTATTGTTTTATAGTGGAAATGTTTGTTCAACAATTCCCCTCGTTTACCATTTTCTTTGCTGAAATTGCTCCTTGAATCTCAAGTCATCCTTTGACATCAAAATTTGGTTTCTTGAAATACACACTTTAGGAATTCCACTAGTGAAGTTTTATTGCTATAAACTCACTCAGTTTTTTCTTATCTAACAAAGGTCTTCATTGTTTCAATGTGAAGATAGCTTCACATTGAAGATATTTTCTACTGTCTTCGATATTCATTTGTTCCTGTTGGGAAGCTAGCTTCCAGTGCAATTCTTATTACTATATAGAGTTTCTTTTTTTTCTTAGTTACTTTTTTTTTTTCTAATCTCATGTCCATCTCTGATCCATTCTTAGTTACTTTTCAATAATCTTGCTGTCTTCAATGTTCTTCAGATTTATTAAGCTATGTCTCAGTATGGAGTTCTTTTTATATGTTATGCATGAGAGTTTTTATCTTTTCAATGTTTATCATCAATTTTGAAAAATTCTAGCAATCATCTTTTTTTTTTTTTTTTTTTGAGACAGAGTCTCACTCTGTCACCTAGGCTGGAGTGCAATGGCACAATCTCAGCTCACTGCAACTTCTGCCTCCCAGGTTTAAGTGATTATTCTGCCTCAGCCTCCCGAGTAGCTGGAATTACAGGTGCCCACCACCATGCTTGGCTAATTTTTGTATTTTTGTAGAGATGGGGTTTCACCATGTTGGCCAGGCTGGGCTCGAACTCCTGACCTCAGGTGATCTGCCCGCCTCGGTTTCCCAAAGTGCTGGGATTACAGGCATGAGCCACCGTGCCCGGCCGCAATCATCTTTTTCAATACCACCTCTCCTTCATTGTTTCTATTCTCTTTTCTAAGAGTTTGTTTTAATATATGGTAAAACTTATTCTATCATTTCTTTTTTTTTTTTTTTTGAGATGGCATCTCACTCTGTCGCCCAGGCTAGAGTGCAGTGGCGAAATCTCGACTCACTGCAACCTCCACCTCCCTGGTTCAAGCAATTCCCCTGCCTCAGCCTCCTGAGTAGCTGGGATTACAGGCGCACACCACCAGGCCTGTCTAATTTTTTTGTATTTTTAGTAGAAACAGGGTTTCACCATGTTGGCCAGACTGGTCTTCAACTCCTGACCTCAGACAATCCACCCACCTTGGCCTCCCAAAGTGCTGAGTTTACAGGCATGAGCTACCGCACGCAGCCATCTATCATTTCTTTTACTTAACCTCTTTATTATATTTTCCACCTTTTTTTCTCCAAGTCACATTTTTCATAATTTCTTTATATTTATCTCCCTTTCATCAGTTTTCATTTTAATGTATATTCTCCTATTTAATTCTTCTATTGAGTCTTAAAAATCAACTGTAATTCTTGTTTATAGAAATATACTGTGTATTCATAGTAATTCTTATTTATAGAAATACATAAATAAGTGTATTCATACTAAGAGAACATTTATATATGAGTCTGTTTCTGAACTCTTCATTTTGTTCCATCAGTCTATTTGCTTATCCTTTGCCAACACCACAATTCTATCACAATTGCTTTAAAATAAGTTTTGATATCAGCAAAAGTGGTCTTCCTACTTTGTCTTTTTCCTTAAGATTGTCAGTTATTCTTGACCCTAAGCAATTATAAACACACACAGGCACACACACAGTTGAGATTTTGATTGTAATTGCATCAAATCTATAGATTATGTTGGGGGAAACTGACATCTTTATGAACTTGAGTGTTCAAATCTATGAAGGAGGTATGTCTTTGTATTTATTTAGATTTTAATTTTACTCAATAATGATTTTAGTTTTCTCTGTAATGCTCTGTTCTTCTTTTGTTAGATTTTTCTTAGGTATTTGGTGTTTTTCAATGCTACTGGAAATGATATTTTTAAAATTTGATTTTTGAATTGTATATTTCTAGTATCTAGGAATGCAGTTACGTTTTCTAAAAAGATTTTGTATCCAGCAATTTTGCTAAGGCCATTTATTAATTCTTTTGTATTTCTGTCCCTAATAATATTCAAGTAATGAATATTTTATTTCATATTTATTTATTTTGAGATGGAGTCTGCCTTTATCTCCCAGGCTGGAGTGCATTGGTGCGATCTTAGCTCACTACAGCTTCTGCCTCCTGGGTTCAAGTGATTCTCCTGCCTCAGCCTCCCGAGTAGCTGGGATTACAGGCATGCGTCACCACTCCCGGTTAATTTTTTTGTATTTTTAGTAGAGACGGGGTTTCACCATGTTGGTCAGGCTGGTCCCAAACTCCTGACCTCAAATGATCCACCCGCCTTGGCCTCCCAAAGTGCTGGGATTTCAGGCGTGAGCCACTGTGCCTGGCCTTCCATTTAATATTTTTAAACCATGTGAACTCATGATAGAAATTTTCAAACATATGCAAAATTGGAATAGTATAACATTCCATCTCTCCATCACCCAGCTTCAATAATTGTCAACTCATGGACATTCTAGTTTCCACTGATAGCCTCTATCCATATCCTCCTCACTTATCATTACATGTAAATTACAACAACTTATAATTGTACCTATAAATATTTCACTGTGTACATCTAATAGATAAGTACTTTATTAAAAGCCCCAAACCACATTACCATTATCACACCTAAAGAAACTCAGGCCTTTGACTATGAGTTTTCTGAGAAGACTCTCCCTGAACCTACCTAGAGCCACGGCCAAGATAAACTCTTTTCCATGCTGTCTTCTTCCTATACAGATTTTTTTTTTTTTTCCTGTCTCACTGTTTCCCTATGGTGTAGCCCTTTGTGGAGGTCCAGCTTTAAAAGCGGGTCTCTGATCTTACTCCTGGCTCTTTGTCTGGTTCCCAGCAAGTGGTCTAAACTCTAGGCACCAGGGGTGAAATGGTGCCCTCAGGGCAGCTGAGGATTCAGAGCTGATGATTACCCAGCATTGCCTCTTCTCACAAGGATTTCCCTTTGTTGTTGTTTGACTTTCTTTTTGTAAGCTCATCCAGGCATTGTAAAGGGTGAAGCTGTTGTGCACTGGAGGATTTCAGTATATTTAGGTTACCTTCTTCCTGGAAATCCTGAACTCATACTTAATCATATAGTTTTAGAATTATCATTTAACGATCCCTTATCTAGAATTTTGAGCAGAAATAATGGGGTGTCACATGGAGAATTCCTCCATAAAATGATGTTAAACCTGAGACTCGAAGGATGCGTATAAGAGGGGGCTGGGTAAGGAGCAGGGGAGACACAGTGTTTTGAAAACTGGGAAGAGTATTTTAAACAGAGGTGGCAATCATATGAAGCCTTTGTGGTAGGAAGGGGAGGCACAAAGGAAGAAGGCTCAGTATGAACCAACCCAGAAAGACCTGCTCCATCCAGCCTATTAGGCTGGGTTGGAGCAATGAGATTCCCACTGCAGTTGAAATCTTTGGTGTGATTTCCGTAGGCAGCCTCTCTTATCTTTATAAAGGTTCCAGGATGTACAGAGGACCTTCCCCACTCTCTTCAACAGCAAGAGGTTATTCTCATTGTATCATTTAGGACACTGTGGATGGAAAACCTAAACTGCCCACAAGCTTGGGTCCATGCTTAATAGATGAGATTACCCTGTACATTTATTAAGACTTAAAGCAAATGGCTGGTCTGGGTGGCAAATACCACACCCTCAGACTCCTTTACTCAATGTCCCACCTTCCTTTTCTTGTGCTGTTTGGGAGGCATTTTCCTCAGCAGGTAACTGCATCCCCAAACTAACGCAGGAAGCTTGGGTGGCTTTCCCTTGGGGGGCAGCTGCCTGGGAAGGCAGCCAACTTGCCTTTTGGTCTTCTGAGGGAAAGCCAGGGTACAGGTTGGGGCTGGGGAGAGGGGGGCTCAGCCCTCTCATATGCCTGCCAATAGCCTTGCACACTTATGTTACCAGCATCACTTTATTAAAAATACAAGTAGAATGACTCCATTAAATATCATTTACTTGGTGGTTAGTAGACTTTAAAAGAACTCACTCAAATAATGCATGAACTGTATTTCTCTTTTTTTAGAGAATGCATTGGTTTCCCAGGGTTGCTGCAGCAAAGTACCACAAATTGGAGGACTTAAAACAGGAGAAAGTTCTTCTCACACAGTTTTGGAGGTTCAAAGTCCAGAATCAAGGTGTTGGCAGGGTTGGCTCCTTCGGAGGGCTCCCAGGGAGAATCTGTTCCATGGCCCTTTCCTAGCTACTGGTGTTGCTGGCAGCCCTTGGCATTCCTTGGCTTGTAGGTGCATCATTCCAATCTGTGCTTCCATCTACACATGGCTTCTCCTTGTGTGCATTTTTTTTTTTTCTTTTCAGATGGGGTTTCGCTCTTGTTGCCCAGGCTGGAGTGCAATGGCACCATCTGGGCTCACTGCAACCTCCGCCTCCCAGGTTCCAGCGATTCTCCTACCTCAGCCTCCCAAGTAGCTGGGATTACAGGCATGTGCCACCATGCTCGGCTAATTTTGTATTTTTAGTAGGCACGGGGTTTCTCCATGTTGGTCAGGCTTGTCTTGAACTCCTGACCTCAGATGATCCGCCTGCCTCAGCCTCCCAAAGTGCTGGGATTATAGGCGTGAGCCAGTGAGTCACTGTGCCCGGCCCCTTGTGTGCTGCTTCTTTTGTTTTTGATATGGAGTCTCGCTCTGTTGCCCAGGCTGGAGTGCAGTGGCATGATCTCGGCTCACTGCAAGCTCCACCTCCCGGGTTCACTCCAGTCTCCTGTCCCAGCCTCCCGAGTAGCTGGGACTACAGGCGCCCGCTACCATGCCCCGCTAATTTCTTTGTATTTTTTTAGTAGAGATGGGGTTTCACCATGTTAGCCAGGATGGTCTTGATCTCCTGACCTCTTGATCCACCCGCCTCGGCCTCGCAAAGAGCTGGGAGCCACCACGCCCGGCCCCTTGTGTGCTTCTTATACAGACAACAGTCATATTGAATTAAGGACCCAGTGTAATTGAGTATGACCTCATTTTAGCTTAACTAATTACATCTGTAATGATTCTATTTCTAAATGAACTTACCATCTTTTCTTTTCTTTTCTTTTCTTTTTTGAGATGGAGTCTGGCTCTGTCACCCAGGCTGGAGTGCAGTGGTGAGATCCTGGCTCACTGCAACTTCCACCTCCTGGGTTCAACTGATTCTCCTGCCTCAGCCTCCCAAGTAGCTGGGATTACAGGCGCCTGCCACCACGCCTGGCTAACTTTTGTATTTTTAGTAGATACGGGGTTTCATCATGTTGGCCAGGCTGGTCTCGAACTCCTGACCTCAGGTGATCTGCCCGCCTCGGCCTCCCAAAGTGCTAGGATTATAGGCATGAGCCACTGCGCCTGGCTAAAGTTACCTTCTGAATGAAGTATTGGGGGTTAGGACTTCAACATATCTTTTTGGGGCATGCAACTCAACCCATAACAGAGAAAGACAATATATGTGAAATACAGTACTATGATCTCTGTGGTACAAAGTTCTCTCCTCAGCAATCTGGCAGAATGTCATCTGCTGGTTTTAACCTCTGGTATTCTAGGCTTCTGTGTCAGGATATAACAGCCTGACTCCTCAAAGAAGGCAAATACTTTCTCCTCATTTTCCTTACTCATGAACTCAGGCAGAGTCTGGGTTTGCCAGAGTCAGTGTCCATGGGTTTCCGTCATTTATGAGGCCTTTACCTACAGACGCAAGGCCTGGCTCATGAGAACTCTGGCAAGAAGATTTAAAGTCACAAGCAAGGGGTGAGAAATACTAGAATCTTTTTGGAACCGATTTTGGAGTGTGATGGGATCTTATTTTATAATTATTCCAAATGATTATCCAGTTCTCTCTCTATTCTTTTTAGGGAATAGATGCATAGCATGTTGATTTGAAAGTGCCTCCCCTTATTACACACTAAAGTTTTATGTATATTTGTGTCTTTCCATTTAGAGTTGTAAGTGTCCTTCAGAAAGTGCTGAAGTTTTAGCCTAGGCAGCAGAGTGGGACCCCATCTCTATAAAGATTTTTTTTTTTTTAATTGACAGGAGTGGTGGCATGCCCCTGTCGTTCTTGTTTGCTCGGGAAGTTGAGGCAGGAGGATTGTTTGAGCCCAGGAGTTCAAGACTGCCATGAGCAATAATTGAGCTATCATGCCACTGCACTCCGGCCTGGGTGACAGAACAAAATGGCTAAAAAAATACAAAGTGCTGGGGCCAGGCGCGGTGGCTCATGCCTATAATCCCAGCACTTTGGGAAGCGGAGGCAGGTGGATCACGAGGTCAGGAGATCGAGACTATCCTGGCTAACACGGTGAAACCCCGTCTCTACTAAAAAATATAAAAAATTAGCCGGGCGTGGTGGCGGGCGCCTGTAGTCCCAGCTACTCAGGAGGCTGAGGCAGGAGAATGTCGTGAACCCGTGAGGCGGAGATTGTAGTGAGCCGAGATTGCTCCACTGCACTCCAGCCTGGGCGACAGAGCGAGACTCCATCTCAAAAAAAAAAAAAAAAAAGCTGAAATTTTGTTCATCTACATTCTGCACCTTTATTTCTTGCTCTTTTGCTTGTTGTTGCTATTGTTACCAAAAGGAAAACCTTTTTGCTCATTGCTTACTTCTAGAATAAAAAAAAAATTCAAACGATTTTTTTCCGGTTATTTTGTAATCAGGTCTAATTAGCTCTAATACTTTTTCAGATGATTCTTTTTGTGTTCTCAGTGTAGATCTTCACATCTTCTGAAAATAGTAATACCATTCTTCAATTATTGTCTGCACTTTCTTGCTTCAAGGTCTTTGATTCTGAAGTTATTGTCTGAATTTCTATCATTCCTGTCGTTCAAACGCCTACTCTTCATCAGGACCCAGTTCCTCTGTGAAACCTCGTTTAACGTCCCAGGAAGAGTTAATTTCCCTCTCCTTGAACTTCCAGAAAACTTGGTACATGCCTTTTATTATAACCGTATCATACTGCATTGTAATTATCTGCTTATAAAACTGCTTTCCCCAAGAAAACTCAAAACAACACACGTTTCTTCTCTAGGCCATGAGTCAAGCTGGAGGTGTTCTCTGTGGAAGAGGGAGGAGTGATGCTCTCTTATTCATCCAGGTGTTCCCTGTTCAGCAGTTTGGTACCGACAGAGAAGAGAGAGGGCGGGGGTGCACTAGGAAATCAATGAGTAGACAAGGGAGCCCACCAGTAGGGGACATGCTGGAACCAGATCTAGGACCCTGGCTTTTCTGCCCCACTGTTATGCCTCTCCAGATGCTGAAATCCAGTTCGGGGACCTATCGTCTCTGGGCTGCCTTTTAGCTCTTGTGGGACTTGATTAACTTGGAAAAGTGGCGCCACTCTGTGCCCTGTACCCTTCCCACGCCTCACTATGCCACAGCCGCAGGCCCAGCCAGGGTTTCACCCACGCGTCCCCGGGAAGAATCGCGCCACCTAGAGGTCCAACATGGAACTCCTCTTCCTGCAAGTTGGTTCGCGGCCTGAATTCCAATCCCCCAGCCGGCGCCGCCGTGGCGCAGGTCCATCTCCTCCCGCGCAGTGCTAGGTGTTTGAGGCGCGGTCTCCTGGCTAGAGGCTGCCCAGGCGTTATGGGGCCACACTTGCTGAGGTAGAAGCTGGGTCTGATCTTCCTCTGCTCCCCACTGCGAATTCTCAGGTGGGCCAGAACAAGTGGCAGGAAGAAGGCTCGCGGCTCGCGGTGATTCAGCCGGGTCGCCGCTCTGGGATCCTCCCTCTCACCAAGAAAGCCTCCGGGAAGCCCGGGGTTACCAGGCGCGGGAAACAAGGCGGCTTTATTTTGCATAATGCCTTCGGACAAACGGCCCGGGAAGGCGGCGGGGGAGGCGGCTGGCAGGCCTGGAATGCACACACCTGTACCTGAGAAGGCTCCTTTGAATTCCTTCTGCTCTGTGGTCTCCTGGGGGCTTCGCCGGCGGCAGTGGGTGGGAGTTTGGCAGCCTGTGCCCTCGGGAGGAGCACCCCACCCAGACCTCCAAGTGGGGCGGCCACCGGGGGAGGGGAGGGGTGGCGCCAGCCTGTTTATGAACTTCCCTCCCCCACTCCCTCTCCACCTGCAGTTCCCACCCCTCCTCCTCCCCAGACCCACTGGAAGCAAAGCTTTCGGGAAAGAAATAGTTCGATGACAGTTTCCTGAAGGGATTTCAGGTCGGGAACGGGGCGTCCAGCGCATGCGGCGGGGCCCTTTGTCCTGCCAGCCTGAGTCTGGCTTGTCCTTTTTCTTGCTTCCCAGTGCTTCACCTGACAGGTGAGGAAACTGAAGCCCAGGAAAGTCGGCTTTCCAGCGATGGGTGGCAGAGCAGCATTCGTATCTGTTTACCTTTTCTAGCCTGTTCTGTAAAATTATTTCATAGCTTAGCCTTGCTTGACATTATCAGGTTAGTACTGCGCACAAATCAATAGTTGGGAAACTCCACCTGAAAGGCACTCTAAGGTGGTCATCGGAAATATTGTATTCTTTGAACCTGGCCTAGTCCTCCAGAAGGCGGCCCCACCCCATCTGCAAGGAGAAGTCCATCAGGTGTCACTCAAGAGAGGAGGGAGGCGAGGACCTCCTTCCCTTCACCCTGGTCTCATCAGCCCCTGCACGTGCCTACCTTCAGCCAGAAGGTGGCCAAAGTAGGAGGGAAACACATCAATTACATAAAGTTGTTCAGGCTATCCTTCTAGCAGTTGCTTTCCTTTAAATCTGCAGAGATCCTTTCAAAAAGTTCAAGGACAAAGCGGGTTGTTGTTGTTGTTTTGAGATGGAGTCTCACTCTGTCGCCCAGGCTGGAGTGCAGTGGTGGGATCTCGGCTCACTGCCACCTCCGCCCACCGGGTTCAAGCGATTCTCCTGCCTCAGCCTCCCGAGTAGCTGGGATTACAAGGCGCCTGCCACCGCGCCCGGCTAATTTTTGTGGTTTTAGTAGAGGAGGGGTTCACCATGTTGGCCCAACTCCTGACCTCGTGATCCACCGGCCTTGGCCTCCCAAAGTGCTGGGATTACAGGCGTGAGTCACCGCGCCTGGCCCAAAGCGGGTTTTCTTCTGAGTCAGGGCAGGCAGAGGTGAGAGACAGTGCTCAGGGACCCAGAGCCAGTCACAGTTCAAGCAGAGCCCCAGGAGAAAGGGAACCAGAGCGGGTGGCGGCCCCTATGGCCCCAGGCCACCACCTCTCCTAGAATGGGGAGGTTGTATCTCACTTCCGGTGGATCCCTCTGCAGCTAGAACAGAAAGACTCAAGGCTGCATTCCGTTTTTTTCTTTCTTTTTTTTTTTTTTTGAGACGGAGTCTTGCTCTGTTGCCTAGACTGGAGTGCAGTGGCATGATCTTGGCTCACTGCGACCTCTGCCTCCGGGGTTCAAGCGATTCTCCTGCCTCAGCCTCCCGAGTAGCTGGGACTACAGGCGTCCGCCACCACGCCCACCTAATTTTTGTATTTTTAGTAGAGACAGGGTTTCACCAAGTTGGCCAGGCTGCTCTCATGATCCACCTGCCTCAGCCTTCCAAAGTGCTGTGCTGGGATTACTGGTGTGAGCCACCGCGCCTGGCCTTTTTTTTTTCTTTTCTAACTTTTATTTTAGATTTAGGGGGTACATGTGTGAGTTTGTTACCTGGTTATATATTGCATGATGCTGAGGTATGAGGCATGCATGAGCCCACCACCCAGGTACTGAGCATAGTACCCAACAGCTTTTCAACACTTACCCTCCTCCCTCCCCCCACCAGTAGTTCCCAGTGTTTGTTGTTCCCATCTTTGCATCCGTGTGTAACGTTTAGCTCCCACTTATAAGGGAGAACACGCAGTATTTGATTTTCTGTTCCTGCATTAATTCGCTTAGAATAATGGCCTCCAGCTGCATCCATGTTGCTGCAAAGGACACGACTTCATTCTTTTTTATGGCTGCACGGTAAGGCTCCATTCTTGAACAAGGCCTGGTGCAGAATGAGAAAGTGAGTGAGGAAGAGAGGAAAGCAAGAGAAGGAAGAAGGGGAGGAGACGGCATGGCCACAGGAGCCACTAGGTCTCTCATTAAAAGGGCATTTGTTTGAGGCAGAGGACCCTGTGCAAGATATGGCGAGCTGGCTGGTGATGATGGAGTTGAGCATGGGGGCTCAGGAGGGTCCCCTGGCTAAAGCAGGGGAAGGAGAGATTTGCTCGTGGCTGAGCACAGGACTCCCGCTGAGGGTGTGGAAAGTCCTGGGCTACAGTTCCAGCCCTTAGGCCAACACAGACAGGCCCACATCTTTCAGATGGGATATCCATGTTGACCAGAGACAGGGGAATGAGAAACTGTAGCTAGAAAACGATCCTAGATGTTTCTTATCCCTCAAAGCCTTCTGAATGAACAGCAGTGTGACAAACCACAGGAACTCCAAGAAGGCAAACAGACGTGAGATCACTGGTTCTAGAGCTAGAAACCTTTCCCTATGTCTTTTGGGCCCAGCCAGGCAGGTGGTCGGGGACAGCTATGAGACTTCACTGCTCTCATGAGGAACAGAAAGCCCACCAAGGGCCGGGGTTACAATCTGGACACTGAGTCCAAAACAAGTCACATTTTGACTCCTGTAGCACATTGTGTTTTCCAGAAATTGCTCCAACAGTATTTTCAGTCTCACGTGCCTTATCTCTCCCCCATAAAGAGGTGGAGACTATTTCCCCTCCCCTTGAACCCGGGCAGGCCTTTGTGACCGCCTCAGCTGATAGAATGCAGGGTAGTGATGATCCCTGACTTCCAAGGCTTGGTCTTAAAGGTGATAGGTATCGCTTCCACCTGGTTTTCTCTCTTGAGATGTGTGTATTGAAGTTTAAGAAGTCTGGCTATCCTGAGGCCATTTTCTACAGAAACAAGAGAGACGGAGAGAGACGGGGTGAGGGGTGGGGGGTAGAGAGAGAGAGAGAGAAACAGAAACGAGAGACGGGGAGAGAAGAGGTGAGATGGGGTGAGAGAGAGAGAGAGAGACATTGAACTCCAGTTGTTCCAGTCCTGAGATGTTCAAATGTTCTCAGCTTCGGTGTCAAACATGGGAGAGAGTGAGCTTCAGAGGACTCCAGCCCCCAACCCCTCCAGATGATGCTAAATGGAGCAGAGATGACCTGTCCCTGCCAATCCCTGCCCAGACCACAGACTCATGAACAAAAATGCTGTTTTAGGGCCAGTCGTGGTGCCTCACACCTGTAATCTCAACACTTTGGGAGGCTGATGCAGGTGGATCACTTGAGGTCAAGAGTTTGAGACCAGTCTGGGTAACATGGCAAAACCCCATCTCTACTAAAAATACAAAAATTAGCCAAATGTGGTAGTGTGCACCTGTAATCCCAGTTACTTGGGTGGCTGAGTCAGGAGAATCACTTGAACCCAGGAGGCAGAGGTTGCAGTGAGCCGAGATTGTGCCACTGCACACCAGCCTGGGTGACAGAGTGAGACTCTGTCTAAAAAAAAATTAAATAAAAATAAAATGCTGTTTTAATTCACTAGGTTTTTAGGTTTTTGGGTAGCTTGCTGTACAGTATCGAATAATCAGAACACATAAAGTTTCTTGGCCCTATTTATGCTCTCAGTAACTATGAAGAGGAGTGAGTTACCATCCTTAATTTACAGGCAAGACCACCAAAGCACAGTGGGCATTAGTCACAAGATTTTATGGACTGAATTGTGTCCCAAAATTCGTATGTTGAGGCTCTAACTCCCACTGTGACTATTTGGAGATAGGGCCTTTAGGGAGGTCATTAAAGTTAAATGAAGGCATTAGGGAGGGGTCCTAGTCCAATGGGACTAGTGTCCTTGTAAGAAGAGAGAGACACCAGAGCTCGTTCTTTCTACACCATGTGAGGACACAGGGAGAAGGTGGCTGTCTGCAAGCCAGGAAGAGAGACCTCACTAGAAACTAACCCTGATGGCACCTTGATCTTGGACTTCTGTCTTCCAGAACTGTGAGAAAATGAATTTCTGTTGTTTAAGCCACCAGTCTGTGGCATTCTGTTATGACAGCCTGAGAAGACTAAGACACAAGATAAGTGGCACAGCCTTGATTCATAACACAGTTCTCTGACTCCAAAACTGGCAGCCTACTCAGCACTCTGCTGAAAGTCAGAACAGGACCCTGTCCACAAGCAATGATGCTCCTGGGTCCAGACTCACGCAACAGGGTCATTATCGAAGCGTCAGCAGAACCAGATTCTGCCTGCTCTACTAAGAGTTCAAGGGCAAAGCCAAGAAACAACACCAAGAAGTAGTTTCAGAAGCCAAGGGAGGCATTCAATTATGACCTGGAATATGACAGGCCTGGGGTAAAGCCTGGATGATGTTAGGGACCCTGGAACCGGGGACATAGCCAGGCTATTTTCTCTGGCTTCCTCTCCTTCACGGGCATTTATTGCATGTCAGTGATCTGCCAGGCACTCTTCCAGGCATTGAGAAAAGAGCAGCCAACAAGCCAGACAGGGCCCCTGATCTCATGGAACTTACATTCCAAGGGGGACAGAAGGCAAGTGAATAAACACAAAGTGAATTCCCTTCTAATTGTAATAAGTGCTGTGAAGCGAATGAACAGCGACCTAACAGAGAACATCTTGGGGAAAAGGGGATCTGTGGCGGTGACGTTTGAGCTGGGATGTAAAGAATGAGAAGCAGCCACCCATGAAGAACAGGGAGATTGTTCCAGGCAGAGGGATGATAGGTGCAAAGGCCCTGCAGTGGGAAATCATGAGAGTCATCCGGAAAATATACAGGAGGGAGTTGCTGAGATTCGAGCATAACGATGAGGTGAGGAGAGGTCAGAAGGAAACTTGGTGAGGCAGACCAGACTTTACAGGCCTTGTAGGCCACAGCAAGGAGGAGTCTCACTTTAATAAATTAAAGGTAGATGTTTTGTCACTGTGGTGCAGAACAAGGGGGATCAATGCCCAGATGTTCCCAGGAAGGAAATGGAGCTCAGGTGAGCTGAGGAGACACTGTTGTTGAAAAGCATGCTTGGCCGGGCATGGTGGCTCACGCCTGTAATCCCAGCACTTTGGGAGGCCGAGTTGGGCAGATCACTTGAGATCAGGAGTTCGAGACTAGCCTGGCCAACAAGGTGAAACTCCAACTCTACTAAAAATATAAAAATTAGCCGGGCATGGTGGCAGGTGCCGGTAATTCCAGCTACTCAGGAGGCTGAGGCAGGAGAATCGCCTGAACCCGGCAGGTGGAGATTGCGCTGAGCCAAGATTGTGCCACTGCACTCTGGCCTGGGCGACAGAGCAAGACTCCATTTCAAAAAAAGAAAAGCATGCTCATCCCTTTGAGGTCATCACAAGGCCTGGTGATGAGCCCTTTGAGTCCCTGTTTGCCTGCTCAGCTGGGACTCTCTCCCACTGCTGGGGACATGGGAAAAAAGTAACCATTTGCTTAATTCCAAAATTGATTCCCAGGGTATAGGGACATCAGAGCACTGAGTGCTCAGTGCTGAGATTAGGGACTTATCCCCAAGTGTAGCCAGGAAGAGAGCAAAGGGAACTACAATGCTTGCATTAGTTTTCTATTGTTAAACTTCTGACATACTTAGTGGCTTCAAACAACACAAGTTTATTATCGTACAGTTCTGTAGGTTGAAATTCCAACACAGGTGTCATCAGGCAGGGTCTAGCTGTCATCAGGGCTGCATCCCTCTCTGGAGCTCTTTGGGACAATCGATTTTCATTTCCTTGACTTTCAGCTCCTGAAGACTGTCTGCATTTCTTGGTTCATGGCTCCTTCTTATGTCTTCCAAGCTGGCAGTGGCAGGTTAAGTCCTTCTCACACTGCCATATCTCTGGCTCTTTAGTTATCACATGTGCCTCTGATCACAGCCTGGGAGGGCTCTCCATTTTGAAGGACTCATGTAATCAGTTGGGCCCACCTGGATAATCCAAGATACCTTCCCCCTCTCAGGATCCTTAATCACATCTGCAATGTCCCTTTTGCTATGTAAAATGACTTACAGATTCCAGAGATTAGGATGTGAACATCTTTTGGGATCATTATTCTGCCTACCACAATGCAAGTTCATGGCTAAAGGAAGGATAAAAGTGGATGGATCTGGGGTTCTTCAGATTGACACATCCAAAGATTCTACTAAATATATATTTTTAAAATTTCAATTTATATTTTAGATCCAGGTAGTACATGTGCAGGTTTGTTACAAGGATATATTGGCTAGGTGCAGTAGCTCATGCCTGTAATCCTAGCACTTTGGGAGGCTGAGGCAGGAGGATTGCTTGAGGCCAGGAGTTCAAGACCAGCCTGGGCAACCAAGTGAGACCCCCATCTTTACAAAAAATTAAAAAATTAGCCAGGTGTGATGGTGCATGCCTGTGATCCCAACTACTTGGGAGTCTGAGGTGGGAGGATTGTTTGAGCCTAGGAGGTTGAGGTTGCGGTGAGCTGTGAACATGCCACTGCACTCCAGCCACGGTGACAGAGTGAAACCCTGTTTCAAAGAAAAAAGAAAGATATATTTCGTGGTGCTGAAGTTTGGGCTTCTATCAATCTCATCAGCCAGAGAGTGAACATAGTACCTAATAGGAAGTTTTTCAGCCCTTTCCCCCCTCCCTTTGGAGTCCTCAGTATCTATTGTTCCCATCTTTATGTCCACGTGAACCCAAGATTTAGCTTCCACTTTTAAGTGAGAACACACAATACCTGTTTTTTTTTTTCCTTTTTTAGATTTTATTTATTTATTTTTAGATACAAGGTCTCACTCACTATGTTGCCCAGTCTGGTCTTGAACTCCTGGGCTCAAGCAATCCTGCTGCAGCTTCTCAAAGTGTTGGGATTACAGCCATGAGCCACTGCACCCATCGATATTTGGTTTTCTGTTTCTGCATTAGTTCGCTTAGGATAACACCCTCCAACTGCATCCACATTGCTGTAAAGGACATGATTTCATTCCTTTTTATGGCTGTATAAATCCTTTTGGTGGGCTCTTTTTTCTAAAGTTTTATGCTCTGTCATATACAGATACGAACAGTAGGAATAATCTTCATTTACTGGGAGCCTGTCTGGTACCAGGTACTTTTCTATAACTTCTACTATTTACTACTTATAGTAATAAATAGTATTTTATGTTTGTCGAGTACTTGCTACATGCCAAGCATTGTGAGAAGTGCTTTGCATGTGTCATAAGAATGAAAACAACTTACATGTTAACAATTTGTCTCTTTTTCCATCCCTCCAGCAGCTGAAGAAACTTTTGCCTTTGCCCACTTGTCTTCTCCCACTTCCCTGCTGCTCAAAGGATATTTCGTCTTTGTAAACTATGTTCTTAAACTTCTGGGGTTCAAAATCAGAAGAATGGGTAAACAGAGACTGCACTGTTACCTTGGAGCTTCCCTTCACTGTCATTTCAGAAATGCTTTCCCAAGTTTCCTATATTGGGTCTCCTGTGTTCCCATTTATTTAGCTGCTGTTGCTCATTTTCAATGCACCTGTCTATACTCTGCTCTGGGAGCTGGGCCTGAGACCTTGCACACCACATGTCTGCTTTGCCAGCTGGCTCTCCATTAGACTTTGCCCAGAGGGGTGCCAGTGGGAGGCTGGGAGGCTGAAGGAAGGGAAGGGATCTGCTCCTTCCTGTTTGCTCCTTTTTCCTGTCAGCGTCATCACGACAGCATTTTCTCACAGTTGGTTCCAGTGGCAGTGGTTGGTTTTCAGTTTCATTTTCCCCCATATTCTCAGAATCAGCTTCATTGTGCCCATGAAGTGACACCAGCAAGTCCCAGGTGATGGATGCATCGTCTTCAGAAATCTGAGTCTCAGCCCCTCGTGGTTCCTTCTCTGAGGTCTTGAGGCACCAGCACCAGAACAGCAATCCTTCTTTCTCAGACATCTTGGTGCCAGCTCTATAGAACTCTTCTTCAAATTTGCACATCCCAGTACTAATACTCTTCCTTTAATTATCCCATTCCTAGGTGGTTGCTGCTTTCTGGAGCTATTACTTTCTTTTTTTTTTTTCTTTTATTATTATACTTTAAGTTCTAGGGTACATGTGCACAACATGCAGGTTTGTTACGTAAGTATACATGTGCCATGTTGGTGTGCTGCACCCATTAACTCGTCATTTACATTAGGTATATCTCCTAATGCTATCCCTCCCCGCTCCCGCCACCCCACAACAGGCCCCGGTGCATGATGTTCCCTACCCTGTGTCCAAGTGTTCTTATTGTTCATTCCCACCTATAAGTGAGAACATGCGGTGTTTGGTTTTCTGTCCTTGCGATAGTTTGCTCAGAATGATGGTTTCCAGCTTCATCCATGTCCCTACAAAGGACACGAACTCATCCTTTTTTATGGCTGCATAGTATTCCATGGTGTATATGTGCCACATTTTCTTTATGCAGTCTATCATTGATGGACATTTGAGTTGGTTCCAAGTCTTTGCTATTGTGAATAGTGCCGCAATAAACATACATGTACATGTGTCTTTACAGCAGCATGATTTGTAATCCTTTGGGTGTATACCCAGTAATGGGATGGCTTGGTCAAATGGTATTTCTAGTTCTAGATCCTTGAGGAATCGCCACACTGTCTTCCACAATGGTTGAACTAGTTTACAGTCCCACCAACAGTGTAAAAGTGTTCCTATTTCTCCACATCCTCTCCAGCACCTGTTGTTTCCTGACTTTTTAATGATCGCCATTCTAACTGGTGTGAGATGGTATCTCATTGTGGTTTTGATTTGCATTTCTCTGATGGCCAGTGATGATGAGCATTTTTTCATGTGTCTGTTGGCTGCATAAATGTCTTCTTTTGAGAAGTGTCTGTTCATATCCTTTGCCCACTTTTTGATGGGGTTGTTTGATTTTTTCTTGTAAATTTGTTTAAGTTCTTTGTAGATTCTGGATATTAGCCCTTTGTCAGATGGGTAGCTTGCAAAAATTTTCTCCCATTCTGTAGGTTGCCTGTTCACTCTGATGGTAGTTTCTTTTGTTGTGCAGAAGCTCTTTAGTTTAATTAGATGCTGTTTGTCTATTTTGGCTTTTGTTGCCATTGCTTTTGGTGTTTTAGTCATCAAGTCCTTGCCCATGCCTATGTCCTGAATGGTATGGCCTAGGTTTTCTTCTAGGGTTTTTATGGTTTTAGGTCTAACATTTAAGTCTTTAATCTATCTTGAATTAATTTTTGTATAAGTTATAAGGAAGGGATCCAGTTTCAGCTTTTACATTTGGCTAGCCAGTTTTCCCAGCACAATTTATTAAATAGGGAATCCTTTCCCCATTTCTTGTTTTTGTCAGGTTTGTCAAAGATCAGATGGTTGTAGATGTGTGGTATTATTTCTGAGGGCTCTGTTCTGTTCCATTGGTCTATATCTCTGTTTTAGTACCAGTACCATGCTGTTTTGTTTACTGTAGCCTTGTAGTATAGTTTGAAGTCAGGTAGCATGATGCCTCCAGCTTTGTTCTTTTGGCAATGTGGGCTCTTTTTTTGTTCCATATGAACTTTAAAGTAGTTTTTTTCCAATTCTGTGAAGAAAATCATTGGTAGCTTGATGGGGATGGCATTGAATCTATAAATTACCTTGGGCAGTATGGCCATTTTCACGATATTGATTCTTCCTATCTATGAGCATGGAATGTTCTTCCATTTGTTTGTGTCCTCTTTTATTTCGCTGAGCAGTGGTCTGTAGTTCTCTGGAGCTACTACTTTCATGATACCTCAGTGTGTCCTTTTTGCCTTTTCAGTTCTCCAATACTTGGTTAGCAATTCTTTATATTAAATTCTCCCTGCCAAAATAACTGGTATGGTTTCTGTTTCCAGGAATGGTCCCAGAAAGCAAACTTTCAAAGATACGATATTGTTTGGGTCCTGTTCTTGAACTTGAATGCAGTGCTGAGGTCCTTGCCAGTGAGAAATGGGAAGAAGGTAATTCACAGCGTGTAGTGGTAATGCAAATAATCCAACTATCATCTGTGTTTGTTGTCAGTGCTTACTAACAATTACAGTACTTGACATTTATGATGGTAATAATGGCTACAAAGACTATGGAGTAGGATGGTTGCTTCAGAGTATATTGGAATGCTTATAGAAAGAAAATAACAGGTTTAGGGCTATGAACTCCCAGATCAAGTTATAGTGACACAACCAGAAAGTTTCTATGGCAGCCTTAAGGAATCTCATTTCTTGCACACTGACAATCATGTGAATAACAATACATTTTAAAAAGGAATCTCATTTCTTATAGTCACAGGACTAACTTCCATGAAAACTGATGCAAAATTGAATAGTGCAGTTTGAAGAATTATTATGTAACTATAAACTACAGCCTTATCCAATCTCTTGCATGAATATCAGGGCATTGGTTGGAAAGTAGGAGGACCCTGAGACTTGGAAGGGGGATATCTTGGTAGAGATGAAGCTGAGAATCTTGAACCTCTAAGCCATTCTGATCTTCTGTTTACCAGTTGATATAACCTGCACTCTCATATCTGAGGAGAATCACTTATCATTGCTTGAAGACACTGTAACAATATCATGACACATCCCAACTATCCTTTGTTTCTTCTACCTATAATAAGGGTCATATCTCTTAATGCTCTAGGGGACAAACATGAAGTTTGACTTATAAGCTATAATTCCAAAAAACTGCAATATTTTGCAAATATAAATTGACAGTAACATGAAGAATATATGTGGGAATTATTCCAAGGGATAGATTGCAAATTTATATCAGGCTAAATTTGATATGAGTACTCTTACCCGAGATTCTGTATTTTATCTGTCTACTTAAGTAGCTGAAAGTGGCTCTAACAGTTTACTTAGTTCATTGAATTTTGGACTCAACAATAATTTTATGAGTTTGAGATGCTACAGCATCTATGATGACATAATGCCAAAAAAAAAAAAAGGAATACAAAGAGGACGAGAGTGTTGATATCTCCCTCTTTTACTGCATCACCCTAGAAAGCCAGGGGACACAATTTTCACCAAGAAATTAAGAAAGATATGCATGAGGGGAACACCGGTGTTTAAAACTTTATGGTATGTATGACAATAGAACTTGCACAGTTGAGATTTCAGTAAGATGATGAGATTTGGGTATAGTAGATACCAAGTGGCAGACTTTAACTACCAGAGATAAGGTAGGCACATTTATAGCAATGGGAAACAGTAGTAGAGCAAGCATCAAGGTATTTTGACTCCTTTTTGTTAGTGGCTGATTGATCACAGTATCCCCAGGAATGAAACAGATGAAGAGCCTACTAGAAAATTATTTAATCTGGCTGGGTGTGGTGCCTCATGCCTGTAATCCTAGCACTTTGGGAGGCAGAGGTGGGTGCATCACTTGAGCCCAGGGTTTGAGACCAGCCTGGGCAACATGGTGAAACCCTGTATCTACAAAAAATACAAACATAGTTGGGTGTGGTGGCATGCGCCTGTAGTCCCAGCTACTCAGGAGGCTGAGATGAAAGGATCGCTTGAGCCTGGGAGGTTGAGACTGCAGTGAGCCATGGTCGTGCCACTGCACTCCAGCACTCCAGCACTGGGTGGCAGAGCCAGACCCTGTCTCAAAACAAAACAAAATAAAACAAAACAAAAATTACTTAATCCATACAATAGGGAAAACTCCAAGTCAGGAATAATGAAAGGAAGAAGTTGGGATTATTACAACAGCAGCAGCTAAATCTAGTTTGCAGTTTTTCTAATACTTGCAGAACCAGCTTTATCATATCTCATTCAGAAACACCAGCACCAGCTGTCTGGTGTCCCCTCCTTAAAGGTCTAGTTCCTGTGCTCACAGGGACCCTCCTCTGAGCTAAGAGATATCAACACCAGCTAGGTAGTACCTCTTCAGAGCTTTGAGTTTCGGCTCTTTGGTGCCTTTCTTCTAAGTTTCTAAGCATTAATATTTCCAGCCTCTTTTTTATGCTCATTCAGCCCTGAGAATGATAGGAGCTTTCTGTAATTCTTACATTTTTTATGCCTTTAACGTTAGGATTTACCCTTCTAGTTACCTACTTAACAAATGTACACCTACATAGCATTTTTAACATTATCTTTTTTCTATTTAAGTAATGGTGCAGATTGTGTCATCTGGATGGTCACTGACATACAGAAATTGGTAGCAAAAGTGGCCTCAGGAAACAGACTCTCAAAGATGGTATTCTGGGATTGGTTCAGTCACAGCCTTGCATTTCTTGCCAATGGAAAATTGGATGCTAGTATCCAGGCACACAGTGGCATCATGTGTGTTGGATTACGCTGAAGTACCTACTGGAGACTTCTCCCAAAAAACTTTCTGCCATTTCCTAGAATGATTATAAGAATCATTTAATAGAATTTCTCACTTACTAAGAAAAGGGAATTACCCAGAGCTTTCAGGAATTACTAGGCGCTAGCTCTAAATTGATGCTGACTCCTAGAGACTCAAAATGCCACAGTGCCACCAATAAAATAAGGGCTATTGTGGCCAGGTGACATATGGACTCTTAAATCAATTTCAAATCACAGATGGTACAATATGTCCATGGACCAATTGTATAGTTATTTCCCCAGTTAATTAATGTAAATTGGATAGACACATTTAGTAACTAGAAGAATACCAATCTTGGCTGTCTGACCCATAGAGTAAGGACCACGATGGTTGGAAGAATCGAATGGAAGCCACTGGAACTTACTCTGTCAGGATAGTAATCGCAAAAACAATACCATATTCCTGAGAGAATTACAGAGATTATCACCACCATCAAAGACTTAAAAGATGCTGAGGTGGTGAAGCCACATCTAACTTTCCTGTTTGCCCATGCAGAAGGCAGATAGATATTGGAGAATGACTGTACATTATCATAAACTTTATCAGGCAGTTATTCCAAGTTGTGGTTTAATATATAGAAACTTCACCAGAAACAAAAATCAATATAGCTCCTATTACCTGGCATGTAGCTACTGACCTAGCAAATACTTTTCTCTCTATACCAATTTGTAAGGACCATCAGAAGCAGCTTGCTTCTATCCCACAGGGCCAACAGCATACCTTCACAAATTTGCCTCAGGGCTTCACCAGTTTTGCTCTGTGCCATAATACATGCTGGAGACAATCTCGATCCTCTTGATACCACACTGGTCTACAATCTTGTTAACATTATGTTGATCTGATCTGGTGAACTAGAATTAGCATTAATTTAGATGCCTTAATAAGACTTATGCAAATCAGAGAGTAGGAAATAAACCTCATGGAAATTCAGGGCTTGTCACTCCAGTGAAGGTTCTGGGTATCTAATGGTCTGGAGCACATCAGGCTATCCCTGAGGTGAAAGATGAGTTGCTATACTATGTACCACCTACCACAATAAAAGAGACGCAATGCTTTGTAGGCTTTTCTGAGTGTTACAAATAACATCTACCATATTTGAATGTGCTATTTAGACACACTTACCAAGTAATATGGAAGGCTATAAATTTTGAATGATGATCAAAGCAAGCAAAGGCTCTGCAGGAAGTCTAGTCAGCTCTTCAAACTGCTTTTCCTTTTGAGGCTTTTGATCCCCAGACTCTTTCCAACATCAGTTTCTGCTGCATTGCCTTCTCTCCATCAGTATACTCTAGTGGTTTCATGCGCTCCTTATAACCAGTTAACCAAGGAGAGAAAAAAACTCTTCTACACATAAATACATAAAACAGATAGGATTATATATTATAGAAAGAGTTATATGCTTTGAATTGGAGATAAATTTATGTTTCTACCACTCCCATGGCCAGGATACATGGGTCTGAAAATCAAGAGGTAGAAATGGGAGTGAGTCCTCTTACTATCACATCTAACAGCCCACTTGTAGAATTTGTTTCTCATTCCCAATTTTTTCTTTCTTTTTTTTTTTTTTTGAGATGGAGTTTTGTTCTTGTCTCCCAGGCTGGAGTGCAATGGCACAATTTCAACTCACTGCAACCTCTGCCTCCCGGGTTCAGGCAATTCTCCTGCCTCAGCCTCCCGAGTAGCTGGGATTATAGGCACACACCACCACGCCTGGCTCATTTTTGTATTTTTAGTAGAGACGGGGTTTCACTGCGTCTGCCAGGCTGGTCTCGAACTCCTGACCTCAGGTGATCCACCCGCCTCAGTCTCCCAAAGTGCTAGGGTTACAGGCGTGAGCCACCATGCCTGGCCTGAGATCTGTTGACTTTGAAATTTTTATTCCCCCTAAAAGAATGCTTCTACCAGGAGACACATCTATAGTTCCACTGGTTTCCTAGATGAAACTGTTTGGCCACTTTGAGTTTCTCATACCAAAGACCCAAGAGACAAGGAAGGGTATTACTCTTCTTTGTGGAGATAGAGTAATTGATCTTGGTTACCAAGAAGGAATTAAATTGTGGCTACACAACAGGAACATGAAGGTCAATGTTTGGAACATAAAAGATACATTGAGGTATCTCTAAGTACAGGTTGTGTGTTGCTTAAGATGGGGATACATTCTGAGAAATTTGTCAGGCAATTTCATGCTTGTGTGAACGTAACAGAGTGTACTTACATCAACCTAGATGTTATAGCCTAATACACCTATGTACCCAGGCTATATGGTATAGCCTATTGCTCCTGGGCTACAAACCTGTAAGAATGTTACTGTATTCGGCCGGGCGCAGTGGCTCACGCCTATAATCCCAGCACTTTGGGAGGCCAAGGTGGGCAGATCATGAGGTCAGGAGATCGAGACCATCCTGGCCAACATGGTGAAACCCTGTCTCTACTAAAAATACAAAAATTTGCCAGGCATGGTGGCATGTGCCTGTAATCCCAACTACGCTGGAGGCTGAGGCAGGAGAATCGCTTGAACCAGGGAGTCGGAGGTTGCAGTGAGCCAAGATCGCACCACTGCACTCCAGCCTGGTGACAGCGCAAGACTCTGTCTCAAAAAAAAAAAAAAAGTTACTGTACTCAATACCATAGGCAATTGCAACACAAGGGTATTTGTGTGTCTAGACATATCTAACCATAGAATAAAGTAGAGTAAAAATACCATATTATAATTTTATGGAACCTCTGTCATATATGCAATCCGTTGCTGACGAAAATGTTATTATGTGGCACGTGACTTTACTTTCATGTTCATTAGTAAAAGGTAATAGAAAACTTCAGCAACCAAAAATGTCAAAGACACTGAAGATTCAGACCTTTCAAGAATGAAGATCTGTGCTATTCTACCAGGTAAAGGACCCTGATCAGCTGAGGTTCTGGCTGAAGACAAAACAGGATGGGTAGTGGAAGAAGGAAGTTCGTGAACATCAGCTGCAGCCTTGTGACCATTTGCAGAATTCAGACTGTAACAGCTGTGCGCATTTGCTTTCTCATTGGTGTGTGTGTGTAACATATTATTTTCCTCTTCTTTCTCCTCCTTTCCTTTAGTATTTTTATTTATTTATTCATTCATTCATTCATTCATTTATTTATTAGAGATGGGATCCCATTATGCTATCCAGGCTGGTCTCAAACTCCTAGGCTCAAGCAATCCTCTCACCTCAGTCTCCCAAAGTGCTGGGATTACAAGCAGGAACCACCACGCCCGGCCTCCCTTACTATTGTATACAAATTTTGTTAGAAGCTAACTTCACAATTTAGTACTTAGATAACAGAATATTCAAATGAGATTTTGAATACATTTGAGAAGTAATTAACATATGTCAGAGAAGAATATCGTGACCATTGGGCTTTGCATCTCTTTCTTTGGGGTAGTGAGAAGATCTGTCTATCTGGATAGTTGCTGTGAGGAACGAAACACAGAATTATTTTGTTGTATGAATATTCATATATGTGTAGAAGAGTGCCTGTGAGTAAGTTATTGTCTCTCAGCTCCTTCTCTACTCAGCTTTGTGATAGTAGCATTGGGAATCTGGAAACTACATTTTTTGCTTTGCCTACTGGCTCCCTTGTTAGGCTCTACCAATATAAAGCACTAGAGCTGGTTTTCTTCTGACGCCTGCGAGCATCATCCCAGGGAGGCTTCTTCATCCCGGCAGCAGCAATTCCTTCTGTTGGCAGAAGCTGACTCTAGTTTGCACTTTGTCCAGTATTTGAAGAACAAGCCTCATTGTACCCACCTCAGAGATACCAGCCCTACTAGGGCAGGAACATCAGCTCAGAGGCCTGAGTTTTAGCTCTGTGGAGCCCCTTATCTAAGCTTCTAAGTTTTCAATATTCCAGTGTCTTCTTTTGGTTCCCTAAGTCTTTGAGGTGGCAGTTGCTTACTGCAGTTGCTATATCTGTGCTAACTTAATGTTGGTATCTGTACCCTTTTTGTAAGCTAATTGACAACAGTGTGTCTAGTTAACAGTTCTTTATATCACGTTCTATCTATTTAAATAATGAGTGTGGTTTTGTTCTCTCAAATGGACCCTGGCCGATATGGACGCTTTGGTCTGTTTGAAATTTTGGCATGAACCAGAGCTGCAGCCCAAGTTTACATCTCTTTGCTGCCTATACTGTCACTACAGATAATGTAGTTCATAGCTTTAAACCTTACTTATATGCTAATGACCTCAAATTCATACCTCTTACCCTGGCCTATGATGAGAATTACAGACATATATTGTACTATCTACTTGATATCTCCACTTGACAAGTTAAGTATATCTCAAATTTAATATGGCCAAAATGGGACTCATAATTCTCTATGTTCACATCACCCACCCAAGTCTGTCCTCCCTAGGTTTTCTTCATTACAGTAAATTATACCTGCCAGCAGTTCCTCAAGTATAAAAACACAGAAATCACCCTTGATTTCTTTCTTCCTCACTCTTCATATCCAATCCATCAGCAAGTCTAATAAAAATATCTCAAAATATTTCCACATCTCACCACTCTGGTCGAAGCCACCAGACTCTCCAGCCTGGACATCTGTAAAGGCTTCTTTCATTTTTTTTTGAGACAGTCTTGCTCTGTCGCCCAGGCTGGAGTGCAGTGGTGCGGTCTTGGCTCATTGCAACCTGTCTCCTGGGTTCAAGTTATTTTCCTGCTTCAGCCTCCCTAGTAGCTGGGATGACAGGCATGAGCCACCATACCCAGCTAATTTTTTTGTATTTTTAGTAGAGACAGGGTTTCGCCATGTTTGCCAAGCTGATCTCAAACTCCTGACCTCAGGTGGTCTACCCTCCTTGGTTTCCCAAAGTGCTGGGATTACAGGCGTGAGCCACCATGCCCAGCCCATGCCTTCTAAAAGGTATCCCTTCTCCTGCTCTTGCCAATCCCCTATACTGTATCCTCTATGCAGCAGCCAGATATTCTTTTAGAAACATAAATCAGAGCACATTAAATCCCTCTGAAGCTTTACTAACACAAATATTATAAGGTGAACATGCTTTATCCTAGTCTAAAGGTCTTATCAAATGAGGTCCCTGTTCATCCCTCTGAATCACCCCCTGCCACTCTCCTCAGCTTTCCTCTTGAGGCTGATGCATTTGTGAAAGTCCTAGAGTTTCATAGAAAGGAGCATGAACCTAAATAGGCGGAGATGCATAGACAAAACTCTAAGGCTCAGGCTGGGAGCGGTGGCTCAAGCCTGTAATCTCAGCGCTTTGGAAGGCCGAGGCAGGCAGATCACGAGGTCAGGAGTTTGAGACCAGCCTGGCCAGCACAGTGAAACCCCATCTCTACTAAAAATACAAAAATTAGCTGGGCGTGGTGGCACGTGCCTGTAATCCCAGCTACTTGTGAGGCTGAGGCAGGAGAATCACTTGAACCCGTGAGGCAGAGGTTGCAGTGAGCCGAGATCGCGCCACTGCACTCCAGCCTGGCAACAGAGTGAGACTCCGTCTCAAACAAAAAACAAAAACTCTAAGGCTTGACATCTCATGGCCTGGCAAATGTTAGTCTCAGCCACAATGAACTGAGTATGTACTACCTACCCATTCCCACCCTTACCTGCAGCCTATTCTTTAAGATAAATTTCACTCCTGGAAATCAACCTCTCTCCAACCCACCTCCATACACCTCACTACAGACCCTCAATACCTGACAAATTCCTTCCAATCCGTTCGCAAGAAGTTACAACACAGAGAAAACGGAGAAGCAGCTTTCTTACGTCCTATGTCATGCATCCGGCTGTTGCTCTCCCTGACTTCTGCTATTAAAGCTTTTGTCAGAGTGGATAAATTAAACTCTCTGAGCTTGAGTATAGATTGTCTTTGGCTCTGGCTGTTGCAATTTGAAACGTTACCCAAGTTTCCAGTAAAAAATCAGGGCCTAGAAGAGGGAGCCTGTGGGTTTCTTTTTTCTGTCAAGATTTATCCTCTTTGGTACTTGTGGTTGTTCAGGTAAACTTAATAGTGAGATAATAACTAGATACATCCGTTTCACTTGGTATTGGAGACACAAGCAAGGAGATCTATGTCATTTGGTCTGTCAATCCATTAGGAATAATCAGGTAAATTTAGAAAGAAAAATCTCTAAGCCCTGCCTCAAAACCGTGGCATCAGAATTTTCTGGAATGGAGCAATGTTTATGTGAAATTAAGTTTTAAAAACTTCATGAGTGATTCTGATGCACATCCTGGATAAGAATGGATGATGCTTTACTAAGCTTCCCTGGTGATTTAAATGTCCCTGCCCTCCAAGGAGTCACATGAAACTCCAACTAGAGTTACAGTCTTAACAATTCCCTCACAGCTCATCATCTGAAAGTTGAGAAAAAGAGTCAAGGAGGGTAAGCAGCCCTCATCCCCATCCCACACAGCTTCCCAGTGGCAGCGCCAGAGCCTCAACCCATGTCTTTGAATGAATGGTACAGAGGGAAGGCAGAATTGATCATGGCAGGACCAATCAGAGAGAGAGAACTTCCAGCAATAAGGAAAGTCCTGAACAGGCTTTAAAAAAGGAAACAAATATGGATAGTTCCAAGGCAGACAGGTCTATATGGAGGAAAAAGTAAGGCATCCCCTCCTCCAACGTGCCGCCTCCATAGCTATGATGAATTTTTCCAGTGAAGGTAAACTCTACCTGGCAGGATTGCTGGAAGAATGGGAGGGTAACATCTGGTGAAGGATAAAAATAGAAAGTATTATTGGGCTTTCTGAGGCTGCTTACTTGAAAGAAGAGCATAAATAATTCCTTTGCCCAGAGCCCTTATCTGTTCTTTATGCCTTTGACTGTGGGTGTGCAGCAGGTGGGGAGAGAGAAGGGGCTGGTGAGGAAATTTCTCATCAGTGGAAATCCCCTCTTGGTCATGCATCCATTTGAGGGAGTTGGGGGGGTTGCAGCCATAGTATCTATGGCAGGGGAGCATATCCAGAGGATAAGAGAGTGACAGACACGAATGAGAAAGAGGGAGAGGATCAAGACAGGCAGACATGGGTGGATACAATGATAGAAACAGAAAGTCCTACAGGGAAGTAGGAAATGAGAAAAGAGAAGAAAGGAACAGGATGGAGCCTATCATACTGTAAGATGTATCTTATATGCCTCACTGAAGTTGTTTGTGACCCTTTGGTTCCCTGGGTCCCCTGGCACGTTGCCTCCATGTCTCCCAGGGCTTAGCCCTTCTTTGTGTTCAGTGCTTGTGGTGAGTTTCCTCCTAGGGTTTCAGTCAAGAATTTGGGAGGAAGGGCAGGCGCGGTGGCTCAGGTCTGTAATCCCAGCACTTTGGGAGGCCAAGGCAGGTGGATCACCTGAGGTCAGGAGTTCGAGACCAGCCTGGCCAAAATGGTGAAACCCCGTCTCTACTAAAAATACAAAAATCAGCTGGGCTTGGTGGCAGGCACCTGTAATCCCAGCTACTCAGGAGGCTGAGGCAGGAGAATCGCTTGAACCCAGGAGGCAGAGGTTGAAGTGAGCTGAGATGGTGCCATTGCACTCCAACATGGGCGACAGAGTGGGACTCCATCTAAAAAATAAAAAATAAAAAGTCTGGGAGGAGAATGGAGGCAGGGGCCAGGGTAACTCTGGTAGTCCTCAGCCGACTACTCCTAACCAACAGGGACCCTAAAGGTCCCTATGCCTTGACTTCTCCCTATAGGCTGAAAACCTGGCATTCTTATTCACCTTTGACTTCTAGCCCTCTCTCACTGCGAGCAGCCAGGCTGCTGAGATATTCTTTTCATTTGCTTCTCCTCTTAGTCAGCACAAAGGCCTCTATTCTGTTCAACTGATACCCTGCTCCTCTCCCTACAGTCAACATTTCTTTAGCCCTAATCCCTTAAAATCCCCTTAAACAACTCAAAAGCAATAAAGAGATAGTTCTTGGTTACATTTCTCCCCCTTGCTTTGTTCTTCCTAAACCTCTTCTCAGATTGCAGGCCAGAAGGTCTTTGTGTGAATGTTGACTCATCTCATTCATTCTAATGAGCTCACCGACAGCATAAACTGGGTGGCTGGCCGCTCCCAGGCTGGGTGTTGGGTAACAGAGAGCTGTCTGGCTATGGGACTGAGCTTCCTGGAAGAGAGGAGGTGGGGAGGACCTGCTAAGCCTGGGACTTTTCAACATCAGTTACTCCCAGGAGCCTAAAGGCATGTTCTTCAGATGCGGCAGGGTGGCTTATCCCTGAGTGACTGGAACTTCTGTCCTCCCACTACGGTCCCCAAACACCTACACCTGTAATGTGGTCAGCAAATCATCTTCCGTCTCACTCCCTGGGGATTAGTATTTCATCCTCATGTGAAAATGCACGTTACTCATTAAACTATTAGTTTTAATTCTGCTTCATAGCACAAAAGTGTTTGACAGAATTAGCTAGGACAGACACGTTTTGATGAAGGAAAATGGTTTTGGTCTATAGCTGAGGAGGACAAGCCTTGGTTGAATGTTGGAAGAGAGAATACAGCATGCAGTCCACAGGGGCCTAGGTGCGGTGCCTACTAGTGAATGGTAGATTTGGGCAAAGGCCACTGCTTCTCTTAACCTAGGAACCTCATCTGTAAAATAAGAAACATAGAATGTTGTTAGGCTGGCTGACATTGGCAGGTAGAGACAAACAAAAATGAAATGGATCAGTATATTGGCTATAAGACAGTAACTGGTAGGTCAGGTAATGAAACAAATTATGAAGGGAGTGTTATCACCTGGATGTTGTGTGTGCATGCATGAGTGTGCACAATTAACTCCAATCATGCAGCATGGAGATCCGCAGCCATGGGTACAGGGAGGGAAGCAGGCAGAGAAGGGGAAGGGCAGAATTCTACCCAAATCAAGCAATAGAAAGGTAATTAACATAAAATAAAAATGTATATATTTACATACACATATATACATATACAATACACACTTATGTATATGTATGTGTATGTATGTGCATGAATATGTACGTATGTGCATATAAATATATTTCCCTAGATTTGCAACATTTCTTACCAATAAAAAGGACTGCATTTAGCATTTAGGCTGAGATTCTTGGGTTGAAGATTCCGGTCCATGACATGGTCAAATATTAGGTTATTGGTTAAAGGCATGAGGCCAACGTACAGATATGGGTACCACATCCAGGATGATGCTACCCAACTACCCAAGACACAGGTTAATATGCAGAGCCCCTTCTTATTTTGGGGATTTTTTTTTCAAGCCCACATATTTTTGTACATCATGTTCACAAATCCCTTGTGGTGCCCATAGTTTTTATATTACATATGGAAGGGGATGAATGGATATCCATTCTCTTCTGATGGTTGATAGAACTCATAAGTACAGTAGTCCCCGCTTATCCATGGTTTCACTTTCTGTGGTTTCAGTTACCCATGGCCAACTATGATCTGAAAATATTAAATGGAAAATTCCAGAGGTAAATAATTCATAAGTTTTAAATTGTATGCTATTTTAAGAAGCATGATGAAATCTCTGGCCATCCCGCTCCATCCCACCTGGGATGTGAATTAGCTCTTTGTCCAGCATATCCACTCTTTATACACTGTTAGTCACTTAGAAGCCATCTTGATTATCAGATAGAGAAAACATACTATATATAGGGTTCAGTACTATCTATGGTTTTAGGCACCCTCTGGGGTCTTGGAATGTATCCCCCAAAGATAAGAGAGGACTACTCTAAAACCATTTGGGCCTAGGATTTTTACAGTGAGAAAGTTCTCAATTATGAAGTCAAAATGTTTATATGATATTAAGCTATTCAAATTTTCTATTTCTTCTTGAGGAAGTTTTGTAAATTTGTGTCTTTCAAGAAGTTGGTCTATTTATTCAAGTTTTCAATTATATTGGCATAAAGTTCTAGAAGTTTTTTGTTTTGTTTTGTTTTTTTGAGCTAGGATCTTGCTCTGTCACCCAGGCTGGAGTGCAGAGGCATGAACATGGCTCACTGCAACCTCAACCTCCTGGGCTCAAACAATCCTCCCACCTCAGCCTCCTGAGTAGCTGGGACTACAGGTGTGCATCACCATGCCCATCTAATTAAAAAAAATAATTGTAGAGATGGAGTCTTACCATATTGCCCAGGCTGGTCTTGAACTTTGGACTCAAGCAATCCTCCTGCCTCACCTCCCAAAGTGCTGGAATAACAGGTGTGAGCCACTGTGCCTGGCCTAAAATATTTTAAAATTCTTTTTATAATTTTTAAAATATCCAGTGGTGTCCTCTTTCATTTCTCATTTTGGTAATTTGTGTCTTCTCTCTATTTTTCTTGACTAGCCTTGCTAAAGTTTTACCAGTTTTATTGATCCTTTCAAAGGATGAGCCTTTTTTTTCTCTATTCTTTGTTAATTTTGCTTTTCATTGATTTCTGCTCTTATTTTTACTATTTCTTCCTTCAATTTATTTTGGGTTTAATTTGCTCTTCTTTCTCTAATTTCTTAGGATGGGAGCTTAAATCATTCATTTTAGGTCTTTCTTCTTTTCTAAAATAAGCATTTAGTTTAATGCTATATATTTCTCATTAAGCATAGCTTTAGCTACATTCCACAAATGTCAATTCAAAATATTTTCTAATTTCTAATGTGATTACTTTTTCAATCTATAAATTACTTAGAATGATGGTTCTCAACTGGGGTGATTTGTCCCCCAGGGAATAGTTGGCAATGTCTAGGGACATTTTTGGTTTTCACAATTAGAAGGGTACAACTGGCATCTAGTAGGAATAGACAAGGATGCTACTGAGCTTCCTAAGTGCATAGGATAGCTCCCCACAACAAGAAATTGTCCAGCCCAGGGTGGTAAACACTGTCTGTAAAACTATGTTGCTTAATTTCCAGATGTATGTTTTTTTCCTAGTTATTTGTATGGTCATTGATTTCTAATTAATTCCATTGTGGCCAGAGAGCATAGCTGATATGATTTTAGTCTTTTTTCTTTCTTTCTTTTTATAGAGATGGGGTCTTGATATGTTGTCAGGCTGGTCTTGGACTCCTGACCTCAAGCAATCTTCCCCCTTCAGCCTCCCAAAGTGCTGCAATTACAGGTGTGAGCCACCACACCAGGTCTATTCTAATCTTTTAAAATTTATTGAGACTTATTGTATGGCACAGTGTGTATTCTATTCTGGTGAACATACCTCGTGCACTTGAAAAGAATGTGTTCTGCAGTTGATAGGTGGACTGTTCAAAGTGGTTGATGGTGTTACTCGTTTTGTCTATGTGTTTGCTGATGGTTTTTTTGTTTTGGTCTGATTTTTATATACTTGCTGATAAGGGAGAGAAGTGTTAACATTTTAAAATATGATTGCAAAATTGTGTCTTTCTCTCTTTAATTCTGGGAAGTTTTACTTCATGTATTTTGAAACTCTGTTATTTGGTGTATACATATTTATGACTACTGTCTTCCTGATGAATTTTTCTTTCTACTATTATCAAATGTTCCTCTATCTCTAGTAGTACTTTTTGTCTTGAAATCTATTTTATCTGATATTACTATAGTCACTTCAGCTTTATTCTCTGCTCGCTGTTAGAATAGTATGCACTTTCTTGTCTATTGACTTTCAACCTCAATGTGTCTTCTAAAGAAAGAAGATAATTGTTGTCTTAGTTAGCTCGGGGGCTGCCATAACAAAATACTATAAATTGGATGGCTTAAACAATGAAAATTTGTATTCTCACAGCTCTGGAGGCCAGGAAGCCCAGGGTCAAAGCTCTGAGCAATTCAGTTTCTTGTGAGGGTTCCCTTCTGGCTTGCAGGTGGCTGCCTGTCCCTGTGTTCTCACATAGTGGAGAGAAAGAGTAAACTCTCTGGTGTCTCCTCTTGAAGGACACCAGTGTTATTGGATCAGGGTTCCACTCTAATGATCTCGCTTAATCCTATTTCCTGACTCCAAATACAGCTACACTGGGAGTTAGGGCTTCAATATACTAATTTGGGGTGACACAGTTCAGTCCATAGCACTGGGTCTGGCTTTTTAATTCATTTTTACAATTTCTGCCCTTAGTGGTTGGCCTGGGGATTACAATATACATTTTTATCTTTTTACAGTTTACTTACAGTTACTCTTGTTCTACTTCATGAAAAAATACAGAAACCTTGGAACTGTATAGGTTCCTATCGCCATCATCTCCTTTATGTTATGACTGTCATGGTTTTTTGTTTGTTTTGTTTTGTTTTTCTGAGACGGGGGTCTCACTCTGTCACCCAGGTTGGAGTGCACATTACACCCTCCACCTCCCAGGCTCAAGCAGTCCTCCCATCTCAGCCTCCTGAGTAGCTGGGACTACAGGCATGAACCACCACACCCAGCTAGTTTTTTTTTTTTTTTTTTTTGTAGAGACAGGGTTTCCCCATGTTGCCCAGGCTGGTCTCGAACTCCTGAGCTCAAACAATTTGCCTGCCTCAGCCTCTCAGAGTGCTGGGATTACAGGCACGAGCCACTGCGCCCAAACTGTTTTTTGTTTGTTTGTTTTTGTTTTTGTTTTTGTTTTGTTTTGTTTTGAGACAGTGTCTTGCTCTGTTGTCCAGGCTGGAGTGCAGTGGCATGATCATAGCTCACTGCAGCTTCAATCTCCTGGGCTCAAGGGATCCTCCCACCTCAGCCTCTTGATTAGTTGGGACTATAGGCATGCACCACCACACACACCTGTTTTGTTTTTTTTTTTTAATCTTATTTTTAGTAGAAATGAGGTCTTGCTGTGTTGCCCAGGCTTGTTATATGTTGTATATCTGTATAGGTTATAAATCCCACAAGAAAATGCTTCAATTTTTGCTTTTAATAGCCATATGTATTATAAAGAAATTAAGAAGCAAAAAAACTTAGTATTTTTATTTACCCAGATATTTACCATTTCCAATGCTTTCTACTTATTTTTAATAATGTTTGTTTATATCTGGTAATATTTTCATTTAGCATAAATAATTCCTTTGGCATTTTGTTTTGTAGTGAGAGTTACTGGCGAAGAAGTCTTCATTTTACCTTTATTTGTGAAGGATATTTTTTGCCAGATATAAAATTCTGGTCTGGCAGTTTTTTCTTTAAGTACTTTAAAGATGCTTTTCTTACTCTTTCCTGGTCTGTGTAGTTTCTGATGATAAGTCCACTGTCATCATTGTTCCACTGCATATAATTTGTCATTTCTCGCTGCTTTCCAGATTTGCTCTTTATCTTAGGTTTTCAAAAGTTTAACTATGATGTGCCTCGGTATGGCCTTTCTCATGTTGATTCTGCTTAGTGTTCATTGAGCATTTTGAATCTGTAAATTTACATTCTCCATAAAATTTGACAGATTTTTAGCCATTATTTTAAAAATATTTTTTATGCTTCCTTTTCTCTTTTTTTCCTTGGGGTTACTACACTTACATATATATGAAACCAGTTGATATTATCTAACAGTTACCTAAGGCTCTATTCAGCTTTTTGCTATTTTTTTTCCTCTGTGTTTCTTATATTGGATAATGTTTAATGTGTAATTTTTGGTTGCTTTTTGTTTTTTCCCTAATGTCTATTGATCTATCTTCAAGTTCACTTACTGTTTCCTCTATTACCTCAACTTGGCTGTTAATCATTTTGAACATGTAAATTTTAGATATTACGTATTTTAGTTCTAGAATTTCCATTTGGTTCTTTTACGCTGTATTTTTCTCTGCTCTTTTCATTTGTTGTGAGCAAAATTTACCTTACTTCATTAGGGATAGCAATAGTAGCTGCTTTAAGATTCTTAATACCTTTGTATAGGAAACAACATTTAACAGATTAATGTTGGAAATGGGTGCATGGTACTCCCGTACCCTTGCCTCCTGTGAGGGATGACTATGAGGCACACACTTAGCACTGGTTCTCAGAGTTTCCTCCAGGGTCCTTGAGTTCCAGGTGGCCACAGTGGTAACTGACTTGATAATACATGTTTATTGGCTGCCTTGTTGCCTCTGTTTCACTGTCTCACTTTCTTTCCTTTTTTTTTTTTTTTTTTGAGACAGGATTTCGCTCTGTTACCCAGGCTGGAGTGCAGCGGCTTGATCTCAGCTCACTGCAACTTCCACCTCCCGGGTTCAAGTGATTCTCATGCCTCAGCCTCCCGAATATCTGGAATTACAGGCACTCACCACCACGCCTGGGTAATTTTTGCATTTTTAGTAGAGATGGGGTTTCATCATGTTGCCCAGGCTGGTCTTGAACTCCTGAGCCCAAGTGGTATGCCCGCCTTGGCCTCCCAAACTGCTGGGATTAAAGGTGTGAGCCATAGCACCCAGCCCACTGCCACACTTTCTAACTGGTGTTTCCTTCACCCAGAGAGTAAACCACTGGTTCTTGAACCTTTGACTTAGGGTCTATTTGTATGGGAACTCTGACTAAAGCAGGAGTTGTGGTTGAAGTATATTGTCTGTAATTCTTGCTACACAAAGTGTAGTCTGCAAACCAGCATCATCAGATGTCTGTTTTCTCTGTGAATCTAATCACAGATGTTCTCTAATTTCCACCAAATCTCTTAAAATTTCTGGGCTGTTGATGGCACCATGTCTTGTTTTCAAAGCTGTTATAAATGTATTTTAAAATTATGCATTTCATTATTTCACTTAAGCACATATGCTCAGTCATGTTGAACTAGATATTTTATCACTTTCTAAGTTTAGATTTGTAAATTCCAACTGAATTTACTCTTAAATTATCTATTATTGGCTGGGCACAGTGGCTCATGCCTGTAATCCCAGCACTTTGGGGACTGAGGCTGGTGGATCATTTGAGGTCAGGACTTTGAGACCAGCCTGGCCAATATGGTGAAACCCAGTCTCTACTAAAAATAAAAAAATTAGTTGGGTGTGGTGGCGTACACCTATAATCCCAGCAGAGGCAGGAGAATTGCTTGAGCCTGGGAGGGGAGGTTGCAGTGATCTGAGATCGCACTACTGCACTTCAGCCTGGGCAACGGAGTGAGATTTTGTTTCAAAAAAAAAAAAAACTATTCTATTTGTCTACCTCAACAAAATATATTTTGATAACCCTATAAAATTGTTTTAATCACATTATGTTAAAAAGATGTTTCCTTTAGGACAGTGAAAGAAAACCATTCAACTCCCCATTTTACTAACTAGAATAATTATTCCTATGAACAGACTTGATTTTAAATATTTCTTTGCAATTCAATTAGTCATATATTTTCCCCAAACTTCCAGCATTTTACTTTTTAAATTATTAGTATTTTTTCTTTTTTTCTTTTTTATTTGAGATGAAGTCTTGCTCTGTCGCCCAGGCTGTAGTGCAGTGGCGGGATCTCGGCTCACTGCAAGCTCCGCCTCCAGGTTCATGCCATTCTCCTGCCTCAGCCTCCTGAGTAGCTGGGACTGCAGGCGCCCGCCACCACGCCCGGCTAATTTTTTTTTGTATATTTTTAGTAGAGACGGGGTTTCACGTGTTAGCCAGGATGGTCTCACTCGTGATCCGCCTGCCTCGCTGGGATTACAGGTATGAGCCACCACGCTCGGCCAGTATTTTTTCTTTTTTGCTCCTGTCATCTAATCAGAATAAATGCTTTAATTTCCTTTTCCAGTTTCCCAAAGATAGAGGAGATAAGGGAAATTACCATCACGTTCTCTACACTATTATGCATGTGAAGCTATAAATTTTCCTAAATCACAATGTCCCCGATAACTTAGCTTTGCTGAAGAGGAGATACCAATTTAACTTTTTGCTTTCCATAGCCAGAACTAATAAAAGCTGAAGTTTATATATAACAACTGTAAATTTTACAAGCTAATCATTACTCTGGAAACTTTTTTAGAGAACTTCATTTCACCAGATTATTTCTGCTTTCTATGAAAAGACTGTAGTCTTTTAGTTAGAACACAAACTTTGGAGAAAGAGAAATCCACACACTTAAACAGAAAACTCAAGTTTTGTAGAAAGACTTTAAATGGTTCCAAGACACACTGACATAAATATGCAAATATCTCAAGGCACACACTTATGTCCAGGGCTGCCCATGATGAGTGACCGTCAGGAGGAGAACCCGGTGCTTCTGGGGCCTTAGGCTGAGTTTCCTGGGGAGCTGTTCATAGTAGTCCTTTCCTCCATGCAGGGAATTGTGCTGGCATTCTACATGGCACTGGACATTTATTCTCTGAAGTATTTCCACCAGGCTCTTCCATGTCATTCCAAGAGATGCTAAAAGGTAAGAGACCTGTTCCAGTCCTTCCTCTGATCTAGGGTATGAATCTGTGTGTGCACTGGGAAAGAAGGAGGGATTATCTTTGCAGATGTGCAGGATAGGAAGGGGAAGTGTGGACGCCTGTCACAAATCACCTTTTCCTCTTACTGTAAAGTAATAAAAACAAACAGCATCCTAACCTCTCTGCCAGGGAGTGGGGCTGCTGTTTACAGATAAACAGAGACCTGCTGCCTGTTAGGATCCTGGTAACAAAATTCAGTGAGAAGACTGAAAACACAATTGTGTTTACAGATCAGCAGCGACATGCCAATGTCATGTTGGCGGTGGAAGGCAAAGGTCATGTTTACTGCAAGCAGAGGTGCCTGAGCTGCCACAGGGGCTGCTGGCGGGGGATTTTGAGGAGGAGGAGGAGGGCTGCAGCAGCAGTGGATCTGCAGTCGCCTGACGTGGGTAGCCTCAAACCTAAAACCACATGACACAGGATCACAAAAGCAAAGCCCCGATCCCATTGTGCATTATAGCACTGCAGCACCATGTGGTCTGAAATGGGCCCAGTGAGCTGGCTCTGATTTATTCCAATCCCCAGAAACTTTGCTTCTGGCTAGGGAAGAAGACTCCTCTCAGAAAAATAGGTTGGGCAGCAGAGGAACACAAATCCCATAAAAAGGGCATCCATCTTATATACATATAACTGTGGTCACAGCAAGACATAAGCTCGCATCCCCAAGGACAGGTACTGTCCATCCAGTGAATCAGTCCTTTTTGAAGGCAGAATGGCATGATAGTTACACATGCTCTGAGGTCAAAAAGACTTGAGACCTGGCTCTGCCACATGCTTTTATTTTTCATTTTATTTTATTTTTTTCTTTGAGACAGGGTCTCACTCTGTCACCCAGGCTGGAGTGCAGTGGTGCGATCTTGGCTCACTGCAACCTCCGCCTCCCAGGTTCAAGCGATTCTCAAACTTCAGGCTCCTGAGTAGCTGGGATCACAGGCACGTGCCACCATGCTCGGCTAATTTTTGTATTTTTAGTAGAGACAGGGCTCCACCTTGTTGGCCAGGCTGGTCTCAAACCCCTGACCTCAAGTGATCCACCTGCCTCGGCCTCCCAAAGTGCTGGGATTACAGGTGTGAGCCACCATGCCCGGCCTGCCACGTGCTTTTGATGTGATCTCGAGCAATTACTGAAGCCCTTGTAACCCAAGTTTCATCATCTACAAAATAAGAATAAAGTTGCTCATCTCTTAAGATTAATAAGAGGATTAATAGAAATAATAATTGGAGAGTGTTTTTCGCAGCTCCTGGTGGTAAGCACTCAATAAATGGTAGCTAATGATACTACAGGGAAATCTAGGGGAAAGGGTTTGTATCTAAGACAACTGGGTATAAATTGGTGACTCCCAGGAGTTACAGCAGCTTGGGGAAAGAGTGCAGCTGGTCTTTGTTTTGGTGTCACAGCTGGAGGGCATTGAGGTAAAGAGGTGGAGTGACCCTCTCTTTCTGATGTGCCTGGGACTTTCTCAATTTTAACATTACATGACCTGGGAAACCCCTCAGTCCTGGGCAAACCAGATGGTTGGTCACCCTAGAGGCCTAACTGGACTTGGTTAGAGAGTGATTGCAAGTAAAGTGTGTTCTGGAATATTTCCTCCTAAGCTGGCCCACTGTGTCTTAAACCCGAGACTTTTTTTGGTGAGGTTGGGGTGGGGGATGGTGGGAAATGGGCTGTTTATTTGGGCATAGCTCTGCTGAGTGGAAAGTGGGTGCTGGCCCCATTAACGCTTGCTGGCTGGAGGCTTTCACAGCACTCCCCCTCCTCAAGGATCAGCTCTGCTAGCTCAGACTTCTGGTGGAAGGGGCCCAACAGGGGATATGGTCCTTGGCTTCATCCTGTTTAATGGCTTTAATTGAAGCTGGAGTTCTCTGGCAGGGCAGCTTCCACCCAGCATGCTGAGCAAATCCCCTCCCCACTGGGCCCAGTCATCAAGCAGATTTGTGTGGGGTGGCAGGGACACCACTTTCTCTAGCTCTTTTCCAAGGAAAATCTATGCAGAATGTTCAGGTGACATTGCCGGCCACCTGTGAACGCACACTGGACTTCCGGGGCAGAACCACTAGATTAAAGCTGGGTTTCCATTTACCATGATCCACCTGAATAGTTAACCAGCCTACCCTGGAGCTCACGTCTGTGGCCTCTCCTAGACCTTGTCTTGGCAGCAGGGAAAGGCTAGAGTCAAATGTTCAAATAGTAAAAAAGGGCTAGGTGCAGTGGCTCACACATGTAATCCCAACACTTTGGGAGGCTGAGGCGGGAGGATCGCTTAAGTCCGGGAGTTTCAGGTTACAGTGAGATGTGATCATGCCCTATGCACTCCAGCCTGGGTGACAGAGTGTGACCCCCATCTCAGGACAGAAAAAAAAAAGGTAAAATATTTTAATGCATCCAGGTTAAGTGCTGCAGCTTGTGATTTCCAAGCACACACAGCCAATCCTGGCTTGTAGGAGCCACAGATCGGCATCTCCAGGATCCTTACTGTCCTATCTTCCTCCACCAAGCTCCAGGCAAAGAGTGCTTGTTAATATCAATATTTGGGGGGCATTCAATATATATGTATTAATTGAAAGACATGATTTAACACTTGTAATACTTAATTTCAGCATATTGATTTATATGCATATGTTATTTCTGACTATATAATAATTGCAAAGTGTCACGAACAAAAGAATGAATGAATGAATGAAAATTGTGGTGGTGGATAGAATTCTCCACACTTCGGTTTCAAAGTAGGATACCAGAGTTTCGTTTTTTGAAAGAATGAATGATGTTTTAAAAAATGTAACTTAGATCATGCTACTGCTGAAGAGTCTCCAACGGCTTTCTGTTGCACTCAGGAGTCAAATCCAAGTTGTTCAGCATATCCTTATATGATCTGGCCCCCATCTGCCTCTCCATCGTTACTTTGCACCCTGAGATCTTTCCATGCTAGCCACATGGTCTTTCTTCCTGTGTCATTGACATGCCAATGTTATCCCATGATATTCGTGATTCCCTCTGCTTGGAGCATGCTGCCCACAGTTGCTGGCCCAGATGCCTCCTTCCAGTTAGTCCAGCCTCAGAAAGTTGTTATGTTCCCAGAAAGGCCTTCCTTGACCGATGTATATAAACAGCATCCTCCTTGTAACCCATGCATACAGGTTTTATCTTATGTATTTGTTTATGTGTCTAAATCCTCCCCCGACAACACTCCAACTGAAATGCAAACTCTATGGCAACAGAAACCCCATCTGTATGATTCACCATTGTAAACCCAGTATTCAGCATATGGAGCATACTTCATAAATGTCTGTAAGTGATGAATATGTATGTGGCAGATTGCATTTCCCAAAGATGGCTGCAACAATGTGTCCCATCCCATGTGTTCTACATCCATGTTCCCCACCTGCCGTCTCACCCCTTGAATCTGGTTGGGATTGTGACAGTTGGGAAGGTAGCACTATGTGACTTCTGTGCTGAGACTTAAAAGGTAACACAACTTTGGATGGGTCTCTTGAGATGCTCACCCTTGGAACCCAGCCACCATTTTGGAAGGAAGCCAAGTGCCACCTGGAGAAGACACATGTATGTGTTCTGGCCCCGGCCCCAGCTCAGGTCCCAGCTGGCAACCAGCATGGTAGTGATTGGGACTTCAGATGACACCAGCCCTAAGCATTTGAGCTGTCCCAGCTGATGCCAAGTAGATCAGACACAAGCTGTCCCTGCTGAGGCCTGCCCAAATTGCAGAGCTCACGAGCAAGATAAATATTGTTGTATTAAGCCACTACATTTTGGAAGTAGTTTATTACACAGCAATAGATAAGTGGAACAATATGTCAAGATGTACTATTCCCTCAACAAATATTTTTCAAGAGCCTACTTTGTGCCAGGCCCCATGACAGGTTTTTGGGCTGTAGTGGGTAACCAGATGGACAAGGACACTGGAGATAGGCACAATAGTAGATGCGACAGCCAAGGAGCCTGCTTTCTAACAGTCTGGTAGGGAAGCCAAACTTAGAAGAAGTAGGTTAAAATAAAATGACTGGATTGTTCTAAGGAAAACTCATTCATACATAAGCATGTATTATAAGGAGGCAAATGCTGTCTCTGGGTATATGATTGTATTAGTTTCTATTTTGCTGCTATAACAAATTGCCATGAACTTAGTTAAAACAACACAAGTTAATTATCTTACAGCTCTGGCCATCAGAAGTCCAAAATGGGTTGGCAGAGCTGCTTTCCTTTCTGGAGGCTCTAAAGGAGAATCTGTTTCCCTGACTTTTCCAGCATCTAGAGGATGGTTGTATTGCTTGGTTCATTGCTCTTATCACCCCAACTTCTGCATCTATGCCTCTGACCTTGATGTCTTTGGGGGGGCCATTATTCTGTCTACCATGATGAGAAATGCATCCAGGATGAAAGGCTAAGTGGCTTTTCCTCTCTTGCTAGGGAAAGCAGTGTTGCCCCTCCGTCCTAGAATGAATGCTGCCACTTGGAGGGTAACCCAACATGGCACAGTGCTGACCCTCCAGCATGCTGGCAACAAGGCCGGACCAAGGAGGGAGAATAAATGTCTGCCTGGAATGATACCAGAGTGTCACTCCTCCTTGGACTGTCCAGGTCTTGAGGGAAGACTATGTCCCTTGGTATATAAGTAAAAAATTACATATCCACAAACATTTCCTAAGAAGCTAATCTGAAAGAATAAAAAGAAATGAATAAGAAATAATCCTTGCCTTAAAACAGGGCCTTCCTTATAAGGCAGATAGACATAATAACAGGAAATCAAAACCAATGAGAAAGGTACAATAATCTGCACAAGATGAAGTGTTTTTATGTCTGTATGATGCCATTAATAATAACATGTTAAAATAACAAGCACTATATTGAGTGCCAGCTCCATGCCAGACTCTGAACGAGGTAAACATCGGCCTTCTCTGTGTACGGTCTAGACCAAAAGGGGCAGCCTGGGCCAAGTGTGCAAAGATAGTGCAAGAGTTAGTCTACCAATAATCAAAAAAGTTCATATTAAAACAACAATGAGACATGATTTCATGCCCATCAGATTGGACAAATATTAAAAAGCCTGACAGCATTAAGTATTGCTGAAGATATAAGGACGTGAGAACTCACATGTGCTGCTAGTGAAAGTATATATTTGAAAAGCAATCTACAAGGAACTTAAACAAATCCACGAGAAAAAAAACAACCCCATCAAAAAGTGGACGAAGGATATAAACAGACACTTCTCAAAAGAAGACATATATGCAGCTAACAGACACATGAAAAAATGCTCATCATCACTGTCCATCAGAGAAATGCAAATCAAAACCACAATGAGATATCATTTCATGCCAGTCAGAATGGTGATCATTACAAAGTCTGGAAACAACAGATGCTGGAGAGGACGTGGAGAAATAGGAATGCTTTTACACTGTTGGTGGGAGTATAAATTAGTTCAACCATTGTAGAAGACAATGTGGCGATTCCTCAAGGATATAGAACCAGAAATACCATTTGACCCAGCCATCCCATTACTGGGTATAAATCCAAAGGGTTATAAATCACTCTACTATAAAGACACATGGACACGTATGTTTATTGCAGCACTATTTACAATAACAGAGACTTGGAACCAACCCAAATGCCCATCAATGATAGACTGGATACGTGGCACATATCCAATGTGGCACATATCCAATGATAGACTGGAAATGTGACACATATACACCATGGAATACTATGCAGTCATAAAAAGAATGAGTTCATGTCCTTTGCAGGGACATGGATGAAGCTGGAAACCATCATTCTCAGCAAACTAACAAAGGAACAGAAAACCAAACACTGCATGTTCTCACTCATAAGTGGAAGTTGAACAATGAGAACACATGGCCACAGGGAGGGGAACATTACAGGCCTGGGGCCTGTCAGGAGCAAGGGGGCAAGGGGAGGGAGAGCATTAGGACAAATACCTAATGCATGTGGGGCTTAAAACCTAGGTGATGGGTTGATAGGTGCAGCAAACTACCATGGCACATGTATACCTATATAACAAACCTGCACATTCAGCACATGTATCCCAGAACTTAAAGTAAAATAAAAATAAAAAATAAAAAAAAGAAAAGCAATTAGACAGTATCAACTACATAGCCCGGCAATTCCTCTTCCAGGTGTGTAGCCTGGGACAGCAGTTCTCAAAGTTCTCTCCCCAGTGCCCCGGAAGGGGTCCATGAAGCCACAGCTATTTTCATAATAACATTAAAATGCTATTTTGCTTTTTCATTCTCATTATATCATAAGTGTCCAGCTGAGTTTTCTGGAAGTTAAATAATATGTGATATGACACAGATTAAATGCAGAAGCAGATATGAGAATTCGATTTCTTAAGCTAGACATTAGAGATTTTTAAAAGTATAAGACACTTTCACTCTTCTCTCTAATCTTTTTGTTTTAGAAATGAACATATACTTGTTTATCTTCTATGTGTCATTTAAAAAAATTAAAGTAACATTATTTATAAAATTATTTAATAAATACCTAACATTTTCTCAGTTTTAGTTTCAAATAGGGTCAACACTGGCAGGTATAATATGCATAAACAAAAGCTCTTTGGGGTCCTCAATGATTTTTAAAAGTGTAAAGGGGTCTTGAGACCAAAAGGTTTAATAATCACTGTCCTAGTGATTCTCACTAGGACATAAATGTCTCATATTTATGTGCAAAAAGATATGGATCAGGATGTCCACTTTAGCACCGTCTTAGGCAGTAAGAAATTGGAAACAAGCTGGATGGCCATCCCTAGGGGACTTGCATAAATATTTTAATATATTTGTAAAATAGCACACCATATGGCAGTTGTAGTGAATGAACTAGGTGTATGTGAATCAACACTAAAAATCTCAAAAGCAACATTGAAAGAATAAAAAGCGAGTATCAAAAGAATATATTCAGTGGCCGGGTGCGGTAGGCTCACACCTGGAATCCCAGCACTTTGGGAGGCCGAGGCAGGTGGATCATGAGGTCAAGAGTTCAAGACCAGCCTGACCAACATGATGAAACCCCGTCTCTACTAAAAATACAAAAAATTAGCCAGGCATGGTGGTGCGTGCCTGTAATCCCAGCTACTCGGGAGGCTGAGGTAGGAGAATCACTTGAACCCGGGAGGCGGAGGTTGCATTGAGCTGAGATCACACCACTGCACAGCCTGGGTGACAGAGTGAAACTCTCTCTCTCTCTCTCTCTCTCTATATATATATATTTAGTATTATTCCACATATTTAAAATGTAAAGACACAAAGTCATTCTATGCATTGTTTCTGGAAACATGCAGGTATACTTAAATTTTAAAATATTAATGGCTAAAATAAAATAATACTAACAATAGCAAGTGCTGGAGAGTCTGTGGAGCAACTAGAACTCTCATACACTGCTGGTGTGAACACCAATGGGTGTTACCACTCAAGAAAACAGTTTGGCAGTCTCTTACAAAGTTAAATATACCCTATCATATGATCTAGCTATTCCATTGTTGGGTGTTTATCCAAGAAAAATAAAAGTTGTGGTAATATACACAAAGACATGTACATGATTTTTTTCTCTATTTCTTTCACAGGTGTGGAATGTACTTGAATGTTTATAGTGGCTCTATTGTAATCACCAAAAACTAGAAACAACCCAAATCTCCTTCACAGGTACACGGATAAACAAACTGTGGCATATCTATCCAATGAAATGTTACTTAGCAATAAATATCCACAACAACTTGAATGGATCTCAAAAGCATAATGCGAGTGAAGGAAGTCAGCCTCAAAATGTCACATACTATATGATTCCACTTATATGATACTTTCGAAGAGACAATATTATAGTGATGAAGAACAAATTAGTGGTTGCCAGGGGATGGGTGGCAGAAGGGTATAACTACACAGGGATAGCAGGAGAGAGTTTTTGAAAGTGATAGAACTCTTCTGTACCCTGATTGTGGTGGTCATTATACAAATCTGTGCATGTGTTAAAATTCATAGAACTATACACAAAAGTTTGAAAAGCAATTTTTATATTATTTTTTAAATTTAAATTTTATTTTTAAATGAACTTTTTATTTTAGAATAGTTTTAAATTTACAGAAAAGTTGCAAAGATAGTACAGATAATGTGCATATGCCCCACACTCATTCCCTATGAAAACCCTACATTAGTATGGTACATTTGTCACAAGTAATGAACCAATATTGCTATGTTATTATGAACTAAAATTCATCCCTTACTCAGATGTCCTTAGTTTTTACCCATGTCCTTTTGCTATTTCAGGATCCCATCCAAGATACCACGTTATATTTTATCATCATGTCTTCTAAGGCTCCTGTAGACTGTGACAGTTTCTCAGGCTCTTCTTGTTTTTGATAACCTTGACAGATTGGAAAATAACGACCAGCTGTTTTGTAGAATGTCTCTCAGTTGAGGTTTGCTGTTTTTTTTTTTTTTTTTAATTTAACTGGGATTTGGAGTTTTGGAGAAGAAGACCACAGAGAAAGTGCCATTCTCATCACATCATATCAGGGATTCATACTATCTAAATGACTTATCATTGTTGATGTTAATATTTATCAGCTGGCCAAGGTACTGTTTGCCAGTTTCTCCACCACAAAGCTATGCTTCCCACCCCCATTGCCATATTGTGCTCTTGGAAGGAAATAATTACTTGCAGCCCACACCTAAGGAGTGTGCAGTTATGCTCCACAAGGTCAGGAGTTTGAGAGCAGCCTGACCAACATGATGAAATCCCATCTCTACTAAAAATACAAAAAGTTAGCCAGGCATGGTGGTGTGCGCCTATAATCCCAGGTACTCAGGAGGCTGAAGCAGGAGAATTGCTTGAACCCAGCAGGCAGAGGTTGCACTGATCCGAGATCACACCACTGCACTCCAGATGTTCCTCGAGGAAGGAACATCTACATAAATTACTTGGAATTCTTCTGCACAGGAAACGTACTTATTCTTCCACACTTATTTATTTAATCATGTATTTATATTAGTATGAACCAATGGATGTTTATGCCGTGGATTATAATTCAATTCTGCATTATTATTGTTATCATTATTTCACTCTAATTGTTGGGAGCCGTTGGGAACTCTTTATGTTGACTCATGTGTCCCTTTGACACGGCCCCATTGTTATATGTGAGTGTGTTTAGCACTTCTTCACTTTCTGGCACTACAAGAAGTCCCAGGATCATCTTGTATATTTCCTGCCCCAGCCCCAGAATCAGCTGCTTCTCCAAACAGCCCTGGTTCTTTTTAATGGAGAATGGTGTTAGACAGCAAGGTCTGGGCACTGGGTGTGCTAATTGATACTGGGGTGTCATCTTCAGGTCCTCTTATCTGACAGAGCAAGAAAATGTATGTGTGTATGCTTCCCAATGTACATATGCATATCTATAAATGTGTCCATTTGTATCAATATTAGGCTACCCATGAGTTCATATTGATGCCTCCTACTCTAATTTATCAGGTATTATTCTAACCTTCCCTGTAACTTGTCTGTAACCTCCCACCAGTGAGAAGCCTGGCTCCCAACATCTGCTATCCATTTACTCAATTGATCAATATCTATATATGTGTTTAGTGGCTTCAAAATTGTTAACCTATGCCCCTAAGGGAAAAAATTTTACCAGTTAAAGTACAGTAACTGTCTGCAGTTCCTTTTGCTTTAAGTCATATAGTCTCCCTTCATTTTCAAGGTCATTTTGGTCAGCACTCTGATCAGTGAGGTTATTTCATACATTTCATACATTCACATATTTCATGCACAAATTCTTGTGCCTCAGTCTTCATCCTATCTAGGTATCCTCCAACTTCCTAAATGATTTTTATTTAATTTGCATGCATTAGAGTTTACTCTTCCTACTGTAAAGTTCTATAGGTTTTGACAAATGAATAATGTCACTTACTCCCCTGTACAATATCACTCTGAATAGTTTCATTTTCCCAAAAAATGCCCTTTGCCTCACCCACTCAACCTTTTCCCTTTCCCAAATGCCATGCAACCACTCCTCTGTTTGCTGTCTCTATAGCTTTGCCTTTTCCAGAATGCCATTTAAGTGGAGACTTTTCAAACAGGTTTCCTTCACCAAACAATATGCATTTGATTTGCACATGTTTTTGCATGGCTTGATAGCTCATTCCTTTTAATGGCTGAATAGTACTCCATTGTTTGGATGGATGACAGTTTGTTTATCCATTTTCCAATTGAAGAATATCTTGGTTGCTTTCACTTTCTGATGGTTATATTAATTTTTAAAAAGCTGATAACAACATTAAGGTGTTGGATTTTGTGTGCACATAACTTTTCAAATCAGTTTGATAAATACCTGCAGCTCAAGTGCTGGATTTCATAAGGCATCAGTCTAAATTAATTTGTTTTTCTTTTCATGAACACTGGAGGAAAGGATCTAAATTAATTTTTTCATTTCATTTGATTTTTCCTCCAAGAGTGCTTTCAAAGTTTTTAGGTGGCATATCTTCTGTAAATATTTTTATTTTCACTTTGAAGTAACAATATGATTAGATATAAAATTTTAAGCTTAAATTTTTTCTTGAAAACTTTTAAATATGTTCAATTGTCTTATGTTTTATTTTCTTACATTAGACTACGTTATACTTTAGAAATACCACAATTTTTAAAAAGGCATTTTCATCATGTCAGTCTTTGAACATAAAAGTTCTTCAAGGTGTGAAAGTTCTTCAGTATATAAGCAGAGGAACAGGCACAGTGGTTCACACCTGTAATCCCAGCACTGTGGGAGGCCGAGGCAGGAGGATCGATTGAGGCCAGGAGTTTGAAAGCCTGGGCAACCAAATGAGGCCCTGTCTCTAAAATAAAAATAAAAATAAAAATAGATAAGCAGAACTTGGAAAGTGGATGGCCTGGCACCTCTTTCTAACACTTAGTGGTGGGTATCAGTCAACAGACTCACCTGACAGACCCATCATCTTCACATCTTACACCTCATGTAAGTAGAATTGTGCACCATTTGTCATTCTGTGACTGCTTATTTCATTTAGTCTAATATCTTAAGGTTTATCCATGTTTAGCATGTGACAGGACCTCCTTTTTTAAGGCTGCATAATATTCCACTATATGTGTACACCATATTTTCTTTATCCACTTCTCTGTCAGTGGACATTTGGATTGCTTCTACCACTTGGATATTGTGAGTACCCTGCAATGAACATGGGAATGAAAATACCTCTTTGAGATCCTGATTTAAATTTTTTTGGATAAACGCCCAGAAGTGAGATTGCTTGATCTTAGGGTAGTTCTATTTTTAATTTTTTGAAAAATCTCCATACTGTTTTCTGTAGTGGCTGCACCATTCTACATTCCCACCAACAGGGCAAAGGGGTTCCAGTTTTCTCCACATCGTCACCAACATCTGTTATTTTCTTTATTATTTATTGAATAACAGACCTCCTAACAGGCGTGAGGTGCTATCTCATTGTGGTTTTGATTTGCATTTCCCTGACGATTAACATTGTCTTTTCACTCTGTTTATTATTTATTTTCTTTGTTGTGTAGAAGCTTTTTTTTTTTTTTTTTTTTTTTTTTGAGACACAGTCTCACTTTGTCGCCCAGGCTGAAGTGCAGTGGTGTACCCTCAGCTCCTCAGCTCACTGCAGCTTAGACCTCCTGGGCTCAAAAGACCCTCCCACTTCAGCCTCCCGAGTAGCTGGGATCACAGGCAGGCCACTAGGCCTGGCTAATTTTTTGTACTTTTTGTAGGGACGAGGTTTCGTCATGTTGCCCAGGCTGGTCTCAAACTCCTGAGCACAAGAGATCCACCCACCTCGGCCTCCCAAAGTGCTGGGATTACAGGTGTGAGCCCCTGCACCAATCCCAGAAGCTTCTTAATTTAATATAGTCCCATTTGTCCATTTTTGCTTTTGTTGACTGTGTTTTGGTATCGTACCCCCAGCCCCAAAACATTACCAACACCAATGTCATGAAACTTTCTAATTCTGCTCTCCTCTGGGAGTTTTATGGTTTCAGGCTACTTTAAAAATTTAAAAACGTTATTCCATTGTCTTTTTGCTTCTGGTGTTGCTATTCAGAAATCAGATGTCAATGTGATTCCTGGTTGCTTTTTTTTTTTTTTTTTTTTTAATCACCTTCTTCTTAAAAACTTTTAGCACTTTGTCTTGATGGTCATATATTTTATTAAAATGTATATAGGGTTTTTTATAGTTGTTTCTGGTTGAACACAGGAATGATGTATAGACATTACACCTGCTGTCAGTCCTTCATATGTTTGTTTAAAAACAGCCAATCTCATCACAAGCCATTCTTTTTTTTTTTTCCCTGCCCCAAGCCATTCTTAACTAGGTCATTAAAACAATCTTTGGGCAAGAGCACCTCTGCCAGGATGGCCTCACTGCTTGCACCAAAAACACACTTCTGGTGGCCCCACAACTCTGGCTCCATTGTTTTCAATATTTGTTGGCCTTACTTCATTTTTTACAACTTTATATATTTTTAATAATTTTAATAACTTTATCTGAATAGACATATAATTCATATACAATGCAATCTACTCCTTTAGAGTGTACAATTCAGTGATTTTTAGGATATTTCCTAGGTTGTGCAACTATCACCATTATCTAAATTTAGAACATTTTCTTCACCCCGTAAGGATATCCCACACCCTCTAGCAGTCACTGTCATTTATCTTCTCCCCCAATCCCCTAGCAAGCTTTCTGTCCCTATGGATTTGCCTACTGTGGACATTTCATAAATGGAATCATCCAACGTGTAGCCTTTAGTAAATGGCTTCTTTCACTTAGCATAGTATTTTCAAGGTTCCTCCATGCTGTAGCAGGTATAAGTACTTTATTCTTTTTTATCACCTAATAATATTCCATTGTATGGATTTGCCACATTTTGCATATCCATTCATAAGTTAATGAACATTTGGGTTGCTTCCACTTTTTGACTGTTGTCAATAATGATGCTGTGGACATTCCATTTCTTATTTTTTTAGCAGTGGGGTCCTTCTGTGTTGCCCAAGCTGGAATGCAATGGCTATTCACAGGCATGATCATCACACACTATGATCTGGAACTCCTGGGCCATGGGATCTTTTAGCCTCAGCCTCCCAAGTACCTGGGACTTCAGGCATGTGCCGCCATGCCCACTGCTATGAACATTTTAAACAATTTTTTTGTGTGTGGACATATATTTTCAATTCTGTTGGTTATACATATAGGAGTGGAACTGCTGGTCATAAGGTAACTATGTTTAACATTTTGACGACTGTCAAATGTTTTCCAAAGTGACTACACCATTTTGTATTCCCACCAAGAAAATATGAGAGTTCCTATTTCTCTGCATCTTTGTCTTTGGTATTTTCAGATTTATGGATTTTAGCCATTTTAATAGGTATGTAGTGGTATCTCACTGTAGTTTTAATTTGCATTTTTTCTAATGACAAAAGACATTGAACACTTTTTCCTATGCTTATTTTCCATCTGTGTATCTTCTTTAATAAAATGTGTGTTCAGCTCTCTTGCTCATTTTTCATTGGAGAATTTGTTTTCTTATTAAGTTTTAAGAGGTTTTTGTATATTTTGGCTACAAGACTTTAATCAGATATGTTATATACAAACTACATGATAATTTCAAAGATGAAATTAAAAAAACACGTAAGCCATGAGAGGAAGGAAAAAAAAGCGTGCTGGGGGTATTTCGCGGCACAGTCTCTGGTGCTGGTGATCCTGAGTCCTGCTTCAGGCTTTGCTCCTTGTTAATGGTATGTTCTCCCTGAGTCTCAACTTCTCCCTCTGAAAATGGAGAAAAAATAATATTTCTCTTTGAGTTTGGCTGTGGGAACTAAATGAGGTGATGTGTAAAGATTGCTGGTGCTTAGTGAAGGGTCAATAAATGGTACTTTAAATGGACTTAACTTACCCAGGATTCTCTGGGCAGGGAGGGGAGGAACCAGACACAAACCTTGGGATTTCTGCTTTCAAAACTCATGTCTTTTCCATACTGTCCCCACCAGAGGGCAGCATTAGAAGTCAGGCAGCCCTGGGGAGCCAATTTTACCTCTGCTACCTGCTAGCTGGGTTAACATAGGGAAGGTGACTTCACCTCCTCTCTGAGTCTCAGTTTCTCTTCTCTAGAGTGAGGGTTGGATGAACTAATACACACACACACACACACACACACACACATATATATATATGTCTAGCACTATCTCTGAGACATAGTGTATGGTATCTATTTCATTCATATACATTACCTTTTTTTTTTTTTTGGAGATGAAGTCCAGCTTTGTCACCCGGGCTGGAGTGCAGTGGCGCTATTTTGGCTCACTGCAACCTCCGTCTTCTAGGTTCAAGCGATTCTCCCGCCTCAGCCTCCCGAGTAGCTGGGATTACAGGCACCCACAACCATGCCCAACTAATTTTTGTATTTTTAGTAGAGACGGGGTTTCACCATGTTGGTCAGGCTGGTTTCGAACTCCTGACCTCAAGTGACCCACCTGCCTTGGCATCCCAAAGCGCTGGGATTACAGGCGTGAGCCACTGCACCCAGCCCATTTAAAAATATTTTATGTTTTTCATGTCAGATAGGTACTGTGCTGATATCATAGCAAGGTTTGAGGGAAACACATCTTACACATGAGTGTGAAAACCCAATCATCACACTTATGAGCTGCAAAAGGATCTATACACATTGTTTAAAAGATGCACCATGGTGTATTGGGAAAACATGAACTAAGAGACAGAGTCCTGGGCTCGTGAGCTATCTTGGTCTTACCTTGCTAAGTGACCTCATGCAAGTCTTGACCTCTCTGGACTTTGGAAGACTCTTCATCTAGGCTAAAACATGACAGTCACCAGTAGGGGGGGGCTTTCAAAATCCCAATTAAAAATATGAAATATATATATGTGAATGGTTAACACCAAAAGCAAGATAACAGATGCATCTGAAGAAAAAGAGAAGGGGATGAGATTGAAGAAGGAGGTTCAACTGTATTTACAGTGCTTTATTTCTTAAAGAAAAGTTGGAGTAAATAAGGCAAAATGCTTAGCTTTGATAAATCTATGTGGTAGAACACAATGGACAGTGTTCTCTATGCTTTTAAAAGGGAGAAAAGAGTTTGGTGAAAAGGAGATAGAGGATGGAATATTGGGTAAGGACATTTCAGGCATAAAGAAGTGAGCAGAGTGGCTCACGCCTGTAATCCCAGCACTTTGGGAGGCCGAGGCGGGCGGATCACGAGGTCAGGAGATCGAGACCATCCCGGCTAAAACGGTGAAACCCCGTCTCTACTAAAAAAAATACAAAAAATTAGCCGGGCGTAGTGGCGGGCGCCTGTAGTCCCAGCTACTTGGGAGGCTGAGGCAGGAGAATGGCGTGAACCCGGGAGGCGGAGCTTGCAGTGAGCCGAGATCCCGCCACTGCACTCCAGCCTGGGCGACAGAGCGAGACTCCGTCTCAAAAAAAAAAAAAAAAGAAGTGAGCAGAGACATAGAAGAGATAAAAAGTATGGAATTTTCCAAGATATTTTGATACATAAAATTCAAGGAAGGGACTGGCTGAGATAAGCAAGGAGTAGTAGAGAGGTCAAGTCAAGGAGGGCCTTGTGTGCCAAGCTGGGGAGTATGGACTTTATCTTTTCTACTGTGGAGGTAGGAAGGACAGTCACCAGAGTTGTGTGATATGTACTTTTGCAGTTTGAAATCATTCATTCGTTTGTTCTTCATTCATTCTTTCATTGACCCACTGCCTTTCCAATCTCATGCCAGTCATTGTTCTGGGCATTACAGATGCAGTGTTGAACAGGATGGGCACCATCCTTTCTTTGATGGAGTTACTCTCTTGGGAAAGCAGAGACTGAAGTAATTGATTATAACATTGATTAATTTCAAATGTGATTCACTACTTAGTAGCAGTGTAGAGGCTGGAGGCAAGGACACCAATTAGGGCTTATGACAGTAGTCCAGAAAGGGGAATTAGAGGCCCTGGACCAGGGCAATGGCAGATAAGATGGAGATGAAAAGACAGCATTGCAAATATTCTAGAAAGTGATGACTGGTTGAATGAGGAGGGGAAGAAGAAAGAGCAAATCGTCAATAATATTTCGGCCTGAGTGCCTGGGGGGAGCAGTGGTGCCACACTTTGTGAAGGAGAATAATGTCTTCTAAGTCCTTTCTATTTCCTGCATTTATGGTCCTCAAAATTGTTCAGCATCTAGGGTCCTTGTGTTTTCTGTAGAACATAATGAAATAATGATATTTGTATTCTGCAAATAAAATATATAATTTTTTGCTAGTCAAGCATCATGTTATATTAATTTCTAGCATAAGCAAGTAAAAATAGGTGCTTCAGTTTGAAGTAAAAATTCCAGGAGAAAGAGTTAAAATTAGAAAACATAGTCATTAATTTTTTTCTCTGAAAGTCTAGGAAATGACTTTAGACTTATACTACTTTAGCTGCAGAAAACCTTGGTCTGCTTTGAGGATGCCAGGATTCTTCAGGAACATCATTGGAAGACCTCTATCTTGTATAGCGAATCAGGGCCCTTCCTGGTGATGCTTATAGAGAATGTCATGGATATACTAGTTTTCCTTCCTAGTGGCAGAGAAAGGAGTAATGGAGGGAGAAGGAATAGCCCTACCACGGGGGATTTTTGGTGCTGATGCTGGTAGCGGGAATATCTGTCTAATCCTGAAGCTTCTGGTGATACCAGGATTGGAGGAATTTTCAGTCAAGAATGGGGCTTTAAAATAAAGTGAAGAAAGGCAAACAACCCAATTTTTTAAATGGGCAAAAGATTTGAACAGGCATTTTTCCATTATCAATGCCAATAAGCACATGAAAAGTGGTCAACATTATTGGTCATTGGGAAAATGCAAATCATAATGAGATGCCACATCACACTCCCTATTTTGGCTGTAGTCAGACAGACAGACAGACAGACAGACATGGAATGTGGAAAGTAAAACTCTGTGACATAATTTTTTTTTTTTTTTGAAATAGGATCTCACTCTGTTACCCATGCTGGAATGCAATGGCACAATCATTGCTAACTGCAGCCTCAAACTCCTGGGCTCAAGTGATCCTCTGGCCTCAGTCTCCTGAGCAGTTGGGATTACAGGCATGTGCCACTGCTTCCAACTTTGTTTTCAATTTTCAACCAAAATCTCCAAAGCACAAATTATTAGGCAAAAGGACCCCCTGAGAAAAACCAACAAAAACACTAAATGCAAAAGGCTAAAGAGCATATAAGTAGTCAAATTAATGGTAATCAGAGAAACGCAAATTAAAAGAATAACTGCCAGAAAATACACTTTAGCTATTAGACTTGGAAAAAATTAAACATCTAGATAATGCCAGGTGGCACTGGAGATCAGGGATTTAGGAATTGTCATGTGCCACTGGTGGGTGTATAGGTTGATGAAGTCATTCTGAAAACTTCTCAGTTCTGTACCTGGATAGGTAGCCCCCACAGAATTCTCATATACATATGGGGTTGCTTTGGCAGTTGACAGTTGGAAGCATTCTGGTTATCCATCACTTGAGAACTGGATTAGTAAAATGTGTCATATATATCTGAAGCAGTTAAAAGCATTAGTCCAGACATACAGATAGCAACATGGCTAGATCTTAAAAATGTTGAGAAAAGCAGAAACGGAATTAAATATATACAATTTTAAAACACGTGTCCATAAAAATGGATGTTATACCAGAACATATACAAAAGAAGGATACATATCTAAAATATCAAAACAATTTCATCTGGGGGAAGGGGAATGGAACTAAGAAATGGAAAGAAAAGTGTATGAATAAAGGGATGAATGGATGGCTGGAGGGATGGATGGGGGGATGGATGGAGGGATGGATGGAGGGATGGATGGAGGGATGGATGGGGGGATGGATAGGGAGATGGGGGTGGGAGGATGGGTAGATGAGTGGGTGACGTAAGGATTTCTCAAACAAGAGAGTGACCTTGCAAGGACTTCCAATGACGATATGCCTCAACTGAGGAGGACGATCACCTCAACCCTCTGCATGAGAAGTGCCATTTCAAAAACAAAACAAATCCCTAAATATCAAAGTGATCTCTAGCAACATTGATGAATTTTCATCAAGAAAGCATTTTTAGAGCAAATTCTATTAAGATCTTTGCCTTCTTGATTAGCTTTTTATGCAGCACTGGAGATCTTTATTGAATCTTACTTATGCCAGACACTGTTCCAGGTGCTGGAGGTGCATCCATGAAAAAACAAAGATCTCTGTCCTCAAGAAGCTTATATTCTGATGATGAAGAAAGACAATAAACATGAACATTGTAAATATATCAATTTTATAGTATAATATATCAAAAGTGCCTTTTTAAAAAAAACAGGGCAAAATAGATCAGCAAGGTGTGAAGCAGATTTTTTTTATTATTATTATTAATAGAGAAGTCACTTTGGACCTCACTGAAAAGGTGACTTGAAGAAACTTAGGGAGGAAGCTAAGCAGATATATGAGACAAGAGTTTCCAGAAAGATAAATGAGGTGGAGCAAAGGCCCTGAGGCAGAAGCGTGCTAGGAGAGCAGTGTGGCTGGAGCTATGTGAGGAAGAGGGGAGCAGTGGGCTATGAAGTCAGAGAAGCAAGGATGGGGCTGTGTCTGGGCAGATGATCACGCGGAACCTCAGAGGCAATTGTCAGGACTTCGGCTTTTACTCGAGTGAAAATGAGAGCCATTGCTGGATTTTGAGCATTTTGGTCACTGTGATGAGATCAAACTGTGGAGGGCAGGGGTAGAATCAGTGAGAACCGTTAGAAGGCCAGCGTAGGAATCCAGGTGAGAGACAGTGGCAGCTTGCAGCACAATGAATGGAATTGAGATGGTTAGAAGCCATTAGATCTTGGATACCTTGTTTATTTTGTTTTGAATTTTTTTGGCATTAATATATATAATAGAATTACTATCATTTTTGTTTTATAGAAATTGCATCATATTAGATACATCTTGCTTTTCTCACTTATCAGTAAATTATGGAAACTTCACCAAATCATCTAATATAAAGTTAATTCTTATAGTGGTAGTGAGATGCCTCACAGTGTACATTCAGAAATGTATTCAACCACTGTGCAGTCATACCTACAGATATTGTAGGTTCAGTTCCAGACTATCTCCATAAAGTGACTATCGCAATAAAGCAAGTCACACACATTTTCTGGTTTCCCAGTGCGTATGAAAGTTATATTTCTACTATGCTGTAGTTTATTAAATGTGCAATAGCATTATGTCTACAAAATGCATATAGCTTATCTATAAAATTCTTGGCCGGGCACAGTGGCTCACGCCTGTAATCCCAGCACTTTGGGAGGCCAAGGTGCACGGATCACGTGGTCAGGAGTTCCACACCAGTCTGGCCAGCATGGTGAAACCTCGTCTCTACTAAAAATACAAAAATTAGCTGGGCATGGTGGCACGCGCCTGTAGTCCCACCTACATGGGAGGCTGAGGCAGGAGAATCACTTGAACCCAGGAGGCGGAGGTTGCAGTGAGCCTAGATCGCGCCATTGCACTCCAGCCTGGGTGACAGAGCGAGACTCCGTCTCGGAAAAAAAAAAAAGCTAATGATTGTCTGAGACTTCAGCAACTTGTAATCTTTTTGGTGGTGGAGGGTCTTGGCTCCATGTTAATGACTGCTGACTAATCAGGGTGGTGGTTGCCAAAGGATGGGGTGGCTGTGGCAATTTCTTTCTTTCTTTCTCTCTCTTTCTTTCTTTCTCTCTCTTCTCTCTTTCTTTCTCTTTCTTTCTTTCTCTCTCTCTCTCTCTTCTAGTTGATGAATTTGTAGATTACTACAATGGGCCAAAGCTCATCAGATAGCAGTTTTTTGTTTTTGTTTTTGTCTGAGACAGGGTCTCACTTTGTTGCCCAGGCTGGAGTGCAGTAGCACAATCTTGGCTCACTGCAACCTCTGTCTCCTGGATTCAAGCAATCCTCCCGCCTCAGCACCCCGAAGAGCTGGGTCTATAGGCGCATAGGTGCACACCACAACACCTGGCTAATTTTTGTATTTTTTGTAAAGACAGGGTTTTACCATGTTGCCCAGGCTGCTCTTGAACTCTGGAGCTCAAGCGATCTGCCCACCTTGGACGCCCAAAGTGCTAGGATTATAGGTGTGAGCCAGGGTGTGTGGCCTGCAGTTTCTTAAAATAAGACCACAGTGAAGTTTGCTGCATCCATTGGGTCTTTCTTTCACAAAAGATTTCTCTGCAGCATGCGATGCTATCTGATAGCATTTTTACCCACAGTAGAACTTCTTTCAAAATTGGACTCAGTCCTCAAACTCTGCCCCTAATTTATCAACTAAGTTTATGTGCTATCTTAAATGTGTTGTCATTTCAACAATGCTCACAGCATCTTCGCCATCTCAAGAAAGTAGGTCTCGGCCGGGCGCGGTGGCTCACGCCTGTAATCCCAGCACTTTGGGAGGCCGAGGCGGGCGGATCACGAGGTCAGGAGATCGAGACCATCCCGGCTAAAACGGTGAAACCCCGTCTCTACTAAAAATACAAAAAAATTAGCCGGGCGTAGTGGCGGGCGCCTGTAGTCCCAGCTACTTGGGAGGCTGAGGCAGGAGAATGGCGTGAACCCGGGAGGCGGAGCTTGCAGTGAGCCGAGATCCCGCCACTGCACTCCAGCCTGGGCGACAGAGCGAGACTCCGTCTCAAAAAAAAAAAAAAAAAAAAAAAAAAAAAAAGAAAGTAGGTCTCATCTCAGGAAATCATGTTCTTTGCTCATCCATAAGAAGCAACTCCTTGACTGTTCAAGTTTGATCATGAGATTGCAGCAATTCAGTCATATCCTCAGGCTCCATTTCTAATTCTAGTCCTCTTTCTATTTCCAGCACATCTGCAGTTACTTCCTCCACCAAAGTCTTGAACTCCTCAAAGTGATTTATGAGAATTGGAATCAACTTCTTCCAAACTCATATGTATGTTGATATTTTGACCTCCTCCCTGAATCACAAATATTCTTAATGACATTTAGAATGGTGAATCCTTTCCAGAAGGTTTTCAATTTACTTTGCCCAGAGAAATCACTACCTATGGCAATTATAACCATATGAAATTTATTTCTTAAAAAATAAGACTTGAAAGTCAAAATTGCTCCTTGCTTCAGGGACTACAGAATGGATGTTTTGTCAGCAGGCATGAAAATAATGTTAATTTCGTTTTACATCTCCATCAGAGCTCTTAGGTGTTTAGGTGCATGGTCAATGAGCAATTATATTTTGAGAGAAATCTTTTTTTTTTTCCTGAGCAGTAGTTTTCAAAAGTGGGCTTAAAATATTCAGTAAATCATGCTGTAAACAGGTGTGCTGTCATCCAGGCATCGTTGTTCCATTTATAGAGCACAGACAGAGTAGATTTAGTCCTAGGAATTTTGTAATGGCATATGAGCATTGGCTTCAACTTAAAGTCATCAGCTGCATTAGCCCCTAACAAGAAAGTCAGCCTGCCCTTTGAAGCTTTGAAGACAGATATTGGCTTCTCCTCTCTAGCTATGAAAGTCCTAGGTGGTGTCTTCTTCCAATAGAAGGCTGTTTGTCTACACTGAAAACCTGTTATTTAGCGTAGTCACCTTCATCAGTGATCTTAGCTAGATTTTTTGCTAACTTGCTTCAGCTTCTACATCAGCACTTGCTACTTCACCTTGCATTTTTATGTTATGGAGACGGCTTCTTTCTTTAAACCTCATTAATCAACCTCTAGCAGTTTCTCACTTTTCTGCCACAGCTTCCTCACCTCCCTCAGCCTTCACAGAATTGGACAGCATTAGGGCCTTGCTCTGGATTAGGCTTTGGCTTAAGGGAATGTTGTGGCTGGTTTGATCATTTATCCAGACCACTCAAACTCTCTCCCTATCAGCAATAAGGCTGTTTCGCTTTCTTATAATTAATGTGTTCATTGAAGTAGCACTTTTAATTTCCTTCAAGAACTATTTCTTTGCATCCACAACTTGGCTAGCTTTCAGTCTGTCTCAGCTTTAGGTATGCCTTCCTCACTAAGCTTAATTATTTCTAGCTTTTGGTTTAAAGTGAGAGACTTGTGACTCTTTCTTTCACTTGAATGTTTACAGACCATTGTAGGTTATTAATTGGCCTAATTTCAATATTGTTGTGTCTTAGGGAACAGGAAGGTCTGAGGAGAGGGAGAGAGAGAGGGGAATGGCTGGTCGGTGGGGCAGTCAGAAACACATTTATTAAATAAGTTCACTGTCTTATACAGGTGTGGCTGTGGTGTCCAAAATGATTGCAACAGTAATATCAAAGATCACTGATGACAAATCACAATAACAGCTATAATAATAATAATAAAGTTTGAAATATTGTGAGAATTCTCAAAATGTGACACAAAGACAAAAAGTGAGCACATGCTGTTGGAAAAATGGTGCCAATAGGCTTGCTCAACACAGGGTTGTCACAACCTTCAATTAGTTGTAAAAGATGTAGTATCTGTGAGGTACAATGAGGCAAAGTGCAATAAAAGGAGGTATCCCTTTGTATCCACATTGTTATCTCTTCACTTCATTTTCACTATTTGTGTCTTTGAAAACAATGCTGAAGTAAAGATCCATGTATATGTATTTTTAATTCTGTTATTTATTGTTTTTTTAAGAGACTAGGTTTCGCTACGTTGACTGGGCTGGTTTTGAACTCCTGAGCTCAAGTGATCCTACCACCTTGGCCTCCCAAAGTGTTAGGATTACAGGCATGAGCTAGCACGCCCAGCCAATATATATGTATTAGTATGCACTACTGCTTTTACTAATATGGATAGATTCTTTTTTTTTTTTTTTGAGATGGAGTCTCACTCTGTTGCCCAGAAGAGTGCAGTGGCATGATCCCAGCTCACTGCAACCTCCACCCTCCGAGTTCAAGCAATTCTCCTGCCTCAGCCTCCCGAGTTGCTGGGATTACAGGCGCCTGCCACCGTGCCTGGCTAATTTTTTTTTTTTGTATTTTCAGGAGAGATGGTGTTTCACCATCTTGGCCAGGCTGGTCTTGAACTCCTGATCTCGTGATCCACCCACCTCGGCCTCCCAAAGTGCTGGGATTACAGGTGTGAGCCACCGCATCCGGCCTAATATGGGATAGATTCTAAAGGAATGGGATTGCTGAGTTCAATGGCAAATGCAACTAAGAACATTGTATTATGGAAAATTTCAGACATGCACAAAGTACCGATAATAGTATAATACAATAAGCCTCCATGTACCCATCACTCTGCTTCAACCATTACCAGAACATGAGCAAACCTGTTTCATTTAAATGCCCTCTCCCCTCACCTTCTCCCCACCCCAACAAATGCTGAATTATTTTGAAGCAATCTGGTATACATTTCTAAGGTAAAGACAAGATTTTCGGATACATGGAATGAATGACGTGTATGGGAGAAAAAAAGAGGAGTCAAAGATAGTTCCAAGATTGTTGGACTAGGCAACTGAAAGTCTACCATCAACAGAGATGGCAAAGTCTAGGGAAGGAGCATATTTGGGGGGAAGATCAGGCATTTGGTTTTGTACAGATTGAGTTTGTGACTTATTAGGCAGCTGACTGGAGGTATCTCATCATCAGTGGAGTAAAGAAATTTAGTCTGGGAGAGAGGAAGGGCTTGGAGAGATTTAGGAGTCATTGACTAGTGTTATCCATGAGCCTGGATTAGATCATCAGACAGTGAGAGTAGATAGAAGAAGAAGAAGAATGCCTGCGGAGGCAGAATAACAGCCCCCAAAGATGTCCAAGCTCCTGAACTTGTTACTATGTTATCATAAATGGCAAAAAGGACTTTGCAGATGTGATGAAAGTTAAGGACTTTTGGATGAGGAGATTATCCTGGATTTTCCAGATGAACCCAATCTAATCACATGGGTTTTTAAAAGTGGAGACCCTTTCCCCGCTATGGTCAGAGAAATCTGTAACAGTGGAAGAAGAGTCAGAGATGTAACATTGCTGGCTTTGAAGATGGAGTAAGGGAACCAAGAGCCAAGGAATGCAGACAGCCTCCAGGAGCTGGAAACAGCAAAGATATAGATTCTCCCCTATAGCCTCCAGAAAGTAACACAGCCCTGCGGACACCTTTTTAGCCCAGGGAGACCCATATTGGACTTCTGACCTCCAGAACTGTAAGATAATAAATTTGTATTGTTTAAGACACCACGTTTGTGGCAACTTGTACAGCAGCAACAGAAAATGAATATGCCTTCCTTCATTGAAGGGTAGAGAAGAGGGAGCCACTCAGGGGACTGAGGGGCAGCCAGTGAGAAAGGGGGAAAAGGAAGTTTAGTGCAGTGGCTCATGCCTGTAATCCCAGTGCTTGGCTAGGCCGAGGCAGAAGGATCGATCCCTTGAGCCAGGAGTTTCAGGCTACAATGAATTATGACTGTACCACTGCACTCCAGCTTGAGCAACAAAGAAAGACCTTCTCCCTCTCTCTCTCTCTTTTTTTTTTTTTTTAAAAGGAAAGATAGAGGAAAATGAAGTGAATGTAGATCCTGGAAGCAAAAGAGGATGAGCCAGAGCCAGGGTCATCTGTTACTGACAGGTCAATTAGGATGAAGACAGGGACGCGGCCACCGCAATTAGGGAGTTTGGGGTAATTCTTCTGAAGACAAAGAGGAACAAAGAATTGTGATGACTGTTAAGAGATATTTGTTGTTACTGTTGTTCAAAATGGGAGAAATATTATATAACACTTTCAGTTTGCAAATATAAAAAAATTTTTAAAATGGGAGAAATAATATGTTTATAAGCTGATGGGAGTGACACAGAGCAGGTGAGAAACTGGTGTTTAGAATGAGCAGAGACCAACTGAGGATGTCCTTGAGTCACAGGACAAGGCCTAGTGCACAATTAGAATCACCTTTTTGTTTTCTTCTTTTTTCCCATTTATTTATTTATTTAAAGAGATGGGTTCTTGCTCACTGTGACCTCGAACTCCCAGGCTCAAACGATCCTCCTGCTTCAGTCTCCCAAGTTGCTGGGACTACAGGTGCATGCCACCCTTCCCCCTGCCCCCCAAATTGGCTTTTGACAGGAAAAAGAATGGCAGCGAGTAGGTGAGCAGAGGACATGGAGGCTGCTGCTGGGAGCGGGTGGCTATGGTGGGAGTCTGTGGACCTTCTCTTCTGTTTGCACCAGTTTCCTCAGCAGGAAGATTAAGGCAGAGCAAGGAGCTTTGCAGAGACAAGATGTAGAAAAGTCCTCTCTGAGAGTGGGAAGCTGAACGGACTAGGAAAGAACAGTCTGACTCCCAGGCCAATTAAGGTTCAACTATTTCCAAAAGGAAATAAATGAAACAGAAAGCATCACTAAAAATCGATGTGCAAAGTACACGTTTTCTCCTGATGCTCAATCTCCAATTCCCAGCCCTCATTTGCCTAACAGAGGCTGTGAGCAGCTCTTGGTCTTGGTCTCTCTCTTAGCAACTTTTTGGCCCCTGGGCTCTGTGCTGTTGCCTGCCTTCCTGAAGCTAGTCTGATGAATATCCTGTTCTGTTTAAGGCCAGATGAAATGAATTTTTCTGTTTCCAGCTGCGCCACACCCTTTAGCGACCTCCCACTGAGTTCTGGTTTCTGGTCTAGACAAGACAGTTGGTTTTGGTTGTTATTTTTTGTTTTGTTTTTTGCTCATTTTCATAGCAGAGACTATTGACATCAGCCAGATGCCAGTGAGTGCACAAACCTGTCTCAGCCCAGTTTCTCAGCCCCAACCCCACTCTAGCCTCCTCTCCCAAATGGGAGCTCCCCTTTGCATGGAGAATATATATAGCAAAAGTCTCACATATGAGTAACAATGATACACGGCCTGTAGAAATGACACCATGATCACCAAGGCGTGTTCTTGCACAGACCCTGAGCAGCCAGGGGAAAATGAGCACGACCCTGGAGAGTGAGGGGGAGGAAGTGCTGATTACAAAGGCGTGGTCAAAGCCAAAATGTTCCTAATTCAGTTTGCTCATATTCTGGCTACATATAGGACTCCCAGGGAGGTGAAGCTAGAAAGAAGCAAAAGACCTAGAAGAGCAGTTCTAGTTCGGGAGATATTTTACATGCATAGGAAATAGTCTATACTTCCTGTGGAAGCTTCCAGGACTCCCTGCTTTGGGCCTCTGCTCCATTGGGAGTGGAATGTTTGCTCTTTTAGCTGGAGGATAGCCCTTTTCCTACCTCCATAATCCTATTCACCCATTCCCTCCACCTAGAGACCTCTCCTCCCCTAATCTCCAACAACCAAAATCCTTCTCAGTGTCAAGTCCCTTTTCAAACTGTACATCCTCTGTCAAGGCATCCCTGGTTTCTTCCACTAGTTTTCTTAAGCTTCTTTATGACATCTTGAAACAGTGTATCTCAAACCTTTTTTTTTTTCATTATCACCCTGCTAAGGCATCTTTTAAAGACATTTTCTTCTGTAGATACACCCCTTCCCTAATGAAATTGTAATAGCCCATGGTAAGAGTGTCCAGGAGAAGGTGAGGTCTCCAGGATGTTAAAGCCAAGGTAATAAGAAGAAAGCAATACAAGTCACATGGCTGAAGAACTGGCACAGCTGATTTTCTGCAATGGCCTGAGTGAGGTTCTATCCACAGGATTCCAGATTCTTTCATCCCCTCTTTGATCAGAATACCATTCACTCAGACACCAAAAATCTGGCTCAGACATTGAATGGAAGGCATACTTGAACCAGCAAGGACACACAAAATATAGAATACAGCTCCATTTTGAAAATCTTAACTTTTGAATCAAATAAACTATGGATAGATTACAAAAGATGATTCACACTACAAAAGGCCTTAGATTGTGTCTTTACATAGTAGCATATGGTGAGCTAGAGAAAACAGAGTTTGATTTACAAAAAATATTCACAAAATTTTGGGAATACACGTTAGATTAAACACAGTACACTAACATAGACTCTGAGTATCCAATATCAAAAAATAACTTTTGAAAACATTCTTTTTCTAATGATAAAACAATGCATATTAATTGTAGAAATCTAGAATATATATAATAACCTCTCCCACATTAAAATCACATAACATTAACATGCAAAGTTTATTATTGTTAGTAAACAGCCTACATCCTTCTAATGTTTTTTAAATGAATATTTGTCTTTTTCTAAGATTGAGATCAAGCATCAGATATTGTTTTGTAATCACACCTTGATTTACACAAAACATAATCATTTTTCAATACCATCAAGTATCCATTGACACTATACTTTTTCCCAGTTATATGGTATTCCGTCCTATGGATGGGCTATGAATTATTACTTAATCTCTTATTAACGTTTCAAATGTGTGTGTGTATATACATATATATATATACACGTATATATGTGTATATATATGTATGTGTATATATATATGTATATATATACACACACACACACACACACACACACACACATATATTTATTTATTTGAGATGGAGTTTTACTCTGTCACCCAGACTGGAGGGCAGTGGCATGATCTTGGCTCATTGCAACCTCTGCCTCTGGGGTTCAAGCAATTCTCCTGCCTTAGCCTCCCGAGTAGCTGGGATTACAGGGACCCACCACCACGTCTGGCAATTTTTTTTGTCTTTTTAATAGAGACAAGGTTTCACCATGTTAGCCAGGCTGATTATCATATTTTTTGCTATTATAAACGGTTGAAAGCAAACTTAGTAGGATTTATCGACTTTATTAATATTTTCAAAGAACTAAACTTTGGCTTTATTAATTTTCTTTATTGTCTGTTTTGTATTTCAATTATTTCTGCTTTTAAAACATTTCCTTCTTTCTGCTTACTTTGGGTTTAATTTCTCTCTTTATCTGGTTTCTTAAAGCACAAACTTAGATAATTGTTTTTAAATTGCACTCCTTTAGGTAAATCCAAAAAATTTTGATATTTTGTGATTATATTTTCACTTGCTTCATAATATTTTCTAGATTTTCTGTGATTTCTTCCTTAATCCATGGATTGTTTTAAAGATGTATTGTTTATGGACCTAAAGATGGAAATAATAGACACTGGGGACTTTAAGGGAGGGGAGGCTAGGAGGGAAGCAAGGGTTGAAAAATTACTTATCCTGGCCGGGCGCGGTGGCTCACGCCTGTCATCCCAGCACTTTGGGAGGCCAAGGCGGGCGGATCATGAGGTCAGGAGATCGAGACCATCCTGGCTAACACGGTGAAACCTTGTCTCTACTAAAAATACAAAAAATTAGCCAGGCATGGTGGTAGGCGCCTGTAGTCTCAGCTACTAGGGAGGCTGAGGCAGGAGAATGGCATGAACCCAGGAGGCGGAGCTTGCAGTGAGCCGAGATTGCGCCACTTCACTCCAGCCTGGGCAACAGAGTGAGACTCCGTCTCAAAAAAAAAAAAAGAAAAATTACTTATCCAGTACAATGTTCACTATTTGGGTAACGGGTACACTAGAAGCCCAATCCCCACCAGCATACAATATACCCATTCAACCAACATACACATGTACCCCCTGAATCTAAAATAAAATAAAAAATTTTTAAATAATTAAATTAAATGAAAACGTATTGTTTAAGTTCCACATACTTTGGTTTTTCTGTTTTATTGTTATTGATTTCTAATTTAATTCCATGTGGTCACAGATATATTCTGTAATATTTCAATTTAAAAAAATGTATGGAAACCTATTTAATGGCCTAGTACATGCTCTATGTTGGTGAATTCCATGTGCACTTGAAAATAATGTGATTCTGTTGTAGTTGGATAGAGTGTTATATAAATGACAATTGGGACAAGTTAATTGATAATGTTCAAATCTCTATCTTGACTAATTTATTGCCTCGTTATTCTGTTGATGGCTGAGAGTTGGTGTTAAAAATCTTGACCTCTGATTATACATTTATCAATTTATCCTTTTAGTTCTATCAGTTTTTATTTCACTAACTCTATTATTAGATGCACATACATTTAAGATTGTTTTGTCTTCTTGATGAATTGACCCCTTTATCACTATTAAATGTCCTTTATTCTTGCTAATATTGAAGTTTTGTCTTGAAGTCAAATTTTCTAGTATTAACATAATCATACTAGTTTTTATATGCTTACAGAATATATGGTATATATTCCTCATTCTTTTACTTGAAAGCTACCCGTGTTTTTACATTTTAAGTGTATTACTTTTAGTTGGTATATACTTGAGACTGCTTTTTTTAACCATTCTGACAATCTCTGGATTTACATTGGTAAGTTTAGTCTATCTGTATTTTTTTCTTTGTTGTTTTGTTTTGTTTTGTTTCGTTTTGAGACGGAGTTTTGCTCTTGTTGCCCAGGCTGGAGTGCAATGCCACTATCTCGGCTCACTGCAACCTCCACTTCCCAGGTTCAAGTGATTCCCCTGCCTCAAGCTTCCCGAGTAGCTGGGATTACAGGCACCCGCTGCCACGCCTGGCTAATTTTTTGTATTTTTAGTAGAGACGGGGTTTCACCATGTTGGTCAGGCTGCTCTCGAACTCCTGACCTCAGGTTATCCACCCACTTCAACCTCCCAAAGTGCTGGGATTGCAGGCGTTGAGCTACCATGCCCAGCCTAGTCTACCCATAATCTAATATAGATATTGTTAGGTTCCTAAGTATGTCATTTTGCTGTTTGTCTTCTATTAATTTCTTGTTTTTTTTTTGTTGTTGCTGTTTTTGTGTTCCTTCTTTCCTACCTTCTTTTCAGTTAATCATTTTTTTTTTTAGTGTTTCATTTTAATTCTGCTGGCTTTTTAACTATACTTGTTGGATCGTTTTTAGTGGTTGTTTTAGACAGTACCATATCCATCTTTAACATAGTCTACTGTTCATTAATATTGTACGAATTCATGAGAAAAATGTTAAAGTTTTGTAACTGTAAATTTTATCTATCATCTCTTATCCTTTGTGCAACTTCTGCCATATTTTAATTTCCATATTTGAAATCTTATAATACTATGTTTTTCACAAAAGTATTCATTTTAAAGAAACCAAGGAAAGATGCAGTCTTTTGTACTTACCCACATATTTAACGTTTCCTATGTTATTTTTTCTTCTCTGTGTCTCAAATTCATATGATGTCAGTTTCCTTTGGCCAAAAGAACTTCTTTATCATTTGTCTTAATGTAGCTCTGCTGGTAACAAATTCATCTTTCATTTATCTGCAAATGGCATTACTTGACCCTCATTTTAAAATGGTATTTTCGTTGGTATAAAACAGAAATGTTTTCAGAAGTTTTATTCTCTCTCTCACTCTTAAATCTTACGGATCCCATTCCCTTGTTTTAAAGCCTGTTTTTTGTTATCAGAAGATCATCATCAATTATATCATCGTTTGGTGTGTTTTTCTCCTTCCCGGCTGATTTCAAGATGTTCTTTGAAACGTTTTTGTTGCTTTGTGCGTGCATGCTTTTTTTGTTTTATTTATTTACTGAGTCTTGCTCTGTCGCCCATGCTGGAGTGCAGTGGCGCTGTGTCCGGAGTTGGTTCCTGCCGGTGGGTTCCTGGTCTCACTGACTTCAAGAATGAAGCCACCGACCTTCAGGGTGAATGTTACAGGCTCTTAAAGGTGGCACAGACCCAAAAAGTGAGCAGCAGCAAGATTTATTGTGAAGACAGAAAGAACAAACCTTCACAGCAGGGAACGGCACCTGGGCCAGTTGCTGCTGCTGGCTGTGGTGGCCAGCTTTTATTCCCTTGTTTGTCCCCGCCCATGTCCTGTTTCTGTCCTATCAGAGTGCCCTTTTTTCAATCCTCCCCGCGATTGGCTACTTTTAGACTCTTGCTGATTGGTGCGTTTACAGAGCGCTGATTGGTGCATTTTACAGAGCACTGATTGGTGCATTTTACAGAGCACTGATTGGTGCATTTTACAATTCTCTTGCTAGCTACAGAGTGCTGATTGGTGTGTTTTACAATCCTAGCTACAGAGTGAATCCTCTTGTAAGACAGAAAAGTTCTCCGAGTCCCCACTCCACCCAAGAAGTCCAGCTGGCTTCGTGTCTCAGCGCAACCTTCACTCACTACAACCTCCGCCTCCCGGGTTCAAGCTAGTTTCCTGCCTCAGTCTTCTGAGTACCTGGGATTACAGGCTCCCACCGCCAAGCCAGCTAATTTTGTATTTTTAGTTGAGACAGGGTTTTGCCATATTGGCCAGGCTGGTCTCAAACTCCTGACGTCAGGAGATCCACCCACCTCAGCCTCCCAAAGTGCTGGGATTACAGGTGTGAGCTGCCATGCCCAGCTATGTACTTTGATTTTTGGGGGGTCTGAAAATTGATTTTTTTTCTTAACCAAATTTGGAGATTTTTTAAGCCATTTTTTGCCCAGTCTTTTTTCCTGCCTCATTATCTCTTATTTCCTTCAGAGGCTCTAATCACACATGTCTTGGGCTGCTAGATATTGTCCAAAGATCACCGAAACTCTGTTTCAATTTTTGAAAGTCATTTTTTTGGTCTGTTTTCAGATTGGATTATTTCTGTTGACTCATCTTTATGTTTCATTTACTTTTTCTTCTCTCATCACCAATCTGCTGTTAAGTCCAACCAATTAGTGAATTTTCGTTATTTCAGATGTTACAATTTTCAGGACTAGAATGTCCACCTGGTTCTTATTTGTAATTTCCATTTCCCTGAGTTTGTCTTTCTGTTTACTCACTGTGATCACCTTTTCCTGTAAGTCCTTGAACATATTTTAAAACATCTACCTTAAAGTCCTTGTCTGCTAACTCTAACAACTATGTCATCTCGTAGTTGTAACAACTATGACATCTCATAGTCTGTTTCTATTGCCTGATTTTTTTTTCACTATGGGTTACATATTCCTTTTTGTCTTCACATGTCTAACAGATGTTCTATTATGTACTAGAAATTGTGGATGAGACATTGTAGAGACTCTAGATTATGTTGTTTTTCTCTGAAGTATGTTGATATTTATTCTAGCAGTCAGTTAAGTTACTAGATAATTAACTTGAATTGTGGGGGCTTAGTTTTACACTTATGTAGGTCTGTGGAAAGCCCTGGGTGTTTACCAAGCCTCTCTAATTTGGTAGGATTGAAACTCCAAACTTTCTAGTCTATAGTGAGCGGAAGTTGGGGATATCTCCTTTCAGTTCTGATAGCCTTTCAGTTTTTGCTTTCTGCTAGGTTCCTTGGAGTCTCCACAATACGTGTGCAGTTCAAGGGTTAACCAAGAATTTAAATGCAGATTTTGGGGGCTCCCTTTGCTGTGGCACCTGTATTTATGGGATAAGTTCCTTCCCTCACTTTCCAGACACTTTGGCAGCTCTGAATGTTGTCCTCTGATACCCCAAGCCAGTAAGACCAAGATGTTCTTCTTGAATTGTAGTTACTCTGCGCCACACAGACTTGGGGTCCTGTAAAGGAAAAAACATATTATGTGAATCTCATACAATATGCTCCCCTTTTTTCCATTAGTCAAATCCCTTCCAGTTTCTGCTTGCTTTGGGCCATTTTTCCATGCCTTCAAATTGTAAGTGCAATTTGTCCAGAGTTTACCATTGTAGTCTCTGGGAGGGTTAGACTGATGTAAGCTCCTCTATCATGATGAAAATTGGAGGCACTCCTTTTCTCTTTATAAAAGTAAATCTTATAATGAAATTAATGTTTAATCATTGAAGAAAAACTGAAGGATACCAAAAAGCATAAAGAACAAACTGAAGTAATCCTAACTGGCCGGTTTGCTAGAACTAGCCACTGCCAATATTTTGGTGAACTTCTTTCCAGTCTTTTTGCTATCTATCTATCTGGCAATCAATCATATACATTTCTCTTATCTTGGGGCACCACTGCTTTTTAAATGTGTTTTCCTCCTTTTTTTAGCCATTTTTTAAAAATGGGTTTCTTTTACCCTATCCATTCTTACAACACTGATTGTATCTTTTTGGCAGGTACAACCTGTAAAGTGTCTCAGTATCTTCAGTCCTTGGCAAACTACAGGCATTCAATGAATATAGGCGGAATGACTGAATTTTTCCAGGCAAAGTAGAGATTTTTGTTAACCCACAACTATGCATTCTATGGTAACTACCACAGCCGTTTACAGATGTTTGGTTCTCTCTTCTTTTAACACATGGTAGATTGTACTTTCCTGCTCTGTTGAACATGGTTGGGGCCACGTGACTTGATTTGGGCAGTAATAGCTGTGTGCCACATCTGGGCAGAAGCTTTCAAGACCAGTGCATACTTTGCCAGTTCCTCTCCTTCTGCTGAGGCGATTAGCAATGTGCCCTATAGAGGCTCCTCCATCAAACTGGTCCTGGCTTAAGGATGACGGTAATGTAGAACAGAGCCATTACCCATCACCCAATCCCTGATGGACATAGAGCACAAGCATGAAGTAGGCCTTTATTATTTTAAGCCAAGGGTTGGTAAACTATGCCCGAGGGCTAGTGGTATTTATAAATAAAGTTTTATTGGAACACAGCCACAACTATTCATTTACATAATGTCTGTTTTCACACTACCAAGGTGGTGTTAAGTAGCTGCTACAAAAACTGTTTGGCTTGGCCTGATGCAGTGGCTCACACCTGTAATCCCAGTACTTTAGAGGGCGCAGGTGGCCTGATAGCTTGAGCCCAGGAATTTGAGACTAGCCTGGGCAACGTGGTGAAACCTCATCTCTACAGAAAATTCAAACATTAGCTGCATATGGTGGTAGTCCCAGCTACTCGGGAGGCTGAGGAGGGAGGATCGCTTGAGCCCAGGAGGCAGAGGTTGCAATGAGCCAAGATGGAGCCACTGCACTCTGAAAAGAAAAAAAAAAAAAGAGACAGAGAAAGAAAGAGAGAGAGAGAGAAGAAAGGATGGAAGGAGAAAAGAAAAACTGGAAGGAAGAAAGGAAAGAAAGAAAAGAAAAGAAAAGAGAAAAGAAAAAGGAAACAAAACGAAACTGGCCTGCAAAGCAGAACATATTTAGTATCTGGCCCTTTAAGAAAAGTGTTCTGATTTCTCTCTTAAGTTGCTGAAACTTGGGAGTTTTTGTCACCGCAGTATAATCTAGGCAATCTTAACAATACACAAGCCTTTTATTGTGTATTGTTTTCTTAATTGACACATACTAATTGTATATGTTTATATTGTATACAGTGATGTCTTGATATATATAATGTCTAGTGATCAGATCAAGGTAATTAGCATATCCATCATCTCAAACATTTATCATTTCTTTGCTGATACATAATTCTAAGTTTCCAAATGAGTAGCAAGAACAGCTGGAGGAAGGAAAAGCCATACGCAGTGACCCTAAGGGACCTGACTAGCTAAAGCTGTGCTTCTAAATCTTTTAAAACATATCACATTCCTTTTTTTATATAAACATTTTAAAAGCTCATACCATTCTTGATGTTAAAAATGTAAATCACTCATTCTTGACCAAAAATATCAAAATGGATAATTTCTGGAGAAACTTCCATTTTGATCTTGAAAGAGCCACTTTTTATTTTGTTTTGTTTTTGTGGCATATCATGGTGAACACTAATTCTCCTTGTAAGTGGAGAATGGAACATGGTGGGTTACTCTCAACATCAGTTTCTTCTCTGCTTTGTAATCAGTGACATCCTTCCTTCTAGATTCTGCTAACCACTCCCCAACCCCTAGGAAAGATCATGGCTCTATAAGAGAAACTTGAGGGTAGAAGCCAGAGGCCTGTGACCAGGGCTTCAATAGAAATGTATTTCCTTAATCTGTACACTAAATTCCTGTGACATGCAATTCACTTATATAACAAGCCTGCACATGCACCTGTGAACCTAAAATAAAAGTTCAGAAAATATATTTGTTCAGGTAAGGCAGAGAAAGATAAATACCGCATGTTCTCACTCATATGTGGGAGCTCTCTTTTTTGTTTCGGAGATGGAGTCTCGCCCTGTTGCCAAGGCTGGAGTGCAGTGGCGTGATCTTGGCTCACTGCAACCTCTGCCTCCCGGATTCAAGCGATTCTCCTGCCCCAGCCTCCTGAGTAGCTGGGATTACAGGCACACACCACCATGCCCAGCTGATTTTTGTATTTTTAGTAGAGATGGGGTTTCACCATGTTGGCCAGGCTGGTCTCCAACTCCTGACCTTGTGATCCACCCGCCTCAGCCTCCCAAAGTGTTGGGGTTACAGGCATGAGCCACCGCGCCTGGCCATGTGGAAGCTCTTTTTAAAAAGTTCATGAAAGTAGAGAGTTAAAATTGTGGTTGTTAGAGGCTGGTAGGGAGAAAGAGGGAGAGGGGGAGGTTGGTTAATGGATATAAAATTCCAGCTAGACAGGAGGAATAAGTTCTAGTTCTCCATGGCACTGCAGGATGAATAAGGTTATCAGTAATTTATTTTTTATTTTCGGAAAGCTAGAAGAGAGGATTTGAACTGCTCCCAGCACACAGAAGTGATAAATGTTTGAGGTAATGGATATGCTAAGTACCCTAATTTGATCATCACACATTGTATACATGCATCAAAATATCACTCTGTAGTCCATAAATATGTACAATGATTACATGCCAACTAAAAATAAAAGAAAAAAAAGGAAATTTCTCTCATCCAGTGTCCAAAGGGGAGGCTGCAGGCAGCCTCATCATTGAAACAGAAGGATGAAAGGAGGACTGGGGGTCGGAAGGACATAACCTGGGGTGAGTGTTTTGAGAATGGAGGGATCTTCAGATTAAAGTGGGGCTGACAGGGAGTGCCTTGTACCTGAGCCGAGTTCCCTGCACAATAGAGACTATTCTTGTGAGAGTCCTGAGTGACTGCTGTCTCTACCTGCTGGTGGCACACATGGCTTCTGGTGGCCTCTGTGGCCCAGTGAGTTTCTTTGGCTTCCCTTCCTTCTCCCAGGGCTCCTCTCCTTTCTCTAGCTGTCACAGCCTTCCCTACCCACTGGGGTCCTCAGATCGACACACCCACAGCCTCACAGTCTCACCCCACTTTTCCCCATGGAACAATAACAAGGACCTTTTGCATTTCACCCAGTGCAGAGGCCCGAGGACTGAGACGTCCTGCCCCCACCCCTCGGGTTCTAGCTCTACCTTGACCGGTGTCTAACTGCAACCTTGGGCTGGTCACTTTTTTTCTTGGCTTCATTGTCTTTACCCGTAAAATTAGGAGTTGGATGATATAATCTGTAAGCTCCCTTTTAATTCTCAGGATGTTTTTGCAAATCACTTCAGGGAAATCAGGACAATACAAAGGAAACAAAGAAAAGCTGTCAGCTTTTAGGAAACCTCAATTTATCATCATAAAAAATTCCTCTGAGTTATGGTGAAATGAAAATGGGACCATTTCTTTCTCCACCTTTTGTTGACAGAGGGAGAGCTCCTATGAGACAGGAAACTGCCATTTTTATGTCAAAAGATGGGACTCACAGACCAACAGGTAAGTTTCATGTTGCTTCCAACTGTGAGGAGTCTAAGTGGCAATTTGGGCCCCAGAAACCAATTTGTCCAAGATATTTTCATGATTAATGAGCACACCAGGACTCTTGGAAATCAGGATGGGCCTGAAAATGTTGGAATATTTGGCCATTAAGTGTGCTCTTATTCTATTCCTTAAAAAGGAAAAAAATAGTTTTATTTTATTCAGGGCCAGTGAAGCTCATCCAGCCTCTCCCTCCCTGGAAATCCTGGCCTTCTCTTGATTCCACCTGTCCATTGAGGCCAGACCACTCTTTAGAAGGCCAGATAATAAAAGGTTCAACAGTGGACTCCAGGGTCAGTCAGCATGAGTTTAAATTTCCTCCCACCCTTATCTACTATGGGTAAGTACTTAACCCTTTCTAAGCCTTAGTGTCCTCATCTGTACAATGGGGATCTTATAGGACTGCTAGGATTCAAGGAGAGAAAGCAAGTCATGCCCTTAGCATAGTGTCTGGGGGAACAGTGAACATTCAAACAGCAGCAATTTTTATTATATGAAATCTGGGTGGATTAGGTAAATTCTGTAGCAGGAGGCCCCCAGGCCCCAGTCTGCCATCTGCTCTTCTCCCTATACTCCTTTTTGTAGGATTCATGCTTCCTTGCTCTCCTGAAGGTCAGTGTGCCCTTGGACTTGTGTGCTCAGCAGCAGGCAGAGCAGAAGAGCTGCCTAAGAAACTAGTGGCAACCAAGGGCTCCCGGCATTCGGACTCCAAAATCTTCCCCTTTCACCTTTGGTTGGCAGGCAGGAGGCAAAGCGAAAACACGAGAGGCAGTGGGTGCCTTCCTTCTGGCACAGGGGAGAATGGAGAACATCAAAGCCTAGCTCTGCCAGTGACTTGGCCAAACTCGGTACAGGTGGAGTGGCAAGATGCATGCTTTGCCCCTGCTATTGATGGTGGCCTGGGAAGCCACGTGAGAAGGCGCCAAGTCCCCAGCAACAGCACTCATCTCCCCTCCCCTCCCCACCTCTGCCTCCTCTTCTCCCTGCCCCGAAAAAAGTTCTCGCCTGCCTCCTTCTTGGTTGTTAGAGTTTACCTGGGGTTTCCCCTTGCCCCAGACACCGCAGCCACTCCTGCACCACCTGGGAGATAGAGTCTCACCAAAGCCGGGTTGGGGCCCCTTCCAGGTGCAAAACCAGTAATCGGGCCTGCCTGGGGGCAGGCGGCAGCTGCGGATTGGCAGGTTGGGCGGCCCGACCCGCGAACAGCCGGATCCCGCCCAAACGTGGCTGGAGCTGCGGGCCGCTGGGGGCCACATCAAATGCCGTGAGTCCCTGGGGTTGTGTTCGGGGCGCTGGGCCCCGGGGAGCACAGGGCCAGGCGGAGGCGGAGGGGCCGACGCCTGGTCGACCTGCCTATTTCTGGTTCCCTGGAGGATAAGAGACAACTCCTCTATAAAGACAGTGGTCGCCTTCATCTTCCCGCGGAGCCGCAGTCCAGTCATCCTCCGTGGCTTGGAGAGGCTGCCGGGCGTCTGGGCTGCAGGCGCCCCCAGGGAGTGGCTGGGCACCTGACGACAGAAAGGGTTGAATGACGGCGACGTGACCGCTGTGATTACGAAGATGCCAACATCCGCGAAGATGCTGGCACCCGAACCCCGCAGCGGCCCAGGCAGGCACAAGGCTTCCCTGGAGGAGGATTGAGGCTCTCAGTCCCAGCCCTGTCGTTCTGGGCTGGACAGAGGGATGGTCATTTGCCCCCAGGAGCATTGGAGCAGGAGGGAGCAGCTGGGCTCCCGGGCACGCTTTTTCCTAGGGGGTGACTGGGGGAGAGGCTGGGCCGCAGAAAGGGGTACTGAGGGGCTGCTAAGGCAGGTTACGGGGGTGGGGGCTCAAGACACCCCCGCAGCTGACTTCTGGAAAAAAGACAACCTCGAAAAGCAAGGGCGGGGATAAAAGAATGGCTAAGAAGAAACAAAGATGAAGAAAACAGCAAGCAAACCAAAGACAATGGGGAAAGAGGGGCAGAACCAAGGAGACCAAAACCAGAATTCTCAAATCTAAAGTGGTTTAGGCCGGGCGCGGTGACTTACGCCTGTAATCCCAGCACTTTGCGAGGCCAAGGCAGGTGGATCACTTGAGGTCAGGAGTTTGAGACCAGCCTGACCAATATGATGAAACCCCGTCTCTACTAAAATACAAAAACTAGCCGGGCGTGCTGGTGAGCGCCTGTAATCTCAGCTACTCGGGAACTGAGGCAGGAGAATCTCTCGAACCAGGGAGGCAGAGGTTGCAGTGAGTGGAGATCGTGCCGTTTCACTCCAGCCTGGGAAACAAGAGAGAAATTTCGTCTCAAAAAAAAAAAAAAAAAAAAAGTGGTTTGATGCAATACAGTAGCTCTGAAAGTACAGCCCTGGACCAGCAGCATCGGCATCCCTGGGAGCTTACCAGAAATGCAAACCCACTGAATCAGAAACTCTGGGAGTGGGCCCAGCAATGTGTTTCAGCAAGTCCTCCAGGCGATTCTGATGCTGTCTCAAGTTTGAGAACCACAGGTGTAAAGGAAGGGGCACTGGCCTGAGGGCTGGGAAACTGGGTCCCTCCGTTTTCCCATCATTGAAGGGAAGGGTGGGACTAGATCTGGGGACACGCAGGCAGAGCACACAGAATGAGGTGGGCCAGGTAGGTAATGTCACGGCCCCGAGGGCCTGCACTTTGCGCCAGCCAGTTGTTGCCTGGCTTGAGTTTGGGCCGATGCTACCATGTTATCTGATTTTGCAAGAGAAACTGGAAACCTGGATTTTTAAAATGTGAAATCTCCTGTTTTTTCAAATGTTGGCAACTAATTAAACATTTTTAAAATACTGTTTGGGTCCTCACTACAGGCCAAGCAAGACACACTTGCAGCCTGGATTTGCCCTGTGGGTCCCTATTCATGTTCTTTAGACTCCAGGATCTCAATAGATTCTGAAAGAGCCTGTGATCCTGACATACAAATGTAGCCGCTGCCCTGACATGGAAGAGTAGGGCTCCCCTGAAAATATTATTAGGAGAGAAAGTTGTTTGTTTGTTTTGAGACGGAGTCTTGCTCTGTCACCCAGACTGGAGTGCAGTGGTGTGATCTCGGCTTACTGCAAGCTCCGCCTCCCGGCTTCACACCATTCTCCCGCTTCAGCCTCCTGAGTAGCTGGGACTACAGGCGCCCGCCACCACGCCTGGCTAATTTTGTTTTTGCATTTTTATTAGAGACCCGTGTTAGACAGGATGCTCTCGATCTAGGAAAGAAAGTTTTTATAACACTTCATAGTTAATCATTTGAACCCAGGAGGTGGAGGTCGCAGTGATGGAGCTGAGATCGCGCCACTGCACTGCAGCCTCAGTGAAAGAATGAGACTCCATCTCAAAAAAAGAAAAATTTAAAAAAAAGAACAACTCATAGTCACACAAAAATATTATTGTTCCTTTAATTCCTTCTTTGCTGTTCTCTATTATCCTCCTACTATGGGAGTCCCAGTGTTCTCACTATAACTTAGACCTAAAAAATGCTGACCCACAGAAACATTAAGCAACTTGCTCAAAGTCATCTGCCAGATCCAGCCTGTGTTCTGCCTTCTCTCCAACCACAACTTCCTTGTTAAGGCCCACTCTAAAAACAGCTAGTGTTTATCAAGTGTTTTTTCTGTGGGCCAGACATAGTTCTATGTGCTCTACATGTATTACTCTTTTAATCCGACAACAACCTGATGCAATAGGCATGGCTATTGTCTCCTGTTTATAGATGATGAAACAGAAGCCCAGACAGGTCAAGTTACTTGCCCAAGGTTACCCAGCTTGCATTGCAGTAAGTGGCCAAGCTGGGATTCGAACCCAGGCAGCCCTGCTATCTTCAGAGCACATTGCTTTACCATATCCCCTGCTCTCAATGAGAAGCCTTATCCTACCCCACCCAGATGGGGTCCCTAGGAATGGGGCATAAGGGGTCTGTGCTGATGGAGCAGAGCAGGCTCAGTGCACATGGGGCTGTGACCTATCCAGGTTGGCCCCTCTGCAACATGCCCTCTAATGTAGTCAGTGGGGCTTAAGCTGTCACAGAGTTTGACAGCTTTAACAAAGGAGGTGTCATCCAGAGAAGATGAAAGAGCAGAGCTGTTTATCTGAGGATTAGAGCCTTAAGAAATGTCTGTAACTCTGCAGGCTGCATTTCTGCATCTTATCCTTCTTGTTCCTGATAATGTTCTCCGGGCTTTCGAGCTAAGACTGCCCGGTAATCTAATTTAATGTTACAAGGCTTTCTAGGTAGGAGAGTTGCCTCTCTACGTGTGGCATTTATTCTTAAGTGCTCCAGAATGAAAGAGCACTGAAAAAGGAGTCAGGAGACATGAATCCTAGGCCCAGCCTTATAAACAATTGACTGTAAGACCTGGGGAAACTTATTTTACCTTTCTGGATTCCAGATGCTTCCTTTCCTGTGTTGTCCAAAATGGTAGCCACTCACCACATGTAGCTAGATTAAAAATTCAATATCTCAGTTGTTCTAGCTACATTCTCTGTGCTAAATAGCCACATGTGGCTAGTGGATGTCATATTGGATGGTGCAGATGTGTAACATCTGTCATTGCAAAAGTTTTATGCTTGTGATTGAATTAATCCTAAAGGCTTTGACCATGTAAATTCTACTTTTTGTTTGTTTCTGATGCATAAGCAGTCACTACTCACTATCTGCAAAATATTCGATGGGGATGGCTAATCTCCACCAGTTGGTGGGGTGCTGTGAGCTAGCCACAGTCTAGGCTAGTCACTTCACCTTGTGGATAAAAGGTAGGAACTAGAAAGACCTCCAGTCAGAATTAGTGATGCAGCTTTTGACCATGTACATTCCTATTCTATGTATCCCATTGGCCCATAAAGAAAGTGAACCCTGGATCACGTTATTTGGGGGTAAAGGAAATAATATTGTTGCAACTTTAAGAACTCTTAACAGCCTGCCCCTAACCTGGTGTTGTAATGAAAACATTGGAGGGGCACCATCAAATAATGGTAGAATCTAATATTTATCCAGCACTTAGGCACTGTCCGAAGCACTGAACATGCTTAACTCATAACCCTTTAGCAATGTTATAAGATGGGCACTATTATCCCCACTTTACAGAGGAGGAAGCTGAGGTACAGAGATGTTCAGCAGTGCACTGTGTTACACGGCTAATAAGTGCTGGAGCTGGGATTAGGGCTGCCAGATAAAACACGACACTGAGATTGTACTGGGTATCCTGTACTTTTATTTGCTAAATTGGCAACCCCAGATGTGCTACAAGTCCAGGTATCCTGGCTCCAGTCTGTACTCTTAATGCCTCTGTTTTTCTGCCTCTTAAGGTGGGCCAGGCACAGTGGCTCATGCCTGTAATCCCAGCACTGTGGGAGGCCGAGGCGGGCAGATCACAAGGTCAAGAGATCAAGATCATCCTGGCCAGCATGGTAAAACCCCGTCTCTACTAAAAATGCAAGAATTAGCTAGGCGTGGTGGCGTGCACCTGTAGTCTCAGCTACTCAGGAAGCTGAGGCAGAAGAATCACTTGAGCCCGGGAGGCATAGGGTTGCGGTGAGCCAATATTGCACCACTGCACTTCCATCTGGTGACAGAGCTAGACTCTGTCTCAAAAAAAAAAAAAAAAAAAAAGGTGATTTGGGATGCTATCTTCTAAGACGCAAGACAGCACCTCTTGGAACTATGCAGTACCCCCTCAGTGCCACCTCCAAATCCTCATACTCAGGCAAAATAATCAACCAGAGGGCAAATAATCTGAAAGTACACGATTTCTACAAACTGACACATTACAGATGCTCTGCAAGAGGATCCAGCCTTCCTCTCCTGAAGCATGAGCCCTGCTTCACCCCTAGATGAGTGGGTGCCTTTATTCCCAGAACTCCGCCCACTACCCAGTAGAAGCCCCCTCAACACCAGCTTTAACATTGGACTCAAAGTCAGGCTGGTTCATGAGAATACGTGGGGCTTATATTTTAAAACAGTTTCATGAGATCTGCTAGATTTGAATCCCCAGGGGTGGGGATAGCGGGATCTATATTTTTAAAAATCTTCCCAGGTAGTTCTATTGGGTACCCGAGTTTGATGACCGCAGTTCAAAGGTGCTGCTTGGAGCGTCTGCCTAATCTCAGGAACTTTTCCATCCTCTTAGGGCCTAATCTACATCACATTCCACATACCCCTGTCCCCAGTGCCTACTGCCTACCCTGTTACCCTGAATCTCTGAATCCCTTCTAGTTTCTTCTACTCTTGACTATTTCCATTTTTTTTTTTTTTTGAGGCAGAGTCTCGCTCTGTCACCCAGGCTGTAGTGCAGTGGCATGGTCTCGGCTTACTGCAACCTCCCCTTCCCAGGTTCAAGCCATTCTTCCTGCCTCAGCCTCCCAAGTAGCTGGGATTATAGGGATCTGCCACCATACCCGGCTAATTTTTGTATTTTTAGTAGAGACAGGGTTTTGCCATGTTGGCCAGGCTGGTCTCGAACTCCTGACCTCAGGTGATCCACCCAACTCAGCCTCCCAAAGTGCTGGGATTATAGGCGTAAGCCACCACACCCGGCCCATTCACTCTTATTTATTCATCCCACCGTATAGCTGGATCCTCTCCAGCCTGTATCTCCTATGAATTGGCTTCTATGTAGTCAAATTTCTGGCCCATCGCTATACAGGCATACCTCAGAGCTATTCCAAGATTGATTCCAGACCACCATAATAAAGGGAATATCACTATAAAATGAGTCGCACACATTTTTTGGTTTCCCAGTGCATATAAAAATTATGTTTATACTATAGCGTAGTCTATTAAGTGTGCAATAACATCATGTCTAAAATAACAATGTACATACCTTAATTAAAAATACTCTATTGTGGGTTGGGTGAGGTGGTTAAGGTCTGTAATCTCAGCACTTTGAGAGACCAAGGAAGGAGGACTGCTTGAGCCCAGGAGCTCAAGACCAGCATGAGCAACAAAGCGAGACCCCCATCTCTACAATAATAATAATAACAAAATACTTTACCGCAAAAATGCTAATATCATCTGAGACTTCAGCAGGTTGTAATCTTTTTTGCTGGTGGAGGGTCTTGCCTCGATGTTGTTGGCTGTTGATTGATCAAGGTGGTGATTGCTGCAGGTTGGGGTGGCTGTGGCAATTTCTCAAAATAAGACAATAAAGTTTGCTGCATTAACTGACTGACTCTTCCTTTCACGAAGGGTTTCTCTGTAACATGCAATACTGTTTGATAGCAATTTACCCACAGTAGAACTTTTTTCAAAACTGGAGTCCATCCTCTCAAACCCTGCCGCTGCTCCATCAACTAAGTTTATGTAACATTCTAAATCCTTTGTTGTCACTTCAACAGTGTTCACAGCATCTTTACCAGGAATAGCCTCCATCTCAAAAAAACACTTTCTTTGCTCATCCATAAGAAGCAACTCCTCATCCATTCGTGTTTTATCATGAGATTGCAGCAATTCAGTCAATCTTTAGGCTTCACTTTTAATTCTAGTTCTCTTGCTATTTCCATTCATCTGCAGTTACTTCCTCTACCCAAATCATGAATCTCTCAAAGTCATCCATGAGGGTTGGAATTAACTTCTTCCAAACTCATATTAACGTTAATATTTTTACCTACTCTCATGAATCATGATTTTTTTTTTTTCTTGAGTTGGAGTCTTACGCTGTCGCCCAGGCTGGAGTGCAATGGTGCGATCTCAGCTCACCACAACCTCCACCTCCCGGGTTCAGGTGATTCTCCTGCCTCAGCCTCCCGAGTAGCTGGGATTACAGGTGCCCGTCACCACACCCAGCTAATTTTTTGTATTTTTAGTGGAGACGGGGTTTCACTCTGTTGGCCAGGCTGGTCTTGAACTCCTGACCTCTGTGATCTGCCCACCTCGGCCTCCCAAGTATCATGAATATTTTTAATGGCATCTAGAATGGTAAATTCTTTCCAGAAGTTTTCAGTGTACTTTGCCCAGATCCATAAGAGAAATCACTATGACAGCTATAGCCTTATGATATGTGTTTCTTAAATAATAAGGCTTGAAAGCCAAAATAATTAAATAACTCCTGGATCTATGGGCTACAGAATGGATGTTGTGTTAGCAGGTATGAAAACAACATTAATCTCCTTGTACATCTTGGCCAAAGCTCTTGAGTGACTAGGTACACTGTAAATGAGCAGAAATATTTTGAAAGGAATCTTTTTCTGAGCAGTAGGTCTCAATATTGGGCTTAAAATATTCAGTAAATTATGGTGTAAACCAATGTCATCCAGGAATTGTCCCATTTATAGAGTACAGGCAGAGTAGACTTATCATTAATTTTAAGGGCCTAGGATATTTGGAATGGTAAATGAGTATTGGCTTCAACTTAAAGTCACCAGCTGCATTAGCCCCCAACAAGAGAGTCAGCCTGTCCTTTAAAGTTTTGAAGCCAGGCATTGGCTACTCCTCGTTAGGAAAGAAAGTCCTGGATGGCATCTTCTTCCAATAGAAACTTTCAGTAGAATCAAAATATTCTTCCAATATTTCGTCTACATGGAAAATCTATTGTTTAGCATGGCCGCCTTCATCCATGATCTTAGCTAGATCTTCTGGATAACTTGCTGCAGTTTCTACATTAGTACTTGCTGCTTCATCTTGCACTTTTATGTTATGGACCGGGTTCTTTCTTTGAACCTCATTAACCAACTTCCGGCAGCTTCACTCTTTTCTTCTGCAGCTTCCTCAGCTTTCTCAGCCTTCACAGAATTGAAGAGAGTTAACGCCTTGCTTTGGATTAGGCTTTGGCTTAAGGGAATGTTGTGGCTGGTTTGATCATTTATCCAGACCACTCAAACCCTCTCCTTATCAGCAATAAGACTGTTTCCCTTTCTTATCATGTATGTGTTCAGTGAAGTAGCACTTTTAATTTCCTTCAAGCACTTTTCCTGGTGGGGCATGGTGACTCACACTTCTAAGGCACATGAACCACTTGAGCTCAGGAGTTTGAGACGAGCCTGGGCAACAAGAGGAAACTCTGTCTCTAAAAAAATGCAAAAATTAGCCAGGCATGGTGGCGCACGCCTGTAGTCCCAGCTACTTGGGAGGCTGAGGTGGGAGGATCACTTGAGCCTGGCAGGCAGAAGTTGCAGTGAGCCAAGATTGTGTCACTGCACTCCAGCCTGGGCAAAAGAGAAAGACCTGTCTCAAAAAAAACAAAAAAAAAAAAATAAAAAAGCACACGATGGATTAAGTTCAGCATCTCAAGTGGGCATGGTTCATGGCACCCCAGAACGATTACAATAGTAATACCAAGGGTCATAATCACAGATCACCATAACAGATACAATAATAATAAAAATGTTTGAAATATTATGAGGATCACTTGAGCCTGGGAGGCAGAAGTTGCGGTGGGCCAAGATTGTGCCACTGCACTCCAGCCTGGGCAAAAGAGCAAGACCAAAATGTGACACAGAGGCATGAAGTGAGCAGATGGAAAAGTTGTGCTGATAGACTCACTAAATACAGGGTTGCCACAAACCTTCAGTTTGTTTTTTGGTTTGTTAGGTTTTTTGGAGAGACAGGGTTTCACCATGTTTCCCAGGTTGGTCTTAAACTCCTGGGCACAAGCGACCCACCTGCCTTGGCCTCTCAAGATGCTGGGATTACAGGTATGAGCCACCATGCCTGGCCAAAACTTCAATTTGTAAAAGATGCAATTATCTACGACATACAGTAAAGCAAAGCACAGTAAAATGAGGTATTCGTGGAATCAACCCAAATGCCCATCAGGGACAGGCTGGATAAAGAAAATATGGTACACACACACCACAGAATACTATACAGCCATAAAAAGGAATTAGATCGTGTCCTTTGCAGGGACATGGATGAAGCTGGAAGCCATCATCCTCAGCAAACTAACACAGGAACAGAAAACCAGACACAGCATGTTCTCACCCATTAGTGGGAGCTGAACAATGAGAACACATGGACAAAGGGAGGGAAACAACAGACCCCAGGGCCTGTGGTGGGGGGTAGGGGGAGGGAGAGCATCAGGATAAATAGCTAATGCATGTGGAGCTTAATACCTAGGTGATGGGTTGATAAGTGCAGCAAACCACCATGGCACACATTTACCCATTAACAAACCTACACATTCTGCACATGTATCCTAGAACTTAAAATAAAATACATTTTTTTTTAAATGAGGTGTTCCTGTATTATAGTCTCACGACTCATTCTTGTCCTACCTCCACCATCATAGAATCTTAAAAATTTAGATTTGTGGATAAGGCCTCAGAGAAAAACCCTTATTTTACTAATGGGGAAAAAAAAGCCTTCAAGAGATGAATAAAGCAACCCTCCTACATTGTAGAGAGTGCCTGAAAGGAAGCTATCTGCGAGTTTGGCCTCTGAAGCCCAGACATATGCACATAAGATATATTAAATGGAAAAAGACTACCATTCCAAGCTAGGTTTGATTTAAAGCTAGGTTTTATCTAAAACATGCTTATCCAACCTGTAGCCTGTGGCCTGCATGTGGCCCAGGACAGCTTTGAATGTGGCCAAAAAATTGGACACCCCGATCTAAAACAAAAGCTATTTGGTGAATTTTCACTCCTGCTCCTGGGATGGTTTTAACAATTAGAAATTAGTTAGTGAATGGTCAGGTCAAATCATCTGCCCACAGCCTAGGAATTCTTGGAGACTCTAAAATGTGAGGTAAGTGGGCTGTCAACCATTTGACTGTGAGTCCCCTGAAGAAACTATGACTCTACTACCAACAATCTATGCTGACAGGTGAGACCAACAAATGGGTAGTGGGGCAGGGGAGCTAGGTGTCCTTTACAATCTTCAGCTGAGGGACTAGACAAGCACCCTTCTTTTCTTTTAAAAACCTGCCCTAGGCTGGGCACGGTAGCTCACACCTGTAATCCCAGCACTTTGCGGGGCTAAGGCAGGTGGATCACCTGAGGTCAGGAGTTCGAGACCAGCCTGGCCAACATGGTGAAATCCTGTTTCTACTAAAAATACAAAAAATTAGCCAGGCGTGGTGGTGGGCGCCTGTAATCCCAGCTACTCAGGAGGCTGAGGCAGGAGAATCGCTTGAACCTGGGAGGCAGAGGTTGTGGTGAGCTGAGATAGGCCACTGCACTCCAGCTTGGGCAACAAGAGTGAAATTCCGTTGTCTCAAAAAAAAAAAAAAAAGAAAAGAAAGCCGGGCGCGGTGGTGGCTCACGCCTGTAATCCCAGCACTTTGGGAGGCTGAGGTGGGGAGATCACGAGGTCAGGAGATCAAGACCATCCTGGCTAACATGGTGAAACCCCTGTCTCTACTAAAAATACAAAAAAATAGCCAGGCGTGGTGGCAGGCACCTGTAGTCCCAGCTACTCCGGAGGCTGAGGCAGGAGAATGGCATGAACCCGGGAGGCGAAGCTTGCAGTGAGCCGAGATCGCGCCACTGCACTCCAGCCTGGTGACAGAGCGAGACTCTGTCTCAAAACAAACAAAACACACACACACACACACACACACACACACCTGCCCTAGAGCTGCCGTCTATTAGTAGTCTAATCTGACAAGAACCTTTTGCGTATCCACTGTGTCCCCAGCACATTTAGGCACCCTAGTGTATGACAGAAGGAACGTGAGCAACCTTATTAGAGACAAGACAGAGATGGGACAATTAAGGTGTGCATGTTCCCCACTGGTACCCAAATCAATGAGGACCAGCCTGCATTTGGAAGCCCTAGGAACTCTTCCATGCATTCACAAAACTCTTCAATTCGTTCACAAAATGAGAGGACCTACCATGTGTTGAACACTGAACTGAGTGCTGAAGAAGTGGATGAAGGCCAATAGGACGCGGTCCCCGCCCGCAGGGAGCAAGAGGCTGTTGCTGGAAGTGAAAGAGACCATGGATCCCTAGCATTTGGCCTTTGGATGCATAGGGGACTTCCACTGCAGTGATAGAGTGTTGAATGAAAAGACATTTAGGCCTGTGGGGGAGGGGTCCCTGTGGACCCCAGGATTACTTTGAATGAAAAGGGGGTCCGTTTTTGATACACATTCTCATACATGTTATCCATGTTCTATCATTTAGTAGTTGTGTGATGTTGGGCAAGTTACTTAAACTTCCTCTGCCACCATTTCTTAGCGCTTTTTCCATTTGCTCTGAGAATACTCACTGGCCACGCTTGTGGCTACAGCATTTACTCCGAGATAACTTTGCTGCGAAATATCTCACTTTGATTATTATTTGCTCATCGCTCTAGTACATTGACTTTGGAAACAAGAGACATCATTCTATTGATAGCATTCTGTTTTTAGTAGCAGCATTTCCATTTACAAAATGCAGTAATTCTCCATCACCGAAAATGTCAAATCCTAGAAAACATAGCATTCCTACACGTGATGTTAGCTATCATTCTCAAATAGTTGTTGGCCGAAGATTCATTCGATGGATCTGATTTTTCCAAAATAGACAATTGTGATGATTCAGAAGATTCTGATGTTAGTTCTGTTTAGAAATAACTCCAAGAATGGTTTTTATACTTCATTTTCACATTGAAAATCAGTCAGTTTGCTTCAGCCTCAAAAAGTGTGTCTATGTAAAATTAAATGAGCACTGGCTTTTTTCTAAACAGGAAAAGGGTTAAGTGGTGAAATAGAGATGGTTCTAAAGAGGGTCACCTAACCACCCAGTCAATTCTACCACTGAGTTTTAAAAAAAAATTGTCCTGTCGCTTATTTGATTTTGAATTCCGTAGAAACACTGGAGGTTGATTTTATCACGGTGTGGGACTGTGGCAAAGTGTGGCAAAAGAAGGAGAGGGAGGAAGAGAGACAAGAGCAGAGAAAGGGTAGAAAGGGGGAGAAGCAGTTGGGAGGAGGAGGGAGAATATATCAGACACAATAAGAGCCAGGTGGGAGAAATACTTGATGTTCACTTTTGACAAGTCATTCATAGCCCACACAAAGGAAAGCAAAGCTGTAATAGATAATTATTTAGATCGTATCTGCTTAATCAGTCCCAAATGGTACTCAATTACCAGAGAATTAGAAATCCTTAATTATTGGTGTGGAATTTCAAAAGGCAAACCTAGGGAATATGCAAATGTTCCTGCTGGGTGCCCAGGTGGGACCCAAGTGTGCCAGGCTGCTGCCAGTCATTCACCTGGGAGAGGCACTGGGCCGATGTCTCCAGCAAGCAGCTGGGACAATTACACATTTGTGGAGAACAGCTGGAGATCCAGGAGAAACAAGAGGAAACTAAGCTGTGCCTGAAGCTATATTTGGGTAGTTGTGTCTCATCTATGGCTTTTTTACTTAAAAAAGAAAGAAAGAAAAAATACAACCATGGTACATGTTAAATGAATGAATGAGAAGGTGGAGAAGCTTCTATTAATTTACCGAGCACTCTCTCTCTCATATTGGCCACATTTCACAAAACAGAGAAAATAAGATTTATGTTTAGAAGAGAGAATACCACTTATAATAACGTAACACTTTTTGCTGGGAATTATTTTAGGTGCTTCACATAATTATGTAAGCCTCAGTAACTACCCTGTGATGGAGCAGAGTAGCCTCCTCTTACCCATGATTTGGCTTTCCGTGGCTTCAGCTGCCCTCAGTCTGAAAATATTAAATTGAACATTTCTGAAATAGTCAATTTATAAGTTTTAAATTGAGCACATTTCTGATTAGAATGATGAAATTTTACACTGTCAGCCGGACGCAGCGGCTCACACCTGAAATCCCAACAGTTTGGGAGGACAAGGCAGGTGGATCACTTGAGGTCAGGAACTCAAGACCTGCCTGGCCAAAATGGCAAAACCCCTGTCTCTACTAAAAATACAAAAATTAGCCCGGCGTGATGGTGCATATCTGTAGTCCCAGCTACTTGGGAGTCTGAGGCATGACAATCACTTAAACCTGGCAGGCAGAGGTTGCAGTGAGCTGGGATCACACCACTGTACTCCAGCCTGGGCAACAGAGTGAGACTCTATCTCAAAAAAGAAAAAAAAAAGAAAGAAAGAAAAGAAAAGAAATTTCACACTGTCATGCTCATTCCCACCTGCCCAGGACCTGGGCCATCCCTTTGTCCAAGGTATATGCTACCTTCCCATTGGCGGCTATCTCAATGACCAGATGAAAAAGCCTAGTATATGTCTCACTTTCTCATTTTGGGAGAAAAAAGAGAAAAACCTAGTATATCTAGGGTTCAGTGCTATCTGCAGTTTCAGGCATCCACTGGGGATCTTGGAACATCTCCCCTGTGGACAAGGGAAACTACCGTACTATTATCATTCCCATTTTACAGATGAGAGGATGGAGGCATAAAGGTTAACTAACCTGCTCAGGATTTCGCAGCTGAGTGGTGGAGCTGAGAACCCCACCTGGCAATCAGGTTCCAGAGTTTGCATTTCTAACCAGTAGGAAACACTTCCTTTCCATTCAGTGTATGAAGAGCTGCCTTTGACATGGATACAGTGAGGCATGAAAGGAATATGACATTTTCCTGGAGATTCCCAAACATGGAAGAGGCACCCACTGAGGCCACCTGTGTTGCCTGCTCTTAGCGGCTGACTATGGCATGAGCTTTGGGCCTCTCCTTGTCCCAGCCTGCCCTTGGGCTTCTCTCCTGCCTTTGGGTTTTTCCCCTGGGGCATATTCCCCACCAACCTCTCAACTTTTTCAAGGGAGTGATACCCCACATATAAGTTCTTTAGAGATTCATAAAATGACAATGTGTGTCGATTTTGGATGACATTTACTCAGTGAGCAGAATTCTTCTCCCTGCTCCATCACCTCCCAGCATCACCAAAAAATAAATAAATAAATAATTTAAAAAAAGAAATTCCAGGAAGACTCCACTCCAGGGTCAGGGGGTCCTACAGGTAGTTGAATTGTACCAAAGATTTCTTTCTTTGTGGTCTCATCAAAGTTATGCCAATGGGCTACCTCTTGAATGACCAAATGGAACCTTAACTAAAAACTAGAAGTTCATCTGTGATATAAGATTAAAGATCTATTGCTAGAAAAAGGCCCTTTCCCATGGATTGGTTGTGCAACACTGGGGGGGCAGTGAGGAAGCAGCAGATGCTGAGGAGATCATGCAGGGGATTCTTGGGGCCCTCTATCTACCTGGCAGAAGCATTTTCACTCCAAGTTAAACTTTCAATCTGTTGTCTTATTTTCTATATGTGTATATGTGTGTATGTATGTATGTTTGAATGTATGTATTTTGCCCTGATCAGGAGCATAATGAAAAGTGGCTTGGTCTATCAGCCAGGAGAACTGAGCATTTCTGACTGTCCCCATGAGCTGTGCAATTTTGGGTCTGTCAGCTTCCCTCTCTGGGCCTCACTACTTAAATTTTTAAGACATAGGAGTTGGAAGAGATGTTTTAACCTGGGAAATAATTTAGAATCTCCTGGAGGAGATACAAGGACCACCCCCTTAGCAATCCCTGATGAGAAGCTCCTCCCAGACCCCACCAAGTCCGAGTCCTCCCTTCCTAGCCCAGTTGCCACCCTGATGCAGCCACCCATGAGAACTACCTCAGCCTTCCTGTTGACATTTCAACACTTTTTCTCCCCCGTCACTCCCCCTGCCTCGCTGTGGAGGCCAAAGCCACAAGCAAGTAGGCATGTTCAAACCTTGGTTCTCACGGCACTGCCAAGCAGGCTGTTTGCAGAGGTGAGCCCCATCTTGACCCAGACTTCCAGCCCAGCTTGCTTATCTGCAGATGGCTCTGTGCCTCCAGGCCCAGCACGAGACTCAGTTTCAACACAGCCAAGAAGATCTCAATCTTCAGGGCCCACCCCCTCCACAGGCACTGCCTCCAGCACCTTGCTCACCCCTCTCAGAGACTTGGCTCATTGTCTCGAGGGATGGAGGCACCCCTCACCCTTTTGAGTTTCCCTAGTCCCAGGCAGGAGTGGCACAGCAGCATGGGTGGGGGTAATTGCACAAGTCTCCTCTGGAGGGGCAGTGAGAGCATCTATTTATTATTTTCCTGCTGATTTATTGGGCTGGCGGAGCCCCACCCCTGGTGAGAAAGCTTCTGGAGCTCCTGACATCGCTGTTCTTGAAACCTGAAAGATAGTGGCGGTGGCAGCAGCATGACAAGGCTGGAAGGTTTTGAGTCTTAAGAGATGGTTCTACATTGCATGTGACAGGGCAAACCCCAAGCACTCAGGTCCCCCTTGGGGGACACTCTACCTGTGGTCCTCAGAGAGGGAGTTACTATTTGGGAGACATTAAAGAGGCAGCCCCAAGCAAATTCTGCCCGTTCTTACGGTGTGAAAAACTGTGTCAAAGCATTTATTCTCCTTAATAGGTAATAGGTATAGGTAAGTTCACATACAAGACACTATTTAGAGTTTGCATTTTGCCAACAATTGACCTTCACTGACATCTGAGTTCAGCTAATTATGAGCATTTAACAGAAACCAAAATAAACTCACATTTGAGCACGATGGCTCATGCCTGTAATCCCAGCACTTTGGGAGGACGAGGCATGAGGATTGCTTGAGCTCAGGAGTTCAGACCAGTCTAGGCAACATAATGAGACCTCATCTCCAAAAAAACATTTTTAAATTTGCTGGGTGTGATGGGGCACACTTGTAGTCCCCGATACTCAGGAGGCTGAGGTGGGAGTATCGCTTGAGCCCAGAGGTCAAGCCTGCAGTGAGCAATGATTACACCATTGGACTCCAGCCTGAGCCACAGAGCAAGACCTTGTCTCCAAGAAAACAAAAATAAATAAAATTGACTCAGGAGTAGCAAATGTACCACTCCAGGCTCCCCAGACACCTAATACCTTGATACTCTCTGAGGATTATCATTATTATTATTTTTTTGAGACGGAGTCCCGCTCTGTTGCCCAGGCTGGAGTGCAGTGGTGCGATCTGGGTTCACTGCAAGCTCCGCCTCCCGGGTACGCGCCATTTTCCTGCCTCAGCCTCCCGAGTAGCTGGGACTACAGGCGCCCACCACCACGCCCGGCTAATTTTTTTGTATTTTTTTAGTAGAGATAGGGTTTCACCGTGTTAGCCAGGATGGTCTCGATCCCCTGACCTCGTGATCTGCCTACCTCAGCCTCCCAAAGTGCTGGGATCATAGGTGTGAGCCACCGTGCCTGGCCTCTCTGAGGATTTATACTCCATTCTTCTATGCTTTCTCTCTAAGCTGTTACCTACATCTCCTTCAAGTCCTAGTCCATGTCTAGCCTTAACTAAAAACTAGAAGTTCATCTGTGAGATAAGATTAAGGCTCTATTACTGGAAAAAGGCACTTTTCCATTGATTGCTTGTGCAATATTTGGTGGTAGGTGGGAGGAAGTAGTAGATGCTGAGGAGATCATGCAGGGGATTACTTGGGACCCCCTTCCCATCTTGGAGAAGCATTTTCACCTCAAGTTAAACTCTCAGTCTGTTGTCTGATTTTCTATATGATCAAACTTTCCCTGATCATCCCAGGCCCCTTGACTGCACCTTTTCTGAGCATCTACAGCATGCAGAGCTGACTACATCACTTGGCCCTCCACCATGCAATATTGTCTGTTGTTTGATAACTCATCTGTAAGCGTTATCTCCCTAAATAATCTCCACCACTAGGAAGCCTATCTTTATTTCTTTTGGAGCCTGTCTTCCATTCATTCCTGGCACAGTGCTGATCACAAAGTTGGACTTAATAAATACTTGCTTGATTGAGAAAGATAATACATTGCCAACAGATCAAAAGAAGTCGGAGATAAGGTACAACTGTTCCAATCCCATGTAAGAGGCAGTTGTGCTTATAATTGTTGCTCGAGCTCCCTTCGTTCTCTGATCTTCCTCTTGGGGCTCATGTGATTAGTTCTGGCCAGTGGACTGTAAGTAGCAGGGCCAAGCATCACTTCAAGGATGAAGTGATGGACTTCAAGCTATTGTACATTTTCGCACCCTTCTCTATCCTCGGCCACTCATCCTGTTGTTATGGCAGCATAACAAGATGGCGGTATCTCCATCAGCCAGGTCTCCGCTTGTTCGTGTAGAGCAGGGACTGCAAGGTGAAAGCCATGGGGTGTCTCCAGAAGTAAACTTTGACATGTCTATTAGTTTGCAAGGGCTGCCATAACAAAATAACACAGGCTGTGTGGGTTGAACAACAGAAATTTATTTCTCAGAGTTCGGGAGGCTGGAAGTCCTAGACAAAGATGCCAGCAGGTGTGATCCCTTCTGAGGCCTTTCTCCTTGGCTCGCCACCTTTTTGCTGTGCCCTCGCATGGTCTTTTCTCTGTGTGCGCATGCCCCTGGTGTTTTTCTCTCTGTCCTAATCTCTTCTTCTGTTTTTGAGACAGAGTCTCGCTCTGTCACCCAGGCCGGAGTGCAGTGGTGTGATCTCAGCTCACTGCAGCCTCCGTCTCTTGAGTTCAAGCAATTCTCCTGCCTCAGCCTTCCAAGTAGCTGGGATTACAGGCGTGTGCCACCACTCCCAGCTAATTTTTGGATTTTAGTAGAGATGGGGTTTCACCATGTTGACCAGGCTGGTGTTGAACTCCTGATCTCAAGTGATCTGCCCACCTCGGCCTCCCAAAGTGCTGAAATTACAGGCGTGAGCCACTCTGCCCAGCCTAATTTCTTCTTCTAAGGACACCAGTCAGATTAAATTGAGACCCACTCTAATAACCTCACTTTAACTTAATTACCTTTTTAAAGGACCTATTACCAAATACAGTCACATTCAGAGGTTACAGGGGGTTAGGACTTCAATACATGAATTTTGGGAGGACACAATTCAGTTTATAGCAATGTGTAAAGCCTCTGAGATGTAGGGGTTTGACATCAGTGGAGACTAACCTGACTAATATGGCTCTTGCTCTTATTTTTCAGAAGGAAGGATGATCTCCAGTTTGGAAAGGGAAACACAGAAGATAAAGAGAAATAATTTTAGCCCAGTCTAGGCTCAAAAAGAGCATCTCATCAGGTGTTTCTCAAAGTGTGGTCCAGGGAACGCATGCATTAGAATCACCTGAGATGCCGGTTAGAGCTGCAGATCCCAAACCCCACTCCAGACCTACTGAGCCAGACTCTTTAAGGGCAGCACCTGAGCATCTGCATCTTTACCATACTCCCTGGCAATTCTTATGCACAGGTAAGTTTGAGAAGCTCTGATCCTACCACTTTACATGAGATATTTTCAAATTAGTGGCTCAAAATCCTGACTGCACATTAGAATCATGCAGGAAGCTTTTTTTTTTTAAACAATTTTATTTATTTATTTATTTGAGACAGAGTTATGCTCTTGTTGCCCAGGCTGGAGTGCAATGGCACGATCTCAGCTCACTGCAACCTCTGCCTCCCAGGTTCAAGTGATTCTCCTGCCTTAGTCTCCCAAGTAGCTGGGATTATGGGCGTGTGCCACCAAGCCCAGCTAATTTTGTATTTTTAGTAGAGACATGATTTCACCATGTTGGTCAGTCTGGTCTCAAACTCCTGACCTCAAGTGATCCACCCGCTTTGGCCTCCCAAAGTGCTGGGATTACAGGCGTGTGCCACTGCAGCTGGCCAAGCTTTCTTCTTTTTTTTTGTAAAATGCTGGTTCTCTGCCTTATTCCTAGAGAACCACTGAAATGGTCCAGAGAAGGGCCTAGAGATCATTTTATCGGTGCTCTTGTTATTGTTTTATTAAAGTTCTCTCTGATAATTCTGATATGAACCATTGATCTGGATTAATTGTTTAAAAGCATTTTCAGTTCTTATTTCAGAGGGTTACATAAGAAGAAATTGTTCCAAGCTGATATGAATGTAAACTGGCATCATGTCCTGATTTAAACATGTATGACCTTCAACAAAACAGAAAGTGACTCATTCATCTGTGACTCATCCCCATTCAGATGTCACCACGGACACAGCACAAAGACAGCACAGTCGGAAACCGTGTGTGTAGGTGGTCAGATTGAGGGACATTTCTCTGGCACCAGCAACTTTATCTTCACAAGAAGAATACTTCCTTTAAAATGACCAGTTTTCATGAAAGAATATTTCTTGTCTCTCAGTTTTGCTTCAACTTCCTCATCTGGAAAGTGGGCTTAGCAGCAGTTCCTGTCTCATAAGGTTGTTGTGAGGATTAAGTAAACAAAAGCAAGTTACACACACACACACACACACACACACACACACGGAGCTTGGTTGTACACAAAACTTTTGATTTGACACAAGTAAGCTGTCAGTAATATTAGAATCTGTGGAAAGTTAAATAAGTGTCAGTTGGCAGGACATAAGCAAATGTCTCTTTTTTTTTGAGATGGAGTCTTGCTCTGTCACCAGGCTGGAGTGCAGTGGTGGATCTCAGCTCACTGCAACCTCCGCCTCCCGAGTTCAAGCGATTCCCCTGCCTCAGCCTCCCAAGTAGCAGGGATTACAGGCACATGCCACCACGCCCAGCTAATTTTTTGTATTTTAGTAGAGACAGGGTTTCACAATGTTGGCTGAGATGGTCTCGATCTCCTGACCTGGTGATCCACCCGCCTTGGCCTCCCAAAGTGCTGGGATTACAGGCATGAGCCACTGCACCTGGCCGCAAATGTCATTTTTTTAAAAAAACTTTCATCCTAGTAAGTACAGACTAGTAAATTTGCTCTCTATAGACGCCAACATTTTAGAATCATTCCATCAACAGTGACCACCAGGAGCTAATACAGGTTCACTGAGAATAAGCCCTGTTAAATAAAGGCCTCTTTCTAATATGAATGATTACTGAATTGGCAAATTGGAAGATAAAATACATCTTGACAATTAGCAAGGCATTCGGCAAGTTGTTTATATATAATGAGACTTGTGAATACAATAAAGGCATGTGCTTTTAGTTGAATTCCCCAATTAACTTTTTTAAAAAATGAATTGACAGCTCTTTGAGCTTTCTCTAATGTTTGGCATTCTTCACGGTGTCTTAACTTGGAGCCTTCAGATGCCCAGTGCAAACCCTTAGTCAGTGTGAACACTCCATAAAGATTCATTAAATGAATGCTCCGAAGGGATAAAATTCTAGTTAAAGTCCCCCTCACTGCTCTCTCCTTGGTTCCCATTGTGTTGAATATATTAACTGATAGCTTAGATAACAATGATGGATGATGAGATCAAAGCTCTAAATATTCTCTACATGAAATCAATGAGGAATAAGAAGATAGGCTGGGTGTGGTGGTTTATACTCGTAATCCCAGCACTTTGGGAAGTGGGAAGATCGCTTGAGGCCAGGAGTTCGAAACCAGCCTGGGCAGCAAAGTGAAACCTTGTCTTTACAGAAAAATGAAAAACATTAGCAGGCTGGGACTACAAACGCACACATTTCTAGTTCCAGCTAGTTGGGAGGCTGAGGCAAGAGGATTTCTTGCACCCAAGAGTTCAAGGCTGCAGTGAGCTATGCTTACGCCACTGCACTCCAGCTTGGATGACAGAGTGAGACCCTGTCTCTGAAAAAAAAAAAAAAGATTAAAAAGGAAAAAAAGATGACCTCTTTTTGCTTAATAAGCAAGGACAAAAATGTAGTTGGGAGATCTGGCTTAGCAGCATTCTTGTAAAATCAATGTTCACTTGACAACAAAGTAAATTTGAACCAGGATTGTTCTTGGCAACGGACACATTAAAAAACGTTAGCAAGCATTAAGTTATCCGATGATCATAAGTAATGGTCTTATTGTATTCAGCACCAGTAAGACCTCATTGGAGGATTCTCCTTGATTCTCGCTGTAGAGGGTTGAATTGTGGTCCCTCAAAAGACACATTCATCAGGAGCCTGTGGATGTGATCTTATGTGGAAAAAGGGTCTTTGCAGGTGTAATTAAGGTGGGTAAAGTTAAGTGAGATCATTTTGGATTCAAGGTGGGTCCTAAAGCTAATGACAGGAGTCCCTTTAAAAAGAGAGGAGGGGGATGAGTGAAGATGGGGACAGGGGTTGGAGTGATGCAGCCACGAGCCAAGGAAATCCAAGGATTGCTGGGAGCCACCAGAACCTGGAAGTGACAACAAGTGATCTGCCCATTGAGACTTTGGAGGGAGTGAGGTTCTGCCAACACCTTGATTTTGGACTTTTGGCCTCCAGAGCTGTGAGAGAATAAATTTCTGTCATTTTAAGCCACCAGGTTTGTCAGTGGCATTCCCAGGAAACTAAAACATCCATTATCCTATTTATGCAGATGTGTAAATAAATCAATAAGCACCACAAGGAAGGTAACTAAACTAATGTACTGATTAAGGAGAATAGAACTGAGGTCTTGACATATTTCAGAGGAAAGTGCCAGAGAAGACTGGGAAAGACAGTGACACTGGCCGAGGGCTGCTCTGACTCAAGTCCCCCATGCATCAGCCTCACAGCACTCTTCTCCATTTGCTACTTCGTTCATTCCTTTCTGCAGAAGTATTTCCTGAGCACTGACTATGTGCCAGGCCCACTTCCAAGGCACTGGAGATAAACCAGTGATCAGACAGAGAAGAAAGGCCTGCCTTCATGGAGGTGGAGTTCTGGGGGGGAGAGTTCAGAGAAGGTAAGTAATTGAAGAAGGGAACAAAAGCCAGAATTTTGTTTGTTTTTGTTTTTAATGCCCAGCTCAGATGAAGATTGAAGTCACCAGTAGCAGCCCCAGGAAAGGCTTTTGACTTGAGGAAGTGTTCACATCAAGGGTGAGTTAAAAGAGACCCTTCTTTCACCCTGGAGGAAAACCAAAGTCAGAACTATCTTAAGCATTGATTAATAATAAAAAAGAGTTTGTGGAAAAGTTCCAAATTTTTATCTAGATTTATTTTTCTTATAATTTTCTTCTTTGGGACTCTTGCTTTGTGGTCATAACCAATGTTAAGGCTTTTACCTTTCAAAGGTACATCTAAAGAATTGTGTTCCTTTTTCTTTGGGGCAAGGACCCTATGAGAAGCTTGGGTGGTGGAATCATGAAGCATTACTATCCAAATGGTGGTAATTATTCTAATTGAAGACAAAATGCCTAGGAGGAATGGAAATGCCTCTTGATTGTTACTTTCGAAACCCAGACTTTAAAAAGACTGTGAGAAGCAGAGAAAGCGTTTTCAATTTTACAAAGAAAATTAAGAGAAAAACAATAGGCTTCCCTTGGAAACAGAATCTACTACGAGTTAGCTTTGCTAGAATTCAACTCTTCTGTAAAGTAAAAGATGCCGGTTATAAATGTACCTGGATTTGTAAAAAAGCCAGGAAATTCCAACAACACATCTATTTATCAGAAACAGAGAGTTTTTGGTTACATAGCTGCAGAAGCAGTCTGCTCTATAGTCTTTGATTATGAAAATTTCTTTTATTATTGACTTTGCTTTTAATCCAATGAACTTTGTTATAGAGCTATGTTCCCAAGGGATTTGTTATTTAAAGTAGTGCTGTGTGTGAGAAGGAACAGATGGAGGTACAGAAAAGCAAACCCCATCTTTTCTCCTGGGAGAATTTCTGCTAGGAACAATATTAGTCAACAGAATACATGCAAAGGCAATGAAGACCAGAGGATTTCTTCTTTCTGTGATGGCCAGCAAAGAGGAGCAATCCAGAAGCTGCTGGCCTGAGATCTCACAGGGAAACCACATCCAGGGCTGTGGATTTACCTGAACAAATAGACGGAGGCCTTCCAAAGCTGCAGTCTAAATGCTGTTTATACTGTAAATAAGAAAGACACAAACAGCTCTCTGATGAGCTACTGTCACATCTGGGCTGCCTCGTGGGAACGGAGGTGGGTTAGGGAGGGCTGGGCTGGCTGGGAGTGCTAAGGTCTGCCCTCCTGGTAAAACTTGGGAGATGCAACAGATAAGAGATCTGGAAACACACAATCCTGCACTCTCCGAAAACAACATGGGGGCTGAATTCCTTGCCTATCATTTCTCCAAAAATTAGCCATAGGGGAATGTGAAGCAGGAATCAGACAGCTCATCCAGTAGCCTGTCCAGTGACTGGAATCCCCACCACTCCCTCTTACCCCTTTGGTTGTGCCATTGGTCTGCAAAGGCCCAGATACTAGCATTCAGTAGGGGTTGGTGTCAATAGGGTCAATATTTGTTGGACACTCTGCATAAAGCTCTGTGCTACTGGGTATGGAAGATACAAAGGAAGACAGACAGTCCCTTTTCTCAGAGCTTTCAGCCTAATTGAAGACATAAACTGGTAAAAATTCAGAAAGTGAAGGAGGACTAAGGATGGACCCCAGGGGAGGTGAGCCAGGGCCCAGCCCTCAGGCTGATGGCTAAGACCTGTCTGCTTCCTCTCCATATCTTTCTCCAGCTAGTCCAGTCTTCTGCTGGCTTCCGTCACACTTTGCTTATGACCCCCTGCAGACAGCCCCTTCCCTTCTGGCCTGCTCCCATCCCTTCCTCTTTACCCAGCCAAGCCAGCAAGCCCGGCTTCAATTTCTCCTCCTCCACGAAATCTGTGAACCATCTTAGTGGAAAGTTTTTGTTCCTCCTTTGAGTGCTCACTGCATTTATCGTGTAGAACTGTGGTTCTCAAACTGTGTGCCGATGTGCTTAGGGCACTGCATTGAGCTATGGAATATTGTCCATTTTCTCCAAGAAAACATCTGTCAAACATCACACAAACTCCTAACTCAAGGTAGTGCCCAGTTTCAACATTAGATTGTACCACATTCCTTTTGATGGAATTTTTTTTCCAGTTGCTGTGATTAAAACAAATAAATTCCATGTGAAAATCAATGTGGAACAGAAAATGAGGGTGGCTCTGTACAGCCTGATTCCAAGATCTGAGAAGTTGTGTCGTGCCCATAAATAAGTCATTGTAATTATTTAATAATGGAATACAAACCTTTTTTCTTTCTACTTTTTGCGTATTAATTTTTCAAATGGCTACTAAATTTTTAAGCCACAAACACTTATTAAGTCGTTTGGACCTAATTACTTAATTACTTAATAAACAGAAGTGTTGGTATTTCTTTTGGCCTGGGGCACCATGAGAAAATTACAGAGACACTAAGTTTCCATGACTGGAGAAAGTTTGGAAACTTCTGGTCTAGAAGATTCACTAGACACACATAGCATTTAAGACGTGAATTCTTGTTTTATCTTCTCGTGTGTGTACTTGCAAAGCAAGCTAGGTTTTTCTGCTTGTTTGTTTGGTTTACCCTTGGGCTGGGCTTGAGAGAAATAAGAGAAAGTTTTCTCTGCAAGACCCAAAGACGCTACTAGAAAGGAGAAAAAGTGACCAGCAGTTGGATCTGAAAGAACTAGAAGAGCTTAAATGGGAAGAGAACCAAAGCAAGGGAAAGGCCAGGAGGAATCCATAAATAAAATTAGGTTTAATTAAGTGAGCAGTTAGAGGATTGTATCACTTTTACTCAAAGGCATTTTACTCCTCTGCACAAAAGCTTTTGAACAGCATATGTTGTTTCTTATTTCATAATGAGGGGTAGATTTTAAGTAAGCTTGTTTTATTACTATTAATAGATGTTTTAAGGTTAATACTAATGAGGGAATGAAAAGTTATTTCCATTTATTTGTTTGTTTGTTATGTTTTGTTTTGTTTTCAGTGCTTTATGTCTACAGTTTTCCATGCCGAAAACACTCTACTTAGCTATTCAAACAAAGCACCAGTTCATCCACGGTTGATTGCAGGTGGAAAGATGAACTTGGGAGGAATCTTCTCCCGGTGAATTTGCCAGCTTCTGGTAGGTGGGGATGGTGCCAAGTGCGAAGTTCCTTGGACTCCCTGCAAAGAGTCTCGAATGCTAAATAGCTAAGGGTTTTTGATTGATTGGCCCATGGGGCCCATGAAGGGAGGAAACTTGGGAATTTATAATGATAGTTTAGAATTTAGATCACTTTATGTTGACAGTAGGTTTTTGCCAACACTGTAGTAAGATTAATGGGTGGTAACTCAACCTCTTAGAACTCAGTTTCTTCACAGCATTGATGTGAAGTTTAAATAAGGTCATATGACAGGACAGTGCACAAAATAAACAAGATGATGGAACATGTGCTTCCTTTACACCGTCCCTTTCTTTTGTCCCTTCCTCCAGACATTCTGGCTGCTGACCGACCAGGTGGGCTTTGGCTATCCTTGTTTTGCCCTCTTGGTACTGTATTCTTTTGATTTCTCTCTGTCAAGCTGCCCTCCGACCATCGGTGCGCTGGTTCTCACATTTGTGTGTTTGGTACCTTTTGGTCTGGATTCCTCCCCAGTGCCCTTAGTCTGCCACGGCCAAGCATGACGGCTGGCTTGGCGAGGTTTCAACGGGGATTAGAGGCGTGTGGCTGTGACCACATCTTCAAACAAAGCTCAAACCCGGGGACTCCCCTCCAAAAAACTGTGGATGAGATTTTCCTCTGATCTCAGAAATTTAGAATCAAGTAGTGGGTAAATAGCTGACCCCTGTTCTAAATTCTGGCTCCACCATTAACGGCTGCAGGGTCTTAAGCAAGTTACTTAGTGTATCTGAGCTTCAGTTTCCTCATCTATAAAATGGGAATAAAAATAGCATCTACTTCATAGGGTTGCTGTGAGGATTAAATGCTCATACATGAAAGTGCTTAGAAGCGTGCCAGGTATAGTGGAGGTGCCCCATCCAGTGGTTGTCACCCGTTGAAGTCCTTAAACCTCTCTTGGCTCCAGTCTTCTTCTTTTTTTTCTTTTTGGAGGGTCTTTCTCTGTCACCCAGGCTACAGTGCAGTGGTGCAATCATGGCTCACTGCAGGCTCAACCTCCTAGCTCAAGCAATCCTCCCACCTCAGCCTCTGGAACAGCTGGGTGTGCGCCACCACACTCAGCTAATTTTTAAATTTTCTGTCAAGACAAGCTATTGCTATGTTGCTCAGGCTGGTCTCAAACTCCTGGGCTTAAGCAGTCCTCCCGCCTCAGCCTCCTAAAGTGCTGGGATTGCAGGGATGAGCCACTGTGCCCAGCGAGCCCCAGACTTCTTATCGGCCCAGGGTTGGCAGCATCCGCCCACCTGCTTCACCGTGGTGTTGTAATGGAAATTGCAAGAGGGCTTTCTAAATTAGAAAGTTCTGTACAAACATAAGGCTTCTATTTGTTATTACTGACTTCTTTTATTATGGTCAATGGAGAGCATGGCTGTGCCCAGGCATCCCCCACCACTGTGTGGGACTCACTTCCAGCAGCTGCCTCAGTCCCCAGAGGGCACCCAGGGAGATGTGATGCTTGGATCCTCCCTGGGCTGTGAACAAGTCCAGAGCCTGGTTTTCCATCTCTCCTTTCCTCAATTAGGGGAACAGTCAGGCACTGTCAGTTCTTTTTCAGGTCCCAACAAGCCCTGGGCTGCCCTGGAGGGAGAAGGAGAAGAGAGGAGAGGGAGGAAACTCTCCCTGTAAAACTTGGCTTCAACTGAATAGCTTCCAGTTGCCTTGAAATCTAATCTTCTTTTGAACTCAAATTTGCCGTCAGTCACATTCTTGGAAGGCGATGAGCTCCAGCCCCATCCTGACGGATGGGAACGATAATACCTTTCCAAGAACCCCACTCCTGGGGTGGTAGGAGCTGTCTGTCCGCTAAGGTTTTCTTTCACCTGTTCAGGAAGACTGAAGTGTCTGGGGAGCTTCAGCCCTGGGGAACCCTACAGACATCCTATTATCTGGGCATAGGAGAGACAGTGGCCCTCTTCTTACCTGCTGACGCTAGAACTGAGGAAGATTTTTATATCCCTTTCACAGATGCTTACTGAGTTCCCAATTCCCTGGTTTTTCTATTCCAACCAGCAAAACTTGACCCCATGTGACACTCACTAACTTGTGAATTAATTAATCCAACAAACATGTGTTGCATACTTACCCTGGATTCTAGGCACTGGGAAGGACAGTGGACAGGATGAGCAAACACCTGCTCTCCATGACGTGCACCCCCAACACGTAGCTAACAGAAAGGTCAGGACTGAAATCAGCCAGAGAGACAGGTCTGGACTTCAAGTCAGAAAGTTTGGGCTTGAGAGAGAGCTCTGACAAGTGAAAGATGTGTGATTTTGGATAAACCACTTAGTTTCCGTGAACCTCAGTTTCCTCATCGTAAAATGTGCATGAGTCAGTTTGGGATACTGTAACAAATTACCATAGACTGGGTGGCTTATCCAATAAGCATTTATTTCTCATAGTTCTGCAAGCTGAAAGTCTGATGTCAGAGTGCCAGAATGGTTGAGTTCTGGTGAGGGGCCCTTTCCAGGTTGCAGATGGCCAAGTTCTCATTGTGTCCTCACGTAGAGGAAAGGGGCGAGAGAGCTCTTTGGGAGCTTTTTTTTTTTTTAAATAAGGACACTAATTCCATTTGTGAAGTTTCCACCTTCATGACCTAATCACCTCTCAAAGACCTCACCTCCTAGTACGATCACATTGGGGGTTTGAACCTGTGAATTTGGGGAAACACAAACATTCAGTCTGGAGCAGACATAGTATGACCTGCTCATTCACTGCCGTTGCAATAAAATGAAGGGAAATAAATCATTTGGGCCCAGACATGGTGGCTCACGCCTGTAATCCCAGCAGTTTGGGAGGCCAAGGCGGGCGGATCACCTGGGGTCAGGAGTTTGAGACCAGCCTGGCCAACATGGTGGAACCCCCAACTCTACCAAAAATACAAAAATTGGCTGGTCATGGTGGTGCGCACCTGTAATCCAGGCTACTCGGGAGGCCGAGGTAGGAGAATCACTTGAATCTGGGAAGCGGAGGTTGCAGTGAGATCACACCACTGCACTCAAGCCTGGGTGACAGAGAGAGACTTTATAAAAGAAGAAAAGAAAAGAAAAGGAAGGAAACATTTGTTATGCTGTAACATTACATGCAAATTGGTCCAGTATAGATCAACTGTGCAATTTCAAACTTTGTATTCAGTGACATGACAACATTCGTTGAACACCTACAATATGCCATGGACTTGGATTGCACAGATGATTATTCATCTGTGTACAAATATGTATCTTATGATACAGCCCCTGTCTTCTGGTAGAGACACAGAAGCAGTTGGTTATAAAGCTATGCAGTGAGAGCAATGACAGAGCCACAGAAGAGAGCTATGGGAGCATGGAAGAGAGGACATTTCTGATTAAAAGGTACTGTGAACAAAAGAATGTAAACTAGCTACAGCAAGGTTCTGTGGTTCTATGGCATCGAATATTGACAAGGAGTTCTAGAAGAACAGAGCCGATGGTAGAAAAGGTCTTCCATAAGGTAGGCCCTGCAGACTGTATCTTATTCATCTGCACAATCCAAGAGATGGCCTATTGTAGGTGTTCAATGAATGTTGTCACATAACTGAATACAAAGTTTGGAGTTGCATGGTTGATCTATACTGGGCCAATTTGCATGGTCCTCTCTACCATGGTGATAGAGTTTACCCTCTAGGTGACAGGGTAACACGGAAGGGCTTTGAGCAAGGACATCATAATAGTATCAGATCTGTGTTTTAGTTAACAGCAGTGTGTGAAGGACTGGTTGAATGGGCAACTGCAGAAATAGTGAGTCAATATTACGGTACACCCACAAGCAAGATGGCGACATGAAGTGGGGTGGTAGAAGGAGTTTAGGATGGAGTTGTGAAATATTTAGGATGTGGAATGATAGGGATTGGAAACTGGATGTAGAGTGAATGGGATCAGGAGATGAAGGGATTCCCACATTCCTAGCCTGAGTTTCTACATGGAGGGTGCTTTGGGGAATCAGAAAAGAGAGAAGATTTAAAGGGAGCAGTGGCAAGTTTGAGGTGCTTGTTGGATTTCCAGGTGGCGATGTCTAGCAGCCAACTGAACACAGGTAGTTCTTGCTTTGCATGGTTCTGACAAATATAAATTTCAGTTGCAAGATACAGTTCTTACCACCAGTCCCCCAACAACATGGTTCAACTTTCAGTTACCACAGACATTAACTGTGATTAATGGCATCATGCATCCACTTTGCTGCTAGCTCTGCAGTCCAAAAATCCACCCCATAAATAATAAATGTGCATCATGATCTATGACCAGTCTCATCAAAAAATTCAAAGTCTGTCGAGATTCAAACAATACAGAAATCATGAGGACAGCCCCAAGTCATGCTAACACCCATCTCTGGCCTTCTGCTCCCATCCCAACTCCCCTCACATGGGAAGGACTTCCTGGAAGAAATGGGGCTTCAAGCAAGTCCCAAAACACAATGCTAGAGAACTGTTACATCTTCTGATGTGAAAAGTGAAAGCTAGAAATTCATCAGACTAGCTGGACAGAGATTTCCTGTTTTGTGGAAACAACGTGATTTCTGTCCTACCAGGCATGGAAACTACACCCAGCACCCCAGAATCACAGAAGAAAACAGAGATGACAGAAGACAAATGTCACTGTTCCTCTTCTCTGCACCCCCACCAATGTCCAGTGGCTCTTGTTGGACTGGGGAAATGGGAGAGGAAATAGAAAGTGGGACTGGGGTGAATGGTAGAAACAGCACTGGCCTGGGAGCTTCAATTTCCTCATCTGAAAAATGGGACTATGAAGCCACTTCATCAGCTCGTTGACAAGCGCAAAAGAAATAATGTGTGAGAGAACCTTTTCAACTATGGAAGCCTGTTCAGTGTTCAGCGCAATGAAAATAGCTGAAGAGAGGAGAAAATCGGTCAGGAAAGTGGTATCCTGGTTTCCACCCACCTCACAAACAATAACAGCAGCCACAAATGTTGATGTCATTCCTACTACATGCCAGTCAATGTGCTGTGATTATTAGCTTCTATCTATTTTGTGCTTGGAGCAGGTGACTTGAGATTTACAGGGGTTATCTCATTGAGTTCTCGAAGGATTACAACTCAGCCTTTTGTTATCAGCTAGCACCTCTGTGGGAATGAACTTATCAGGATCCACAGGACAGGGCTTTTTAGATTTGCAAAGGTCCATGGGATGGGCTGCTCCTGGGAAAGCCAAGTTAGGGCACCGGCAGGGCCAGCAGTGGCAGGAAGAGGGAAGGCTTGGGGTCCACTGAATCTGGATCAAGGCTCAACAGCCTCCACTGAGCATCTCTGTGATGATGGGCAAGTGAGTCACCTGACCTCTATTGACCTTAATTTTCAGGAACAGCAGGATATTAATAGTACTCATATCATAGCAATGCTAGGAGGCTTAAATTTAACAATGCACTTGCTACTTTTGCTGTAGGAAATGCTAGCTCCCAGCCAGACCAAAGGGGCTGGTGAGTCTGTCCCCTCTGCCCACTGTGGAGGCTTCACCAGGCAGCACCAAGAAAAGAGCCTAATTCCAGGGGCTGCCTCCAGGGAGCTCCTTGTCAGCCCAGGCCTCACCCCACGAGAGGGTTTCTTGGCCCCCAGAGTCCTTCATGCCTCTGTTTGAGGACAATTTGAGCTGTTCTCAATGTAGAATTCTGGGCTGGGAGTCATAAACAATAGTCAGGGACTAGTCAGACACCTATTGGGCTTGATCCAGACTCTTTACTTTTTTTTCTCCCTCCTACTCTCCTTCTTTCCTTCCTTCCTTTCTTCCTTCTTTCCTTCCTTCCTTTCTTCCTTCTTTCCTTCCTTCCTCCCTCCCTCCCTCTCTCCTTCCCTGTTATCTTCTCTGCCCCCTTCTTCTCATACTTTTTCTCACCTCTCTTTCTTCCTTCTTCTAAAAAAATATTTATTGAGCATCTACTATAAGCCAGATATATTTCTAGAGCTGGGAGTGTAGGAGTGAACAAAACAATGCCCTCATCCTCAAGAGGCTTAAATTATATCTGGGAAGAGAGACAACACAGCAAAAATATGTGCTGATTAAGACCATGGGAAAATAATCAAGGAGGGAAGGTAGGCAAAGAGTCAGGGTGGGCAAGGATGGCATTTTAAGAAGGTTTATTGGGAAGAACTCATTGGTAAGGTGATATTTAAGCAGAAGCTTGTAGTGGGGTGGATTTTATTGGTGCCATCAGCAACCTGGCAGCTGCCAACATCTAAACACACCCATCCATCCTGTGTATAGACACAGTTTTTGTGTGCAGTGTACATATCTCTACGTAGGTAAACGCACACGCGTGTGAGGGTGTTTTCATAGGATCGGTCCTGACCTCCTGATAGAGATGCACCTTGATCCCATGGCCATTCACCAGCTGGCTGGCAAGACAAAACTCCTGTCCTCCCCCACTGCGGCTTGATCGTTGCCTTCCCTTCCTGCTCATAACTGCAGACCTCACTGCAGTGAGGACAGCTTCTACCTCTTCCCCCAAGCTCTCACTGACCCTGTGCTAGTCTGGACACTCTGAGTCTGTCAAGGTGACTGGAAGGGAGAGAGAGGAAGGAAGGTCATCTTCAGGGTCACTTCTCCTGTTTTCCCTTGTAGCCACTCACTGCCAAGGGGCCCTACAGACATGTCCACACACCCTTCTTGTTTCCCACCTGTGGAAACACTCATCCTTTCCTCATCCCCAAGTCCCCTTCCCAGCTCTTGGGCTAAACATCTTGTGAGGCATACTGTACCTGTTTTTCCCTCTCAAGAGAATCACCCATAGCTTCATCATCATTAATGCCTGCCTTTTCCCACAGGGATTAGGTGAAAAGAGGAAAAAGAAAGAGAGAGGAAGGAAGGAAGGAAGGAAGGAAGGAAGGAAGGAAGGAAGGAAGGAAGGAAGATGAGGGGAGGGGAGGGGAGGGAAGGGGAAGGAAGGGGAGGGGAGGGGAGGGAGACGAGGGAGGGAAGGGAGGGAGGGAAGGGAGGGAGGAAGGAAATGAGAAGGCTGGGGCTTTTCACTCACAGAACTATCATTTTTGTAACTGGCCACAACAAGCCTTAGAAGCTCTCAAAGGAGTGGGGTTTGGCTTCAGAGCACCGTGCTCGGGCCATCCTTTAATGCCCCCTGCCTTCTGTTCTGCAGTAACACAGGAGGAGAGAAAACCTGTCAGAAGCAACAGGTGACAGAGGCAAAGGGGAGGACCGAGGATGAGGCCTCGTTGAAAGAGCAAAGGAAGATGCCCAGGGCCACTGGGGAAGGGTCCTGGGGGTGTCCTGCCAACAGACTCCCTGAATCCCTGATCCTCCTCACCCCCTATCCAGCTTCAGCTCCAGCTCTTTTGGAGGCCCTGCCAGGGGCCATGGGACCCCCATCAGTGCCTGCTAGGGGAACACGGCAGTGCAGTTGGTGGTAAAGTCCCAGATACACCCATGGTCTGCCTACCTCAGCCAGAGGGACCCCTGGGCAAGTCTTGTGCCCACACACTTCCTCATGCATGGAAGGGTGCTGTGTCTCCCAGGAGCAGAGGAAAGAACTGCCAAACTCACTTCTGCTCTGAAGTCTAAGAAAACCTAGTATAAACACAGTAGACTCTTTGAATTATCCACATGAAATGTTTAACACATTTAGCCTGGAGGAGATGAGATTTAATAAGGGGATGTTCCCATGGTGATTTTATTAGGAACTTTAATAATCAGCTACACTCATAGAGCGCCTGGTATCGTATCAGTCACCAGGCTTCAGGCACCTTGCCACACACTCTTTTCCCTGAAATCCCTGTCAGGACCCCCCACCCCGACACACACACATACACCACCACCACCAGCACCACCAATGTTACAGCAAGGAAACTTCTCTGAGGTCCAGCGGCATTAAGTAACTAGCTCAAAATCATGCAACTAGTCAGTATTAGTCAGACTTGGAAGCCAGAACTGGCTGACTCCAAAACCTGAAGCCTCTATCACTGAGCTGTTCATCTTCAACTTACACTTCAAGGATTAACCAGGCAGGCAAATGCAATCCTTACAGCGCTGGTTCATAGAAGGCAAATTTGATGACTTGAGTCCTCCATAGTTCTATTGCTTTCTCCTAAAATCTAAGCAATTCTGCAAGACTTAGAAGCTTCTGGAGGCAATTCAGAGATATTTACAAAAACGTTATTCCATTTACGGGTAAGCACCTAATGCTATACAAGTACTTTTAAAATCAACAGTAGGCCAGGCACAGTGGCTCATGCCTGTAATCCCAGCACTTTGGGAGGCCAAGGAGGGTAGATCACCTGAGGTGTCAGGACTTCAAGACCAGCCTGGCCAACATGGTGAAACCCCATCGCTACTAAAAATACAAAAATTAGCCAGGCGTGGTGGCACACTCCTGTAATCCCAGCTACTTGGGAGGCTGAGGCAGGAGAATCGCTTGAACCCGGGTGGCGGAGTTTGCAGTGAGTCGAGATCACGCCATTGCACTCCAGCCTGGGTGACAAGAGACAAACTCCATCTCAAAAAAAAAAAAAAAGGAAAGAAAAGAAAAGAAAAAGAAAACAACATTATCTTTTTAGACATTTTATGTGTTTTATTTTTAAGTTATAATTTGTTACATAAACATGACAACATTCATAGGAATCAAACAATAAGGAAGAATTCACCCCCAATTTTACCTTTTCAATTAGTTCCTTTACACATTCATGGGGAAACCACTTGTAAGACACTTATATACTTTGCCAGAAACAAAATAAGACAAACTCTTTGAAAGTTTCTAAACAGAACTCCTCAAAAACAAAGGATTTGATAATATATATGTTTCCACCCAACTCAAAAATTATCACAAAAGAGGAAGACACTGAATCATTATCACGAGGTTAGGAGTGTTTTCCTAAATACATAGTTCTTATTTCATTGCTTCACCATTCCCCACCGACCCTCACTGCAATTGTTTACCTCCTGCTTTTCACCTTCTATGTCTCAAGTTCTTACCTTCAACTGCCACCAACCCTAGACAAGTCAGCATCTATTATCTCTTTCCTGAATATTATAATCACCTCCTACTCTTTTCCTGCACATGCACAGTTGCTCCTCTGCCATCTATTTTCCATACTGTACCTACAGCGATCTTTTCAAAACACAAATCTGATTGTTCTTAGAATAAAAACCCGAATTCTTAACATGACTCTGAAGGATATTCTTGGCTGCCCAGCAGCAAGCATAACCCTTTTCCTCCTTCCTATGAGAAATGTTATCAGTTAGGGCGTGTTCATATGCAAGCAACAGAGTACCCGACTCACAGCAGCTTAAGCAATAAACACTGTCAATCATCTCATCTATGTTTCACGTTTGGTGTTGCTGCTCGACAATGCTGTCAAAGGCCCAGGCCTTTTACTTGTGCTGTCATCTCCAGTATGTTGGCCATTGGCCCTCAGTAATCTGTCACCTCCTGGGTGCAAGAGGGTTGGTGCAGCACTAAATGTCACAGCTGCATTTAAAGATAAGAAGCCTGGGGAAGACTCTGAGTGGTTAAGGGGCATTGCTTCAAGTGCAGTATCATTTCACAAACAAAAGAAATATTCCTAGAAGCTCCCCAGCAGACTTCTTAAATCTCATGGGCAGGACTGTGCCACATGGCACCTTCCAACCACTAAAGCACCTGGGAATGAAAAAATATGGGAAAGGGAAAAGGTTATTGCCATCACTGACTTAATCCAACCACAATTCATTCCCTGGGACAGAGGGAAGGGCCTATCTTCTCTGTCCTCTACCCTAGCAGAATTGGTGGTTCTGTTAGCAGGAAAGAAGGTGTACGGGGTTGCAGGATGGAATTAGCAGTTGGGACAGTGGCAGAATTTGCCATAGGTCTCCATGCTGTCACCCCACCACCCATGTTTTTGGGGCAGCTGGCCTCGTCCCCTGCTCCCATGGCAGGCCCAAGTCATCAAATGGCAATTTCATCCCTCTGCCAGTAACTGACTTAGTGGGCTGATGAGACATGAAGGGAGGCCTGGGGAGACTTCTGGGAAAGTTCTTCCTTTATTTTTCTAGGAAAGCATTTGGATGCAATCTTGAACTCTTCCTTAGGATATAGTCTTGCATGGAGGTAAAGCTCTTAAATCCTGTAGCCATCTTGCTTCCAGCCTGATATACAAGAATGAGCAGAAGTGGGGCAGAGTTGAGAGATGAGAGAGATCAGAGAAGCACAGATGGAGCCTGTGGCCAGCAGCCTCTGAGATGGCCCCATGGTCCCTGCCTCCTCGTATTCATGCCCTTGTATAATCTCCTTCCTTCAGTGTGGGCAGGACCTAAGAACTCTCTTCTAATGCATAGAGTAGGGCGGAAGTGATGGCATATTATTTCTGATATTAAGTTATAAAAAGATAACACCTTCTGTGTTGGGTTCTCACTCCCTCTCTGCCTCTCTCTTTCTCTATCTGTCCTTCCCTCTCACTCTCTTCTCACTTGCAACTGGGGAAGCAAAGCTTCCATGTTGCAAGCATCCTTATGGAGAGGCCCAAATGGTGAAAAACAGGCTCTCGGCGTGATGGTGTGAGAGGAACTAAAGCCTATCAACATCCATGCAACAGATCTTGGGAGCAGATCCTTCAGCTTGTCAGGTCTTGGGATGACCACAGCCCTGGTTGATAATTTGGCTGCAACCTCTTGAAAGATCTTGAGCTAGAGGCATCCACCTAAGCAATTCTTAAGATTCTTGACTCAGAGAAACTGTGAAGAAAAAGTATATTTTTTTCAGCTGCCAAGTTTGGAGGTAATTTGCTATGCAGCAATAGATAACTAATATGGAGATATTAGATTAAGCCAGTTCTGCAGACTGCTTGTGCTTAGGACTTGCAGTCATATGAGACGATACATTTTCTTATTTCTTAAGCCAACTTAAGTTGGGTTTCTGTTACTTGCAGCTAAAAGCACATTAACTGATAAAAAATAAGGCTTCACATTATCTGTCTGTAGCCTGCCTCTCCAGCAGCATTTGACAATACTTTCCCCCTTCCTTGGCAAAATTCCCCAACCTCCATCTGAATTACATCAAGTCCCCCTGTGATGTGCTTTTCATAGCACTTGTATCTTTCTCTGGGGATTTAAACACAGTGGAGAATTAGCTTTATGGAATCATTCGATTATTTCTGTCTCTCTTTTCTGAGGACAGGACTCATATCTTCCTGGGCACCATTGTATTTGAGGTAGGAAGCGGGACTCAACTCCAGAGGTGAGGCTTGGACATGGAACCAAATTGAGGACTAGCTAAAACGGCCAAGGCAGAAGCAGCTTTCCATAAGACACACCCACCAGTGTGCCCTGTCAGTTTACCATTGCCATGGCAATACCCGGGAGTTGCCACCCCTTTCTGTGGCAATGACCTGATGACCCAGAAGTTACTACCCTTTTCCTAGAAATTTCTGCATAAACTACCCCTTAATCTGCATGTAATTAAAAGTAGGTATAAATATGACTGCAGAACTGCCCTGAGCTACTGCTGTCTGCCTGTGGGCTAGCCCTGCTCTGCAGGAGCAGTCACAAGGGCCATAACGCTGCTGAAGCTGTAACACCACTAAAGCTGTAACACCGCTGCTTCAATAAAGCTGTTTTATTCAACCTCCAGCTCACCCTTGAATTCTTACCTGGGCAAAGCAAAGAACCCTCCCAGGCTAAGCCCCAGTTTGGGGCTCACCTGCCCTGCACCATATCCACATTGCTGGACACATGCTGGAGCAGGACAAGATCTCAGTGAATAATTAGGGAGAAATGAACAAATGCATTGGAAATATACATTGGTTGCTCTAGAGAAAGGCCAGAACTAAGTAGATAGATTTCAGAGTCAGCAGTATAAAAGGCATATTTGACTTCCTCCTGGGAATGTGTGACTCTCCCAGGAAAAAATATGTGGAAGTGAGGGTGAAACTTGAGAATGACCAATCTGTGGAGGTTGGGGAGAAAGAGAACCCAGCAGAGGGGGTTCACAGGTGATGAGCAAGACATCCTGTAATGCCAAGGTCATTTGGCTCTCAGAAGGAACTCCAACTGCTTGAGAAGTGACAAGCACTGTGCATGCAAAGATGTGGCTCTCAGGGTGTCAAGCGGGAATTGTACCCACCAAGCCAGGCTGCAGAACAGCACCTCAGAGTGTGGGGCCTGAGAAGGGCATGTGAGCTACTCTTCCTTATGAAGTGAATGGACCAGGATGAGTCATCCCCCTCCCCACACCCACCTCCCTGTGCCCCATATCACCTAGTCAGCATGGGGATGAGGCAGACAGCGGAAGTGTAGCCTTTGAAGACAGTGCCAATCACACCACTTTTTAACAAGAAAGGGGGTTTTCTCCCAACGCAGATCTAATTGCAGCATCCATCACTGCCAACCAGAAGGCTGCACTGACTGCAGAAGAGTCCCGAGAGGGTGGCCCAGGCACCCAGCGAGTGCCATCGATGTGGAGAATGCAGGCTCCACCTTCTCTTTTCTTTAAATAGCTGAGGCAGGGACTTAGATTATCCTGATAATTGTTTATCCCCCTACTTTTTGTTCAGCCTCTAACTCACGTGTCTAGCTGAGCCTAAAATCCTATCTGGCAATATTGAATGAGGGACAAATGTGGCCCTTATTAACACAGTGTCTATCAAAGTAAGTGCTTGAGACAGAAAGCTAAATGTCCAGATGACTGAAATGTGCTCATTGAACACTAAAAAATAAAGAAAGAAATTAAGCAGTATCAAATTGAACACACACGTGTCACTCACTCTGGCTGCAACCTACAACTCCACACAACTGCCTTCCCTCTTTCCTTCCTTGATGGGTTAAGGAGGGTGGTGGAGGAGTGGGAAACGCATGGTTGGGAAAGGGGATTATCTAGAGCAGGAGTCAGTGAACTTTTTCTGTGAAGGGCCAAATAGCAAATATTTTAGGCTTTATGGACCACGTAGTCTCTGTATTAATCCACTCTCACATGACTGTAAAGAAACACCTGAGACTGGGTAATTTATAAAGAAAAAAGGTTTAATGAACTCATGGTTCCACAGGCTGTACAGGAAGCATGACATTTTCTGGGGAGGCCTCAGGAAACTTTCAGTTATGGCAGAAAGTGAAGGGGAAGCAGGCACGTCTTACTTAGCCGGAGTAGGAGGAAGAGGGAGCGAGGAGGGCAGTGCCACACACTTTTAAACAACCAGATCTTGTGAGAACTCTATCACGGGAACAGCACCAAAGGGGAAAATCTACCGCCATGATCCAATCCTCTTCCACCAGGCCCTGCCTTCAACACTGGGGATTACAATTTGACACAAGATTTGGGCGGGGACACAAATCCAAACCATATCAATCTCCATCACAACGAACTAACTCTGCTGCAGCAAAAGCAGACAGACAATACGCAAACAGATGAACGTAGCCGTGTTTCAATAACACTGTATTGAGGAATATTGAAATTTGAATTTTGTATAATTTTCATGTGTCACAAAGTCTTCTTTTGATTTTTTCAACTATTAAAAAATGCACAAAGCATTCTTGGTTCACACACTATACAAAAACAGGTGGTGGGGCAGATTTGGCCCATGGGCTAAAGTTTGCTGACTCCTGACCTAAAGTAAGGAGAGGAGTGAAAACCATCAAAAGGAGCTTCTAAGACTCCCTTCCCCCTTCCTGCCTTCTCTCCCCTACCCCACCTTTCACCCCATAATATTTAAACTTTATCCTGTAACAAGTATTCTTACATTCCCTCTTAGCTTACCTTGCCTATCTTCTCACAAATACTTACATTTGTGTTAGCATTCAAGAAATTGGTCCTTAACCACACATTCCATTTTCATAGCAGAAGGATTAAGGAAAAGCCAGAACTTTCTACAGAGTAAGATCCTTAAGAAACAGGATAGGTGGATAGGTGGAGAAACAGAAACATGGAGGTGGTAAGACCTGTCAAGAAAAAGTGGCTTTTAAAATTCAACTCTAGTGTGTATATAATTTTTTTTTGAGATGGAATCTCGCTCTGTCACCCAGGCTGGAGTGCAGTGGTGCAATCTTGGCTCATTGCAGCCTCTGCCTTCCTGGATTCAAGGGATTTTCCTGTCTTAGCTTCCTGAGTAGCTGGGAGTACAGGCGCACACCACCACACCTGGCTAATTTTTGTATTTTTAGGAGAGACGGGGTTTCACCATGTTGGCCAGGCTGGTCTCGAACTCCTGACCTCGGGTGATCCATCCACCTTGGCCTCCCAAACTGCTGGCATTACAGGAGTGAGCCACTGTGCCCGACCTAACACAATTTTTAAGAATGGAAAAAAATTCAGCTGTATAAATGTTAGGTTCAGTCAAATGTTCTTTCTATTGCTATACTGTGAAGTGAAACTAATTTCTTGCTAATTATAGTGCCTGTATTTTATTTTTCTTACCTCCTCAAAATGTTAAATAAGCTTCTCTAAGATCTGAAAATCTTCATTCATCTCACTTCAATGACTTTGTTTCATTTGGATGAAACAAATGTCAGATACTGTAACTCGCAATAAAGGAAAGGCCTCACTGCACATACTTATTGTGTGCTAATGCGTTTGAACTTACTATATTTCCAGAAACTTCAGCCTGAGTAAATAAAGGCAGTGGGCATCATGTTTGGAGTCAAACAGACCTGGGTCCAAATCCAGCTCTTTTATTTATTTATTTATTTATTTATTTATTTATTTATTTATTTATTATTTTTGAGACAGAATTTTACTCTGCCACCCAGCCTGGAGTCCAGTGGCATGATCATAGTTCACTACAGCCTCAAACTCCTGGTGATCCTCCTGCCTCAGCCTCCAGAGTCGCTAGGATTACAGGCTCAGGTCACCATGCCCAGCTAATTTTAAAAATTTTTTGTAGAGACAGGGCCTTGCTGTGTTACTCAGTCTTGAACTCCTGGCCTCAGCCATCTGTATTAATCCATTTCTATGCTGCTGAAAAAGACATATCTGAGACTGGGAAGAAAAATAGGTTTAATGGACTTACAGTTCCATGTGGCTGGGGAAGCCTCACAATCTTGGCAGAAGGTGAAAGGCACTTCTTACATGGTGGTGGCAAAAGAGAATGAGAGAGAAGTGAAAGCGGAAACCCCTTATAAAACCATCAGATCTTGTGAGACTTACTCACTACCACAAGAACAGTATGAGGGAAACAGTCCTGTGATTCAATTATCTCACACCGGGTCCCTCCCACGGGAGCTACAAGATGAGATTTGGGTGGGGACACGGAGCCAAACCATATCATTCTGCCCCTGGCCACTCCCAAATCTCATGTCTTCACATTTCAAAACCAATCATGCCTTCCCAATAGTTCTCCAAAATCTTAACTCATTTCAGCATTAACTCAAAAGTTCACAGTCCAAAGTCTCATCTGAGACAAGGCAAGTCCCTTCTACCTATGAGCCTGTTAAATCAAAAGCAAGTTAGTTACTTCCTAGATACAATGGGGGTACAGGCTCTGGGTAAATATAGCCATTCCAAGTGGGATAAATTGGCCAAAACAAAGGGGCTACAGGCCCCATGCAAGTCCAAAATCCAGCAGGACAGTCAAACCTTAAAGCTCCAAAATGATCTCCTTTGACTCCGTGTCTCACATCCAAGTCACACTGATGCAAGAGATTGGTTCCCATGATCTTGGACAGCTCCACCTCTGTGGCTTTGCAGGGTACAGCCTCCCTCCCAGCTGCTTTCACAGGCTGGCTTTGAGTGTCTGCAGCTCTTTCAGGTGCACGGTGCAAGCTGTCAGTGGATATACCATTCTGGGGTCTGGAGGATGGTGGCCCTCTTCTCACAGATCCACTAGGCAGGACCCCAGTGGGGACTCTGTGTAGGGGCTCTGACTCCACGTTTCCCTTCCATACTGCCATAGCAGAGGTTCTCAGTGAGCACCCAACCCCCACAGTAAACTTCTGCCTGGACATCCAGGCATTTCCATACATGCTCTGAAATTTAGGCAGAAGTTTCCAAACCTCAATTCTTGACTTCTGTGTACCTGAAGGCTCAGTGCCATGGGTTTGGCACTTGCACCCTCTGAAGCCATGGTCCAAGCTGTACCTTGGCCCCTTTTAGCCATGGCTGGAGTGGCTGGGATGCAGGGCACCAAGTCCCTAGGCTGCACACAGCAGGGGGACCCTGAGCCCAGCCCACAAAACCATTTTTTCCTTGTAGGCCTCCAGGCCTGTGATGGGGAGGGGTTGCCTCAAAGGTCTCTGACATGGCCTAGAGACATTTTCCCCATTGCCTTGGCAATTAACATTTGGCTGCTTGTTACTTATGCAAATTTCTGCAGCTGGCTTGAATTTCTCCTCAGAAAATGGGTTTTTCTTTTCTATCCCATTGTCATGCTGTAAATTTTCCAAACTTTTATGCTGTTTCCCTTTTAAAACCGAATGCTTTAAACAGCACCCAAGTCACCTCTTGAATGCTTGGTTCTTAGAAATTTTTCCTGCCTGATACCCTAAATCATCTATCTCAAGTTCAAAGTTCTACAGATCTCTAGGGCAGGGGTAAAATGCTACCAATCGCTTTGCTAAAACATAGCAAGAGTCACCTTTACTCCAGTTCCCAACAAGTTTCTCATCTCCATCTGAGACCACCTCTGCCTGCATTTCATTGTCCATATCATTATCCACATTTTGGTCAAAGCCATTCAACAAGTCTCTAGGAAGTTCCAAACTTTCCTACATTTTTCTCTCTTGTTCTGAGCCATCCAAACTGTTCCACCCTCTGCCTGTTACCCAATTCCAAAGTCGCTTCCACATTTTCGGGTATCTTTTCAACAGTGCCCCACTCTACTGGTACCAATTTACCGTATCAGTCCATTTTCACACTGCTGATAAAGACATACCTGAGACTGGGAAGAAAAATAGGTTTAATGGACCTACAGTTCCACGTGGCTGGGGAGGCCTCACAATCATGGTGGAAGGCAAAAGGCACTTCTTACATGGCAAAGGCAAGAGAGAATGAGAGAGAAGGGAAAGTGGAAACCCCTTATAAAACCATCAGATCTTGTGAGATTTGTTACCACCATGAGAACAGTATGGGGGAAACTGCCCCCATGATTCAATTATCTCCCTTTGGGTCCCTCCCACAACACGTGGGAATGGAGCTACAAGATGAGATTTGGGTGGGGACACAGAGCCAAACCATATCACTGTCCTACCACCTTGGCCTCCCAAAGGGCTGGGATTACAGGTGTGAACCACCATACCCAACCCAAACCCAATTCTCCCGTTGGCTATAGGACTTCACTTCTGGAAGCTTTGGTCCCTTTGATGGTGAAACGAAATACTAGTGGTCAATCGTTCTCATGTTTAATGAGCTCACAAATATGAAGTGCCCAGTTAATTTTAGTGTTCTTCATGCCTTCTATATCTGAGACTCTCCGAATCTCCTGTCAATCTGTTAAAACTTACTTTGAGCACCATTGTGTTCACAGAAGAGAGCTCTCATAATCCCACAATTTTTTTTTGATATAGGAGTAAAATCTTAAAGCAGAGCAAGTAGTTTTAAAAAGCATTCAAAGCAAAACCTTATAAAAGGAAGATAATTTTTTTAAGGCAGTCTCAGAATGTTCAACTTAGGTTCAATTACTTGTAGCAATAATTAATAGCTATTAATAAATGAAGCTGGCTTTCTAGAAGTAACAAAGCCAGAGCAGGACATGAGCTCATGGCTGCTCTTGGCTCTTAAATCCCTGCCAAGAAGAAGGGGGAGACTGCCAAGGAATGTTGGGGGGAATTATCAGGCTTGTGGGTTTGCCAGGGCAGAATTAGCCAGGCTATAATGTGTGCGGGTGGGTTGGGGGGTGCTGTGCAGATGGGAAGATGGCTGGAAACAAGGCAGGATAGGAGGAGGTGAGAGGCTGCAGGGGAGGGCTTGAAGGACTGTGGGAAATAGGGGCTGTGGTTGTGATGGAAAGTGGAGGGGCACTGGGACCAGGAATTGGGCCTTGGAGTTACACATGAGCCTTGCTTGTAAGGCCCAAATTCAGTCTCAGAGCTGAAAAAGGCCTCAAGTTTAGGGTGGCTCTAACTTCTCATACAGATTAAAAACTGAGGCCTTAAGGTGTTTGAACTGGCCAAGGACACCCATGTTTTATAAAGAAAGAGCCTCATTTTATATGGCTGGCTTTGTAGGAGTCATCCTCAGAGATGGAAGTCCACCGTCATGTTTTGGCCAAAGCAGAATAGATGTCCAGCAAATGCTGAGCTCATCTTGTAAAAGTCCCAGAGCAATGCCAGCTGCTTGTCCACCAATGTTCCGCAGAGAGAGGGTCTCACACACAGACACACACCACCACAGTCTTTCTTTTGGAATTTGGGGATTGCAGGAATTGAAGCTCACAGTTCTAGCTTTTTAAAATATTTTTGTTGCTACTGCAACAAGTGTTTACAATATTTATTATAATAAAATATTAACACTGATATGAACCCGACACCAGTTTATGGAAATGACTCAGTCTCCCTGGTCCTCTGTGCTGAGAAAGGTGCATGTCACTGGATGCCTGTGACCAGCCTGGATGTCTGCAAAAACACACCTCCTGACCACCCCATCGGATAGTCTCGCAGGAAGAAGTGCCCTCTCCCCTGCTGACTTACACTCGGAGCCACTGGGGCTTCAGCTGGAGGGCTGGGGTTGGAGGCTGTACCTGGATGACCATCCCCTGCCCACTCCTGGGCTCCTCCTCTGGGCGGAGCCTCCCCTTCTACACTCCTCCCTGCAAGGAGAGAGCCTAGCAGTGGGGAGAAGGTGGCCGGTGGGTTTTGCTGGAAAAGAGGTGCCAATTATAGCCTTTATTAGGCTCACACCCGCCGTCTCGCTGCCTTTCGACTGCTCCAGACCACACACACACACTCAGTTTTCCTGCACTGGGATGGGAGACCTGTGTGGTCCTGCCGGCTCACTTATAATAAATCTGTGAGCTTAATAAAAGGCATCACTTCTATCTTTTGATCTCTCTTGAGTTACTCATTAGCTCTGGGTAACACACTTCTTGACTGACAGGCCCTTCCCAGGGAAAACCCAGGTTTGGTGATTCTTCAAACAAAAAATGATGTGTGTGTGTGTGTGTGTGTGTGTGTGTGTGTGTGTGTGTTGGGCATGGGGTACGCTGTGATTTGTGGAGAAGGAAGAGGGAAGGAGGAGCTTGGCCATCTCAGAAGATGTCTAGTGCAATCCCCAGAGGGGAATGAGCTTCCCCAGGACCTGCTGCTGCTGGTGGAGGGCTCAGGGCCCTCAGGGTTTTGGGCCTTTGTGGGCCTCATCTGTTCCAGTCCTTCCTGCTCTTCTTCACAATCCTTCTCAGGACTCCGTTTCTCCATGAAAGCTCTCTGTTTACTCTCTGCCAGCTCCAAGTCTTCGCCTTAATCCAATCTGCTTTTGTTATAAATACACTAAGGCCACTTTCTTGTGTAACCTTTTGCCTATAAATTCCTTGAAGTCACCAATATTCCATTTTCTTTCCTACTCCTTGGCCCTCCTCAAGTCAGCCACACCAGCCATTTGTGGGTGTTGGCTGCCCTTCCTCTGGGTGAAACACTGGCCTTAGGTTTTTTCTGAGTCTTCACAACAGCACCGTGAAGTGAGGATAGCTGAGGGAAACTGAGGCTCAGAGAATTTAGGCAACTTCTCTGAGGTCACACAGATAATAGACAATGGATCAGGGACCCCATCCTAGGGCTGCCTGAATCCACAGGCCCTGCTTATACCCACATTGCCTCTAACCACCCACACTGGGCCCTTCTTGTGAGCTGGTCCCTGCCTTTTGCACTCCTTCTCCACCCAAGCTCAATGTCGAGGTGAAATTCCCAGTGTTCCTGTCTCCCTGGGACTCTCATCGTGCCCACTTTCTCCCCATGACTTCACCCTGGGCCGCGGGCTGCTGTGGGAAACCACAGCCACTTGGAGAGTTGCAGGGAGGACGCCAGACTCAATATCTACTCACTGTGTGTTGGCGTTTCAGCTGACAAAACAACACTACCAGACCAGCCGTGCTTGGTCCTCCTCACCACACAGACACAGCCTTCTTCACAGCCACCCCCACGTGAAACCGCAGGCTCAGGGGCCACAGCAGAGGCAGCGCTGCCGGTTGGCTAAGGGTGCAGCCTCAGCAGTCAGCTGAGGTGGTGTTAGCGTCTGTTTGACCTTGAGCAAGTTACCCAGCTGCTCTCTTCAGCCTCTTCCCATATAAAAGGAAGATAATAATAGAGCTCACTTCACGTACCTGTTAAATGAGATTACCCATGCAAAAGAGCCTGGCATCCAGGAAAATCTTTTGTTTAAAGGTTAAGTATGATTAAGGTTATAGGTTGAATTGCATCCCCAAAAATGATACATTGAAGCCCTAACCCCCAGGACCTGTGACTGTCATTTTACTTGGAAGTAGGGTCTTTGCAGATGTAACCAAGTTAAGCTGAGGTCATTAGGGTGGGCCCTAAACCAATATGACTGGTGTCCTTATAAGAAGACAGAAATTCAGACAGAGAGGAAAACACCGTGTGAAGACACAGACACAGAGGGGAGACAGCCACGTGAAGATGGAGACAGAAACTGGAGTTGCACTGCCGCAGCCAAGGAACTCCTGGGGCCATCAGAAGCTGGAAGAGGCAAGGAAGAACTCTCCTCTAGAGGTTTCGGAGGGAGCGTGGCCCTGCCGACACCTTGATTTCAGACTTCTGGCCTCCAGCCTGTGAGAGAATAAGTTTCTCTTGTTTTAAGTCACCAAGTCTGTGGTACGTACAGCAGCCCTAGAAAACTAATGTAATTAGTATTAAAAAGATCATTAGTATAGCAGCCCCAAGACCTCATAGTTTTGACTTTGCTTTTTATTAGTTGTGTGCCCTTGGACAAATTATAGAGGCATAGGCTATAAGAATTGGAAAAGACCTTATGGCCAGGTGAAGAAACCGAGGCCCACAGAGGGTGGTGACTAGTGCCTCACCCCACTGAACCTCAGTTACTTCATCTGTAAACACAAGATAAATATGCCTACCCTGCCTGCTTCACCAAGCTGTGCTTGAAAAGTCAATAAATCACTTAGGCAGACCAGTTGCCATCATGGTCATGGCAACACACAGACTACTTTCTGCCTTCAGACCAGCACCATGGTCAGTTAGAACCCTGCTTACTTCTGAAGAAGGTGCCAGGCCTAGGATGAGCTGTTAGAAGCAGATGAGATCAACGGCTCACAAACTGGGCAAATGTGGAACAGACTTGGCACCTGAGAGACATTGTGGATGGCACGGATTGGCATCCACAAACAAGGGCTTGGTCTCCCAGGGAAGAATATTGATGAATCAGGACACCTGGGTCCTGCACCTGGTGTTGCTGCCCAACTCACTGTGCATTCTCAGGCAAGTCCCTTACCCTCTCTGGGCCTTCCCTTGCCTGTTTATAAAATGTAGAGCTGGGACCTGCAGTCAGGTTGGCATGACTTCAGTCTCTGATCTTAACCACCATTGTATATTGCCAAAGAGATGAAGAGATTTGCCATTCCTGGGGGTACAGGGCGTAAGTAGCATATATGTGTCCTGAAATCATACAGCTAACAGGCTCAGGAGGTCATCTGGTTCAATGTGCCAGGTGATAACTCATAGGCAGTTATTTATATCACTTCTGGATATTCCAGTGATGTTTGCCTCACTCCCCTTGAGGACGCTCATTCTGTTGGCTTGTAAATAGTCTTCCTTATATAGAAAATGATGAATATAAAGATTAAAAATTTATACAATTCTTATTTTATAAAATGCTTTGTTTCTGGGTTTGTTTGTTTGTTTTTTTTCTTAGCCTATATGACTTTGGGCAAATTACCTTGCCTTGCTTAAACTAATGTGGAGACACTGTGGAGTTGCTGCAAAGGGGAAGAAGGGTAAGGCTGTGGACGCTGTCAGCATCCCTGGATCATGGCAGGTGCTCAAGAAACATAGGTTTTTTTCCACCCTTATGCTGATCTGGAGCTAGGAGATTACGCCTACTCTGTGCCTCTGTCAGTGCTGAAGACAACGTTCAAGTGGTTGCCAAACTCTTAGCATTCATATCACATTCCTCCTCATCCTCATTTTCTTCTTTGTCATCATAACTAACAACTGCAGCAGCATCAACCTCCTCAGCAGCACCAACATCCTCCTCCTCATCATCTTTATCAACATCATCCTCACCAATGTCATCATCTTCTAACATTATTCTCTTTGTTATCACTGTCACACCATACACTTGAATTAATACTAGAATTTACCATGTGTATTACTCAGGATTCTCTGGAGGGACAGAACTAATAGGATAGATACATATTTAAAGGGAAGTGTATTAAGTATTATCTCACAGGATTTCAAGGTCTCACAATAGGCCGTCTGCAAGCTAAGGAGCAAAAAAAAAAAAAAAAAAAAAAAGCCAGTCTGAATCCCAAAACTGAAGAACTTGGAGTCCAATGTTCAAGGGCAGGAAGCTTCCAGGACAGGAGAAAGATGTAGGCTGGGAGGCTAGGCCAGTCTAGTCTTTTCACTTTTTTCTGCCTGCTTTATATTTGCTGGCAGCTGATTAGATGGTGCCCACCCAGATTAAGGGTGAGTCTGCGTCTCCCAGCCCACTGACTCAAATGTTAATCTCCTTTGGCAACACCCTCACAGATATACCCAGGATCAATACTTTGCATCCTTCAATCCAATCAAGTTGACACTCAGTATTAACCATCATACCATGTATTCCCATAAGTGTGCCAGTCAATCCTTCAACAACTCAATGAACTAAATATTATTTTTATTTTACAGATGGTGAAGCTGAATCTCAGAGAACCAAAGTGACTCAAGTTCACAGAGCTGTAAGCTTCAAAAGCAGGAGCCTAACCTAGGTTTTTAGTGGGCATATCATCCAGCCAGCTCAGGTTACACATGGCTGAGGTAGGAACCTGCAAGTGTATTTCAGTGAAGTTTGATATACTCCATCATACCTCATGAATCTGACTTTTCAAACCATAAGGAAAGATCTTATGCTTGAGTGTGTGTGTGTGTGTGTGTGTGTGTGTGTGTGTGAGAGAGAGAGAGAGAACGTGCATATCCCTGGAAACCTCTGGAGCTTTCTTTCTGCCAAGCAGACTTGGGATTCAGCCCACACCTGCAAGATTTGGATGTCTTTTGTCCCCTGAGAGTCTCACTCTGCCTGGCTAATCCAGGCAGAGCTTCCTGCTACCTCCTTACAGGACGCAGTTCAGACCAGAATATTAATGGAGATTACAGCAAGGAGAAGAATAGATTTGTGTGGGGAGCGAGCTGCCTGGCAGAGAAGCTAGGTACCCAGGTAAAGGCCTTCCATGGATGATCTTGAAGCATTCACTGGAAGCAGGATGGGATGTAGTGGGCCCTTCCCAGAGATGCCTAGAACTAACCCATGTCCTGAACTGTGTCTAGGACAAATCTGCCCACACTCTTGTTTTTCTAGATAGATGATGTGCATGCATCTTTTTTCCTTCTGCATGTCAAATTCTACCCAATATAATAGGATGCAGCCCAGTACACGTACATCTCAGTTTGACTAGGATAGTTAGGCTCGCATCTTTTGTACTGATACCTCATCTGGTTTGCCACTGGTCACCATCAAAACTGTCTCTATTTAGACATTAACTATAGTACATTCTTCCAAGGTTGAACATCAAAGAAGACAGGTGACAAGGACCATCAAATGAGAGGTTTGTCATCTGGCTCAGTTGGAACAGCACTAGACTCAGAAGCAGAGGTCTTAAATTTATCATTTAAGTGGTGAACTGTACCACTTTCTGCCTAGGTAGGACTCAGTTGTCTCATCTGTAAAATGGGCATGATTGTACCCATTTCAGAGTTGTCAAATGTGAATGGCCTTAGTAAGCTCTGTTCTGTTCTCTGCAGCCATTCCTTTTAATGATTTGTTTTACTTTCATTTTTCAGTTTCAAGTCAGCCAGTTTTTCTTCAAGGTAGTTAACATCTGGTCCCATGGAATCAGTGGGGATGTTGGGCCAGGGTCAGGGAGCTGTGACAATCTAGTTATGCTTGGAAAAATCCAGCCCATCTCTCAGTGCTGCAACAGCTGGAGCAGCCATGCCCCAGGAACTGCTAACTGGAGAGAGAGATTTGAAAGATCTAGAAGATTATAAAAAGCACTTACTCATTGGAGGTTTAGGAAATTGGAGCCAAAAAAGCAGAAAATGGTATTGGGAGGTGGATTAACTACAATAAAGGCCTGAATTTGTGCAGGGAAGGAAAGGATTGAAGTCGGCCCTGTAAAGCCATGCCCTCGGGGAAGCTGGTTCACAGTGGTCTCTCTAACCTGGTTACTGAGCGCAGCCCTCCTCACCAAGTCCTATGTTGGTGAGTTGGACATGGTGGACACGGTGTGTCCAGTGCCGAAGACACTGCCAACCTTTGCTCTGGCTGTTGCCTCTTCTTGGCAAGCCCCAGTTCTCCCCACCATGTGAATGCAGCCACTTTTCAACAGCCAGCTAAAGACTGTTGATGTTTCCAGCTTTTCCTTGACTCCATCTGTTCCAAGAAGTGTGAATTGCTCCATTCTCATTGTTTTACTCTAAGCTAATCGTTTTTGCAAATGTTGCCATGTTTTATAAGAGACTCTCTGTATCTGTCTTCCTCCATCCACTGTGAGCTCTGAGAGGACAGACACTCTCTTCACCAATCCCCACAAACCCAATGCCTCCAAGAGAGACCTTGGTCATGTTAACGTCGCAGAGACTCTTTATCTGGACCCAAGACATTTTCATCCTTCTGTGCTGGATATTGTTTAAAGGGGGCCTGCGTTTGTTCCTACCCACTTCTATACACTCCAGTGTACTGCAGAGGCTAGAAGGCTGAGAGCTACATTTCCCCAACTCCCTTGCCATCAAGGCCAAGGTTCTGCCAATGGCCAAATTTGCAAGAGATTTGGCAGCTTTAGCAGATGGGAGTTTTATGGTGGCCAGCGATATTTCCCGTGCTCTGCCTGTCATCTGTGCTAGCAGCAGCAGGTTCCTGCAGCCTTCTGACCTCTGGATTGCAACTTCCCAGGGAGCCTGACCACGAGTCTAGTGGTGGCCCCTGACTCCACCCCTTTACTCTAAGTACCTCATTCCCTGCAATACACTCTCTTTTTGAAATATCTAAAGTGTTGTTTTTCTTTTTCTGCACTGAATCTAGACGATACAACATTATACTGACCTGAAACTATTTGAACTCTGGGTTTATAAACAGAAAATTTTAAAAATAGAATTATACTAATATTAAAACATTTTCACCAACAGAATATTTTTGGGATCAAATCTCATCAAGCCAATATAATTTCTAGATTGATTTTTTATATGGCACAGTTATATACCTCCCTCTCCCATTTTCATGTTTATTTTATGGAAAATTTTTTTATCAGGATTGTGTTTTCTTCTCTTTTTGCTGTAAAACTTAATGAAAGATTCAGTTATCAAAGGGGGTTTTATTTTTTGTCAAATTCAATAATACTTATCCTATCTTCTAACATTGTGATTTTTATTTTGTGGTTTTATGTCTGCCAAATCTAATTTTCCTAGTGAGATCCTGTAATTCTCAATTTTGCTGAGAAAATTTAATTATTCTGTCAATTTTTAATCCATAACAAATTTTACCACATACAGCTTTAGCTGTTGACAGTTTAATTAGACACTGAATATTTTTACACAGCCCAATTTTTCTTAGATCAAATTTTTACAGCTTTGATGTTTCCCACAAGATATGACTCTTCAGTTTTTCTCTCTGCCACATTTCACTGTGCACCATTTTAGCTGGTATCAAATTTCTTTCTTGGTTATTATTTGTACAGGTCAATTCTAACAGTAATTGTCACTGTAAATTAATTACATAAAGATCGATTCTTTCCATTGTTTTTTAATTGAAACAAATATCATCAGAAGGACAAAGATAGAGGATGTGTATGCATAATAACATTTCTTCTTTTGTTTCTTCAACTATAAAACCTACTTGTTTTGACGATTAAATTAAACAACACACAAAATACTTAGCATATTCAAAGGACAAACTCAATAACTACTAGTAATTATTATATTAATTCCAAAGATTTGTGAGCTAAATTGAACTGTTAACCCTGTGAGATGGGTATCATTATTATAATCTCATTTTACACCCAAGGAAGCAGACTGGATTGGTGGCTGGCCATGCCAATCCAGGCCATGGGCTCAGGCCTTCTGAGAGTGGATGCCAGGCCTTTCTCCTACTCTATATAGCTCTGCAGGGAAGAGAATGCTTCTGCCCCAAAAGGAGACAGCTCAGCTCTGGGACACATTAAGTAAATATAGGTGTGATATTCATGCCAAGTTATTGTAGAAATTCCATCAGAACATTGGCAAGGGCAGGCTAGGATAGATCTACCCACTGGAAAACAGAGTAAATGTTGCCCAGAAAGTTCGGGCAACAGGCAGAACTCACCAAACAAAGACCACTGAAGGGGGCCAATGACACCTCAGCAACCCCAAGAGCTTTGGGCAAAAGGCACCAGAAAGGAACCTGATCGTACCAGAGATAATGAGACCCCTGCTACCCGTCACCCAGTGCCCAGCCGGCTATCATGGTTTGAAAGAAAGGCAGGGCAACAGAGGGAAACAGCAGCTCATTCTGAACATTGACTGGGGCTAGGCCAGGGCCAGGGCTGCATGTTAGTTCCCTGTTGCTGCTCTAAGAAATTATTACAAATTTAGTGGCTTAAATGATAAAAACATATTATTATATAATTCTGGAGATCAGATGTTTGAAATGAGCCTCACTAGGCTAAACCCAAGGTGTCAGCAAGGCTGCTCCTTATGGAAGCTCTAGCGGAGAATCCGTTTCCTGGATGTTTCCTATTTCTAGAGGCTGCCCACACTCTTTGGCTTCCTTTGGCAACTCGAGGCTGAGTCCTTCTCCCGCTATCATCTCTTTGGTTCTCCCTTCCAATTTTCTCTTCCACTTTCAAGGACTTTTGTGATTAGAGTGGGTCCATTTGGATAATCCAGGATAATCTCCTTATTTTAAGATAATCTAATTAGTAACCTTAATTCCATCTGCAACCTGAATTCCATTTTGCCATCTAACCTAACATGTTCACTGGTTCTGGGGATTATTAACACAGAGACATCTTTGGGGCCCATTATTCTGTTACCACAGACTGACAGAAGTCAACCAGGGTAAAAGTAAGGGCATGAGAGGCCAGATCACTATAGAAAACTGATCACAACCTGCATTACATTCTAGTTATTGGGCAAATTCCTGGGAGATGGTATGATGTAGCTTTGGTATCAGGCAGAAGTGGATTCGAAGTCTGGCTTTAACACATAATGACAGGTTAAGAGCCACACTGTGATATTTCCTCATTCGTAGGGTGGTGATGTTAATACCTAAGTCACATATTTTTAGCAAGAATTCAACAAGACATTATGTATGAAAATGCCTAATGTATTCCAGATATGCTTAATGTCCTTCTACCATTGCTCACTTTACAAGATGCAGCTTTTGTTTCCTTCCTAACATTCATTTATTTGGCAAATATATATGGAACATGAACTATGTGCTGAGTACCATATAAGGTGCTGCAGGGGAGGCAGTACATGGACTCTATCCACCTTCAAAAACACAGCAGAGGGTAGAGGTGGACAACGGGCCAGGCAAGAGGCTGCAGCAGAGAACTTAGAGGAGGGATGGCAGGGTTTTTGCTTCTTCCAAGATCCTCATGAGTCAGACTTTACTGGGCAGTGACTGAGGGAGTCCAAAATCACACAGCAAGGAGCATAAATGGGAGAGGCCAGATGTTAAGAGCATAGAATTTGAATTCAGACCTGGTTTTAAAAATAAACTTTTATTATTTAAAGTTCCAAATACTAACAACAGAAGAAAATATAAAACTGTGTTGTCTAATTCAGTAACCACTAGCCACATATGGTTATTGAGCATTTGAAATATGACTAGTTCAAATTGAGATGTGCCGTAAGTGTAAAACATCCATCAATTTCAAATAGAGTATAAAAGAGAATGTAAAATATCTCATTAGTAATTTTTATAGTAATTATTTTGGATATGTTTGGTTTAAAATATTATAATTAATTATCTTTTATTTCTTTTTTAATATGAATACTAGAAAATTTTTAAATTACATACATGGCTCATATATTTGTATTGAATTAAGCTGGTGTAGAATAAAGGATCTCCAGTTTGAACAATTACTCAGCTTCCATAATTACCAACTTCTGAACACTCTTATTCAATCTATATCCCCACCAGCCTCTGCCTCCACTGAAGTAAATCCCAGACATCATATTATATACATACAATATATTATATTATATTGTATGTAAATATTTCAGTATGTATCTCTAAAACGACTATCTTTAAAAATATAATTTTATTATTACACCTAAAAAAACTAATAATAATTCTTTAATATTATTGAATAGCGATGTCTGGTTCCAGACAAGATCTAATAGACACACTTCTTTCTATTCCTCCAAGTACAGCTAAAAACTCTGGACATAATTGAAAGGACAAATATAAGAAGACTCTGAAAGGTGGAAAAAAGAACTGACTAGGAGCCTCAAGGCTTGAGGAATGACATGGTGGCAAGTTCCTGGATTTTTTTTATTCCTTCATCTTTCGTATATTATGACTTTTACAACCTAGAAATGCAAAAAGGTGTAGACAAAATAATGCTCAAGAAAATACTGTTCTCTTTAGGCAAAGGATAAGAAAAGGGGCAGCCCAGCAGATAAAAAACATTTTTGAAGTTATTCACTCTACTCCATCCAAACACCATGGGAAAAATGAGGCATCTGCCAATTGCAGAAGTCAAATAAGGAGCCTAGGCTTTGGTTCCTGCCCAGTGGTAACAAGGTTCCTCTTCTACTCATGGTGTCAGCAAAGGCTGAGTAGGAAACCTGGACTTCTGCATTATTTTGTGGTAATTAAGTGGCATCCTGCTTTACCCTGCTGGTTCAGTGTCAGCAGAGGCCTGCTAGAATAGAGTGCTTAAATAATTGCCAGAGTTTCATAAAATCCAGCATGTCTAGGATACAATAGAAAAACACCTCTTATACCAAGAACCAGAAATACATCAATTTAAATGAGAAAAGGCAAGAAAAATCACCAACATGGAGATGACACAGACATTGGAATCATCTAACTAGGATTTCAAATACAGGTATCATAAAAATGCTCCAACAAGCAATTACAAACACACCTGAAGCAAATGAAAAACTGGAATGCCCCAGCAAGGAAATAGAAGATATGAAGAAGAACAAAATGAATATTTTAGAACCGAAAAAAAATAACTGAAAGAAAAACTCAATAGATGAATTCAATAGCAGAATGGCAGTGACAGGAAAGAATCAGTAAACCTGAAGATAAATCAAAATAAATTCCCCAATCTGAATAACAGTGAGAAAATAGACTAAAAAAGAACATTGCCTCAGGAATCTGTGGGAAAATAACAAAAGATCTAACATTTCTGTCATTGGAGTCTTAGAAGGAAAAAAGAAAGTGTGGAACTGAAAAATATTCTAAGAAATTATGGCTGAAATTGTCCTAAAATTTTAAATTAAATGGAGTAAACCCCAAACAGGAAAACCCAACAAAATACATACCAAAACACATTATAGTGAAACTTATGAAAACTCATGACAAAAAAAAGATCTTGAAAGCAATAAGAGAGAAATGACACCTTGCTAGAAGGGAAAAAAATTGAATTACAGCAGATTTTCTCATTCAAAATCATAGAAGCCAGAAGGAAGTGGCACAACATTTTTCAAATGCTAGAAGATAAGAACTGCTAACTCGGAAGTCTATGGCCAGCAAAAATATCCTCAAGGAATGGAACAAAAATCAAGGCATTGTCAGATGGACAAAAACTAAGAGAATTTGTCACCAAAAGACCTACTCTATGAGAAAAGCTATAGGAAGTTCTCTAAGCAGAAAGGAGAGGATGAAAGAAGAAATCTTAGAACATCAAGAAAGAAGAAAGAATAATAGGGAAAAAGTTAAAATGTAGGTAAATACAATAGATGTTTCTTCTCCTCTTGAGCTTTCTAAATTATGTTTGATGGTTGAATTAAAATTGAAACACTGTATGATGTATTTCTCAATGTAGAGGAAATACATAAGACAATTATAAGTGGAGGAGGGTATGGAAGCTCAATGGAGGTAATATTTTCACATTTCACATTAAGTGATAAAATGTTTCACCAGTAGACTATAATGTTACATATGTATATGTAATACCTAGAGCAACCACCATTATTAAAAAACTATGCAAAAACATATATTCAAAAACACTATTAAAATGTTCAAGTAGGCTGGTTTGATGGTAGTGGGCTATCAGAACTTATTAACATTAGTGTCATTGAAGTTGGTATACAACACCCCACTGCTAAATTTGACTGGCTTGAAAAAAATGTTCATGCAATCCACAGAAATGCAGGAAAGGGGAAATAGAACAATGGAAAACAGAAGCAATAAACAAAAACAAATAATAAAATGTCATATATCAGCCTTAATATATCAATAACTGTATTAAATATAAGTGATCTGAATACACTAATTAAAAGTCAGAGCTTGGCACAGTGGATAAAAAAGTGTGACTCGACTATAAACTACATGCAAGGAACTCACTTCAAATATAATTATACAGATATATTAAAAGTAAAATGATACGAAAATATACCATGCAAAAATTAATCAGAGGAGAGTAAGAGTGACAATATTACTACAAAATAAAGTAGGCTTTGGAGCAAATCAAATTACCAGAGACAAAGAGGAATGTAACATAATTAAAGGGTCAGTCCACGAAGAAGACGTAGCAATCTTAAATGTGTATACACCAAGCAACAGTGCATGAAAATATATAAGGCAAAAACTGATAGAACTGAAAGGAGAAATAGACAAACACACAACTCCTGATGGACTTCACTACCCTTTTCTCAGCAATTGATACAACTACTAGACAGAAAATCATCAAGGATACTGAGTTCAACATCACCAACCATCAAAAAGATCTAACTGGCAATTACAGAACACTCCACCAAGATAAAATCTATGGTTCTAGATTTTGGTGAATGTCATTTACTCTGGGCTTGGTGCCCTGCATAATAGAAGTCCCTTAAGAAAATGTATACAAAAGTACAAATGATTTTTAGTAACTTCTGATTTTTTTAGATGATTATTTTACTTGTCCTCTGTGACTATAAGAAAACTGGGCCCCAACTAATATGCTGAGAACTCGGTGCCTTGAACAGTGCCTAGCACATACATAAAAAATTGTTGGTTATGATTTGTCCTTCTCAAAAACCCTCACAATGTGGCAGAGAAGACTTTATTACTCTGATTGTCCAGATGTGGAAAATGAGAGAACTGTTGAAAGTTTTTTCACCATTCACCTCAGCATCCACCATTTTGCAAATCAGTATGTTTTCACAGACCTCTCATTGTAAATTTTGGACTGGCCAACGAAACTGGGTGCTAATTGTCCATTATTTCTGGCAAAGAGTGACTTCACTGCATGTTCATGTTTGTCATCTGACCCCTTCATTTTTGTCATCTCATAAGGACACTGCCTCCCGCTTGGCAGTCTCTTTTTTTTATCTAAAATAGCTACCAAATCAGTTACCTATGGCTACAGAATCAGAAATTCAAAAGCAGATCAATATAAGTCACCCAAACTAAAGCATAAAAGGAAAAAACAGTGCATGAGAAAGAAAAAGCTGAAAGTTTTGTCCCAAATTTTTAACTAAATTGAATGCTCCATATTTATTTTTGCACCTTCAAAGACACCCCCTCCTCAATGGCTGCAATACCTCAGTGGGTGTAAGTCCCATCTGAAAGCATGTCCTGTATTATGATTAAGGTCCTTTCTGATGCTGAGGCTTCACCATCAGGTCCTGGAATCACCTGGTAGAGAAACATACTTTTCAGTCTACTGTCCATTTTGACAGAAATGTGTGTGAAGAGAGGTCCTTTAGGGCTTGGTTAGTTTCCGTTCTCTTGTTCTTGTTTTTCTCTTAGGATAAGGAAGGGGCGCACAGCAAAGAGTTCAGACAGGGAGAGCTCTGTTCAATTCTTACTCATGATCATGTAAGGTTATAATTAAGATCACCCAGCACAGGAGTTCTCCAAGGCTGGCCTATGACAAAAACGTGTGGCCCAGCCATCTCCCAGCAGCTTCCCTGTGGCTCCTGTTTCCTTTCCATTCTTGCATTTTCCATTTTGCCTTTTGCCCTGAGACCAAGTTGGGGGAGAGTAGCTCCCTGTCAGGAAGTGACTGCAGGCTAAAGCCTGGGCTGACCCCTGGGGAGTCGTAATCCACCTCTCCCCAAGAGGCAAACCAAAGACTTCTGATCCTGTCACCCGTGACTGAGCTCAACATGCACATTCCTGCTCCCAGAGTCACCAGCCCAGCCTATATCCTCATCAAAACTGACAGGGAAGTGGAAAAAGAAAAAGAAGAAAAAAAGCATTCACTAGGGAGGCAGCTTAGGGTAGAGAGTAAGGGCGACCTATCGTACCCCAGGCAGTATACTAAGTGTGTTAGGGTGTATGAATATTTCTAATTTAATACCACAACAGTCCTACAAATGGTACTGTTACTCATATTTCACAATTAATAATAACATTCTAACATTTATTAAATGCTCATTGTGTGTCAAACATTATGCTAAGTGCTTTATGTACATTATCTCATTTAATTTCAAAATCTCTTATGAGGTAGGTGCTATGATAATCCCCACTTTACAGATGGGGAAACCAAGGCACAGAAAATCTATGGAACGTTCCCAGTCATATAGCTAGTGAGCAGAGAAATCATGATCTGAATCCAGGCCCTCTGGCTCCAGATCTTTTGTTTTTAACCACCTTTCTCTAACTGCTTCATATATGAGGGAAACTAAGGCTCAGAGAGCAAAGTCATTTGTTCATAGTCACACCCAGCTCAGCTGCCCACAAAACTCAAATTAAAACACAAGTCTGATGCAAACACACAGGCTTAAGTGGTTCCAAGATGTATAAAGGGAGGAACCCAACATTTATTGTGTAAGTTTCTACTATGGCCCAAGCGCTGGGCCCAGCACTGTTGCATAAATGTTTAATTTAATCCCCAACCATGGGAAATAGACAATAGGACCCACATTTTTTGAATAAAGATTCTGAGGCTCTAAAAAGTCCAGACCACGGCACACTCAGATGTTGAGTCTTCTGTCCTCCAAGCTGCACTTTGCTCCACGACTACTCAGTTGCATCCTCAGGCGTGGGTGAGCCATGGGACAGGCTCCTACTGTGCTCCTGCTCTGGCAAGAGTGAACTCCCTGCCTTCCAGGCAACCAGCATTCGGAAGGATTTCCCAAATCAGCAGCCCACCTAAGGCCCACTGATTGCATTGGCTGTGATAGTGAGCACCATGGCAGGCCATGAAGAAAGGGGTTTGGGAATGGTGAGGCGTTTTCATGTCCCTCAGTTGGACTCTGGACCAATGTAATACAAGCACATAGTGCTGGCCCAAGGAAAAGAAGTGTCTCTGTTAAAGCAATGGTGGTATAATCCCCAGTTTGAGGTAGAGATAAGACTTCACAGTGATTAAGTTGCGTTGGACCTGGAGGCAGAAGACCAGCACTTTCAGCTCTGTCTCTATCTCATTACTAGTGGTGAGACCTCAGACAAGGGGTCATTTACCATTACTTGGCTCATCTTTGGAAAAGTGATCAAGTGATACTAATCTGAGCTCACACCTGTACCTATGGGACCTTAGACAGGGTAACATATCTTCACCATGACTCAGTTTCCTCACCTGTAAATCAACATAATTACACCTACTTCACCTGCCTCCAAGTCCCCACCCTCGGTGCTTTAGTTAAGGTAGATGTCTTCACTTCTTACCTGGGTTTCAGCAATGGCTTCCTGACAGGTCTTCCTGTCTCTTGGCTGGCCTGGATGGCTTTTCCACATCCTCTCCTAGCCAAGCTCACCATCTGTTATGAGTTTTATTGTATCCCCCAAAAAAATATGAAGTCCTAACCTCTAGCACCTATACACATGACCTTGTATAGAGTCTTTGCAGGAGTGATCAAGTTAAGATGAGGTCATTAGGGTGGGATCTAATCCAATATGACCGTATCCTTAAAAGAACAGGAAACCTCTATATAAAGAGAGACACACAGGAATGAGGCTGCAGAAGAAGACACTGGAGTGAGGCAGCTGCAAGTCAAGGGACAGCAGAGATGGACAGTCACCACCAGATGCTTGGAAGACTCAAGGAATGATTCTACCGAGAAGCTCAGAGGGGGCACGGACCCTCCCAACACCTTGATTTCAGACTTCTGGTCTACAGAACTATGAGCGAATACATTTCTCTTGTTTTAAGCCATTCAGTTGTGGTACTTAGTTATAGCAGCCCTAGGAAACAAACACACCTCCTCCTTTACAATTGGGCATAGTCCCCTCCTCCAGGAAGCTGCTCCTGCACCAGCCTGCCCAACACTCACGCTGCCACCACCATGCCAATACTGTGCTCCCACATCACCTGTGCATGCCACCTCCCGCATTCACCCCAAAGTATTGGGATGGACAATTCACTCGTCTGTCCCCTCCACTGATGGGGTGGGGGAGTGTGAGTACTTCCACATGGGACACAGCAGACTTTCTGTGAAAGCAAGGAGCATGACTTCCCTCCTTCTTCCATTCATTCATTTAAAAACTAGCTTTTGAGCACCTATTACCCACCAAGCACTGTTCCAGGCCTGAGGGATATGTCATTGAATTGGACACAAAATATCTCTACCTTCAAGGAGTTTTCTATTCCCGAGAGCTGGGAGAGACAATGTGTTTAACACGTTAAACAAATAAATGGACAATTTCAGATAGTGACAAATGCTATAGAGGAATGTAATGGGCAAGAGAAGGAACGGTCCTGGAGCATGAAGAGGAGAGAGGAAAGGTTGAGGTGCCCTCACAATGGGTGGTCATCAAAGGCCTCTGCAGGGCAGTGAGGGAGGCCAAGGCCATAATGAGAGTCAGCCACACTCTGGGGCGAGTCTGCCTTCCTCAGGACATGCTACGTGGAGTTTGGGAGGGTGTCTGTGGTGCTTGTCATTTTGTTACCAGCTTCTGTGATTTATAGCGCTGAACCCTACCTCGAGTAGGTGCTCAACAAAACAGTGTTTTGTTGAGGGACTGTCTGAAGAGGGGTGTTATGAGAGGAGTCAGAAACTGCAGAAAGGGCCTAGTATACTGTAGGTATTCAATAAATGTTCTCCTCCCCCTTTCCCAACATTGTTGGCAGCACAGGTAAACTTGGAGCCCATTGGTTCTATACAATTTCTCCATCACCTCTCCAAAGAGGCCAGTTTCCGGAGGCTGCTAACCACCTTGACTGCCTTCCGCGACCCACACACAGTGCCAGGAAGATATTTCAGTCCCTTACAATGCAAGCATTTAACACTGGTGATAAACAGTCTTACTGATAACAAACGAGTTAAACTTTTAAAACTTTTTCACATCACCATATCCCTTCATCTTTCCAACAACGCTTTAATGCAGAAAGCACTATCTCTGCCATTTTACAGGTGAAAATCCCATCTCAGAAAAGGGAAAGATAGCCCAAAAATTCCTCCACAATAAGCAGTGGGGCCCTGGCTCCAAATTCCATGCTCCTCCCACCACATGACAGGAGGGCTGGGAAGAGATTCCAGTTCTTAGATTCACCAGACTGAGGGAGGCTTGGGGAAGAGACACCTGTTAGTGCAAAGCCATGTGACTAGAAGCTGCCACAGTGTGACACCCACAGGTGGCCCTCAGTGAATACTGTCATTATTGGCAGTGAAATTTCCAGAAGCAGAGAAATTCACTGCTGACTAGATAGGTGCCACCAAGTAAGGGGTCAGGGGCTCTACATATGAGATTCTCCAACAGCTGGCTCGGTGACCTAGGGCACGTCAGTGAACCTATTGTTTGATTACTCTTTTGTTTATGAAACAAAGTAACAAACAAATTAAAGCAAAACAAAACAAAAGGAAAAACAAGGATAAGTTTTGTTCCCTTCCTCCATCACAGGGCAGCTGTGAGGATGAACCAAGGCTAGAAAGTGGAGCCAAAGGATGAGGGGATGCTGCTGTGCACCTGGAGGCTCACCCAGTATCTGACTAAACAAGATGCCTATCCAGAGAGAGGGAGAGAGACAGACAGAGATGGAGAGGCAGAGAGACCCTCCTTCCAGAGAACCCTGGGATGAAAGACAGAAGATGGTTAGTTCTTAAACCAGTGGCTGGGGCAAGTGTCCTCCAGCATGTGACGTGTGTGCTAAATCAGTGGCCAATAAACCCAGCTGTTTCTCCCACAGCCAGGATTCCCAGGTCCCAATGAAGGAGTGGAAATGGGAGCCGCTCCTCTCACTAGTCCCTGGTGACCCACACCCAGTGTTTTGCTTCCCAACTCCACGACGTTGGGCCTTGCTGGTCTAGAGGTCTTAGTCCCTGTATTAGTCCATCTTCTGTTGCTTATAACAGAATACCTCAAACTAGGTAATTTATAAATAAAAGGAATTTATTTCCTGCAGTTCTGGAGACTGAGAAGTCCAAGGTCGAGGGGCCACATCTGATGACAGCATTCCTGCTGGTGGGGGCTCTGCAGAGTCTGAGGTGGTGCAGGGCATCACATGACAGGCGGCTGAGAGTGCTCCCGTTTTAGCTCAGGTATCTCTTCCGTTACTTATAAAGCCATCAGTTCCTTCCCCCATGATACCCATTAATCCATTAGCCCATGAATGGATTTATCCATTCACGAGGGTAGAGCCTTCCCGATCCAATCACCTCTTAAAGGCTCCTCCTATCAATATCGCCACATGGGGGATTAAGTTTCAACATGAGTTTTGGTGGGAACATTCAAACCACAGCAGTCCCCAAGGGGGACTCTTCCACAGGGGACAGACACAGCAGGGGTTCCATGGAAGTGGAAGTTGAGGCTGCCACCTGGTCATGCTGGATTCTCGCTCTAGAGAACCAACAAGCAAAGAGGCCATGATAATGTGATTGATCCTGACTCTCAAGGGGAAACCAGGTCGCAACTACACAATGGCGGTAAGGAGTATGTCTGAAATGTGTGGCTTCCCTAGAGTGACTCTTATAACTCCCACATGCTGTGATAAAATTCAATGGAAAACTACAACAGCCCAATTCAGGCAGGATTGCCAGTGACCCAGGCCCCTCAGGAAGAAAGGATCTTGTCACCAAAAATGGAATGGGCAGTGGAAGAAGATAATTATAAATACCAGTTGCCACCACAAGACCAGTTGCAGAAACAAGGGCTGTAATACTTACGAATATTTCTTCCTCTTTTTTGATATGAATATGTTTGAGTGCATATTAACTAATGTCTTACTCCTCTCCCATTCCCCCACCATCTACTATAAGATGCACTAATAGTAGTTAACCTTATATGTCAGTATTTAAGTTATAGGATATCAAAGAACGAGTGTGAATCAGCTAGAAGAATGAACACCACCCAAAGAAGGAAAAGGCACCCTGTATCCTCCTTTTGGGGAAAGAGCTTTACATGTTATCATTGGTTGTATGTTGGAATAGTTATACCATGTCAGACAATAGTATGAGTTTGCTATTGCCTCTATTTGCTAAGTGTGGTTTTAAGAGGTATATATGAGTGCCAAATTGACAGGGGTGTATTGTGGTGGCTTTGTAAGGTGTTGGCAATTCTCTTTCCTGTACGTTTTTGATTAGGGTAGACCACAATATTTTCCTGAGTTTTGGAGGGTGGAGTGAAGCAGTAGCTGTATGGTGTGTAAGCTGAGGGGGCACCAGGCATTGTTGCAACTCCCACATATTGTCACTTATTTGCTGGCTCACTTTGTTGGAATGGGACAGTGGCTATGCCTGTGGCTGCTCCGTCTGCCCTCCTTTTGGCTTCCCCAACTCCACAGCCAGTGTGTGTTCAGCTTCACAATGAAGGGCACTAGCTGCTCCTGCAGGACAGCCTCATGGTGGCAGTGGGAGGCAGGGAGGGCCTGTTGTGGACTGAACTGCATCCCCACAAAATTCTTACACTGAGGCCCTAACTCCCAACATGACTGTGTTTGGAGATAAGGCCTTCAAAGAGGCAAAGTTAAATGAGGTTGTAAGAGTGGGCCCTAATCCCATAGGACTGGTGTCCTCATAAGAAGAGAGACAGCAGAGAGGTGCATGTGCACAGAGAAAAGGCCATGTGAGGACACCAAGAAAGGGTGGTCACCTGCAAGGCAAGGAGAGAGGCCTCAGGAAAAACCACACCTGCTGACACCTTGATCTTGGACTTCCAGCCTCCAGAACTGTGAGAAAATCTATCTCTGTTGCTTAAGCCACCCAGCTTATGGAATTTTGTCATGGCAGCCCGAGCAAACTAATACAAGGCCTGACACAGGGTCCAACTCATGTGTGTGGAATCCAGGCTATGCTTGACGTTCCCCACTTGTCACCCATCTTCCATTCCAAGCTGCTTGCCCTGTGGACTTCAAGCTCTGGCAACTGAGAAGACAAGCCTTCTAGAGACTGCTAAGACAGCTCCCACAACAGCATAAGGACGCATCCTGCGACAAACTCCAGGGTCCTGCTTCTTTGACAGAAGCCTGGCTGGTAGAGGAGGGGAGGCTCATGCACAGGCCTGTGTGGTGGCCCCCGGAGGGTTGGAACTCAGTTGTGTTAAATGGTGGGCACTGGCCAGGGGTGTGGGCACATTGGCAACATGTCCTATGCATCTCTCTCCCAGCCTGGGCAGGAAGGAGCCAGCTTGTCATCAGGGCTCCTCCTAGCCACCCCCAGGAAAGAGGAAATAGAGGCAGAAGCAAGATGAGCAGATGGAACCAGCCATGCACCCAGTCCACTGGGCAAATGCCAGCGACCCCACCTGTAAGCTGCCAGGCCCTGTGCAAGATCAAAACCCTGCAGTCTCCACCACCTGTGCACCAAGCAGCCCAGCCCTGCTGCAGCAGGTACAAACCCAACAGCCAGCTGCTTCCTCCCATATGACAAAGCCCAGAGCCTACAGCTGTCAGGGATTAGAGGGCGCTGCCATGGGTCACTAAGCTGTTAAACTACAGACGCTTTACCTCCTCTGCCACCTGAGCTGACTCCCCCAGCTTTCTCTGCCACCTCCCCCTGCTCTCCCTGGCTATGCTTTCTACTGAAGGCTCTGGGATTGGAGCAGGTTTTGGAATACGGTCCTCTTAATAAGGCCAATGCGGCTTTTAGGATTAATTTTTAAAGAACATAGAATTTGAGCAGCCTGGTTCAGGAGTCCAGAGGCTAGTGGAAAAGCAGAAATCAAAGAGCTCCTACTATGTCCAGTCACAGGGTAACTGTCATGAATTAAGCTTGTATTATGTACCAGGTGGGTTTACATGTATAATCTCAGCAACCCTATGAAATCAGTCATAGCATCTGTACATTCTAGAGAATTGTCTGAGGCTCAGAGAGGTTAGAGGACTAAAAAACCAATAAGAAAATCAAAACCCAGTTTGCCTGACTGGCAAGTCCTTTCTCTCTACCTGGAAGCTTTTGCTTGTTTAAATCCCCCTGGCTTGTCCCAGATGGGGCTAGGGTGTGCATGGGGGTGAGGGGGAGAAGCAAGACGTAGTGAAGTGGTTCTCAAAGTGTGGTCCAACTGGCAGCGTCAGCATCACCTGGAACCTCATTGGAAATGCAGATTCTTATACCGCTCCAGGCCTCCTGAGTCAGAAATCCAACAAGTGCTCCAGGTGATTCTGGTATGTGCTCAAGTTTGTGAACCACTGGCCTAAAAAGCTATGGCTCTCTAGGCATGGCCTCAGGGTGACCTGGCTGAGGATGTGGGGGCTCTAGGGTTAAAAGGGCTGAGCATAGGCTCATACCCTAATAAAATAACACTGCCTGGGGTAGTACAACCCCTTTCATTCACAAAGCCCCTTTCCAGACCTCATTCACCAAACCCTCAGACCAACTACAAGGATAATTCATGTCATGGCCTTCTTTTTTCTGATAAGAGTTTCTGAAAAATGCTGGGTTCAAATCCTGACTTTGCCATTCCCTAACTGTGCGACCTTGGCCAAGTCACATACTTTCTGCGCCTTACGCTCCTTGTCTGCAAAATGAGGTGATCCTGTGCCCCCACCTCCAAGGTTTGAATCTCAGGTTAAAGCAGATGCTACGCCAGGAGCCCAGTGCCGTGCCTGTCACAGCAACTGCCTGTGAAACAGTCGATGCATGTCATTGCTGTGACTGGTCAGGGCTCCGAGAGAATGGAGAGGCTCTGAAGACTAACCCAGGCTGCCTCTCTAACTGCCTGAGGTCCGATCCCTCAAGAACCTGGGAAGGAAGCGTAGTGCCCCAGCTGTTACTCTGCTGCCTGCTAGCAGGGCACCCTCCCAGAATTCTAGAGAAGGCACGGGATTCCCAGGCTGCTGCCCATGCCTCTGGCTTCAGGACTCTGGACTCCTCATTCATCTTCTCTGGGCCTGGGTTTCCTATAAAGAGAAGGGGCTAAATGTGCTCAGAGCTTATCCACTTGCTTGGAGGAGGCTCCCTGGGCTTGTGTGGAGGAGGCCGCGAGGCTATCTGGGCACCAGTGAAAACAGATTCATTTCAGGACCTGTGCAACATAAAAGAACAGCTACACCAAATGCACTCAATCCATTGTAACATCTCAGAGTTATTACAGTGTGGGTTTCCAAACTGAGGAAACTCAGGTTCCTTGGCCCTGAGCACCTGGCTCTCTTGCCACAGCCAGTTTTGCCCCTGCGGCCCCTCTAAGAGGCAGCAGGAAGCATCAAGTGCCTAATCACTTCCTCCTGGATGGATGCGGGAACCTGATCCGCACAGAGGCCGCCCCTCACATTCAGCCATTCTTGTGCTTTAGGAAGAGGCAGACACTGGATGTGCATACTGGTTTCAAGCCCCACCGCATGTGCTGTTTCCTCTCATATTCAATCACAGGATGAAAACCTTCCCTTTAAAAATTAAACAATGTATCCAGTGACCAATGCCTGAAACTCTGTGGTCTCATTTGCTCCTCAGAGCTGCTCTGAGAGCATGGCGTCATTGTTCCCAGTTTTCTAGAAGCTTGCACAGCTATAAAGCGGTGGGGTTAGGATTTGAACTCCTGTCTTCTAACTATAAATGCAGTGTGCTTTGCTTGGAGCTCCCAAGGGTGTCCTGTGACGCTAGAGGCATTGCAGGGAGGCCAGCATGAGGGCCCTGGGGAGGGGTCTCTGCTTCAGCAGGCAGGGTACAGGTTCAGATAGCCTGGCTTCCCATCCTGGCACAGCAACTTTTCAGCTGTGTGTCCTTTGACAAGTCAGTCTACTCTCTGAAGCAAGTGTCGTTGCTCGAGGCTATAAACGCATAAGTTGAAGTGGCAACCCTAGTTATTTTATGGGGAGAGAAAGCTCTGATTGGCTCCGATTTGATAAATAAAATGAATGGAGCTTCATTGTTTCATAATAAAAGTGGTTGATTTGATAGGCAAAATCTTTGAGGAATAGATTCCATAGAGTGGAAGGTAAATAAGAAAGGCATTCCAAATGATGAAAAGATTAGGGACTGTGCCAACCACAGATGCCAGCCAGAGCCCTCAGCCCACCTTTGGACTGGGAGTGATTTTCTCTCAGAGGAGAGAAGGGTTGATCCAAGTACTCCTGGTGGCAAGTCTTCCTGTGGGGCACCTCTCTGTGTTATACCTGCAGGGGCTCATCTGCCTCTCCTTGAATACTTCCAGAAATGGGAGATCCTCTTATAGGCTAAACTCTTGCAGGTTGGATGGCACTGATTGTTAGAAAACCTTTCTGTAGAGCAAGCCAGAACCAGCCTCCCTGGGACCATGCCTTTGGTCTCACTCTGGCCTCGGAGGCCACGTGGTAAGTCCTGGCCAACAGCCCTCCGGGTTTTTGCAGACAAGCATTGGTGTCTCCACTAGCAAAGGCTCCTGTTTGTTTTCAGTACATTGCCCTGGCACTCATAACTACCCAACACCTTACCCCTAGAATGTTCTGGTGTTGTTTAAAAATCAAAGTTAATTGGGCCGGGCGAGGTGGCTCATACCTGTAACCCCAGCACTTTGGAAGGCAGAGGCGGCGAATCCCTTACGTTCAGGAGTTTGAAACCAGCCTCGCCAACATGGTGAAACCCCATTTGCACTAAAAATACAAAAATTAGCTGGGCGTGGTGGTGTGCACTTGTAATCCCAGCTGCTCAGGAGGGTGAGGCAGGAGAATTGCTTGTACTAGGAGGCAGAGGTTGCAGTGAGCCAAGATCACACCACTGCACTCCAGCCTAGGCAACAGAGCGAGACTCCATCTCAAAAAAAAAATACAGTTAATTAAGTTCAGATAGAGAATTTTATAACCTCTCCCATGCTTAGATACCTAAGGGATAATAATACCACCGCTACCCATTCCCCCATCTGTGTAGTCCTTCATTTCCTTCAAAGCACTCTTGCATTCTTTATTTCATTTGATCTCCTCAGCACCCCAAGATAGGCCAACGGGAGACTATTATCCTCATTTCACAGATGAGGAGACTGAGGCTCAGAGAGATCAAATGACTTGCTCAAGGTCACCTGCAAGTGAGTAATGAAACTTATTGAATTAAGGATTCCTGACTTCATGGTTGGTGCTCTTTCTACTACAGCTTATTATCAGAACTAATGCTAGGTTTTAAAAAAAATCAATTTCTAAGACTCTGTCCCACAGGGATATTTTTACAAAAGAAGGCACACGTTTCTGTACAAGGATGATCACAACATTGCCTGCATATTATTGCTTGCAAATGACTGTTTGCAATCCGACTGCCCATCAATGAAGAATTGGTTAAAAATTATGGAACAGCCATTAATGGAATTCTACACGGTTTCCAAAACAGATGAAGTGGTTCAATGTGTATTCACAGGAGGAATAGGTATGCTGTTTGGCTGAGTGTAGAGGGGAGGAAGAATCCACTTCCAAGCTCATGTGGTGGTTGACAGGATTCAGTTCCTTGCAAGTTGTCAAGACAAAGGCTACAGTTGCTTGCTGTTTGTTGTCTCAAGCCACCTTCAGTTTCTTGCCACATGGGCCTCTCCACAGGGCAGCTCACAACACGGTAGGTGGCTTTCTCAAAGTTGCAAAAAGAGAGTCTCCTAGCAAGATGGAAGTTACAATCCTATGTAATCACAGGAGTGACGCCCTTTGTTGCATTCTATGTGTTAGAAGCAAGTCGCAAGTTCTACCGTCACTCAAGGGAAAGGATGCCACAAAGACAGGCATACCAGGAAACAGGAGTCATGCAGGCCATTTAGAGTCTGTCCCCACAGGGGTCAGCCTTCTTTTTCTGTACAAGCCAGATAGCATTTATTTTAGGCTTATACATCAGACGGTTTCTACCGTAAGACAGTTGCAAAGACTCAGCTTTGCCTTTATCACACAAAAGCAGCTATAGACAATATGTAAACCAATGACTGTGTTTCAATAAAACTTTATTTATGGACATCAACATCTGAAATTTATATAATTTACACATGTCACAAAATATTCTTTTGATTTTTTGTCCCCAATCATTTAAAAATGTAAAAACCATTTTTAGCTTGCAGGCCAGATAAAAACAGGCAGTGGGCTAGATTATGGGCCATTGTTTAGTAATCCCTGCCCTAATTTATTAGTTGGAAAAATTAAATTTTTGCATATCAAATTTTTTTAATGAGTTACTCCAGAATTGGAGGCCTCGGGACAGCCTCTCTACATGATCAACTTCTGCTCATTGGAATTGTTCAGTTTAGAGACTCTGCGACTCGTTTTGAAGGAGGGAGATAATCCCTCCATTTGCTAAACCTCAATTCCTTTCTCATTTTCAATATGGTACATTAGGCATGCAGAAAGGCGAATTGGTCTTTTTTTTTGAGATGGAGTCTTGCCCTGTCGCCCAGGCTGAAGTGCAGTGGTACAATCTCGGCTCACTGTAACCTCCACCTCCTGAGTTCAAGCGATTCTCCTGCTTCAGCCTCCGAAGTAGCTGAGATTAGAGGTGCCCGCCACCACACCTGGGTAATTTTTGTATTTTTAGTAGAGACAGAGTTTCACCATGTTGGCCAGGCTGGTCACGAACTCCTGACCTCAGGTGATCCACCAGCCTTGACCTCCCAAAGTGCTGGGATTACAGGCACGAGCCACCTCACCCGGCCCAGCGTATTGGTCTTGAACTGACTTGTTCTGAGGCTAGTAAGTGACCTCTGATCAGAATATACAGGCCACAAATTAGGAACCCAAGTCCAGAGGGGCAAGGTGACTGCTCCTCACTGCCAAGGAGAGGACTGGACACCCAGCCTCCCGCCGCCCAGTGCATGGTCTTCCTGTCTGCCATGTCAGCCCACTCTGATCTTTCCTTGTTCTCACTCTCACTCTCATCCTCTTTCTGTATATGTGTGTGCATCCTAACCCCATCTCCAATCCCCAAAGCTTACTCAAAGCTCCCGGGGGCCTGGTAGAGTGCCTCCCTTGTCTTCTGTCTGCTCATCTTTCTTTTTTTTTTTTTTTTTTTTTTGAGATGGAGTCTCACCCTGTCACCCAGGCTGGAGTGCAGTGGTGCTATCTCAGCTCACTGCAACCTCCGCCATCTGGGTTCAAGTGATTCTCGTTCCTCAGCCTCCTGAGTAGCTGGGACTACAGGCTTGCACCACCATGCCTGGCTAATTTTTTGTATTTTTTAGTAGAGACAGGGTTTCACCATGTTGGCCAGGCTGGTCTTGAACTACTGACCTTGGGTGATCCGTCCACCTCAGCCTCCCAAAATGCTGGGATTACAGGTGTGAGCCACCGCATCCAGCCTGTTTATCCCCTTTGCCTTCTCTCACCCAGGCATTGACTGGGGCATAGAGGGTGGTGGGTCCATGAACAGCAAGAGGTGGGAGGAGGGAAGCAAGTTCTCCAGGAGTCCAAGTGAAATACAATGAGGGTATCTACAAAGGAAGCATTTGGCAAATAAATGTTTGCTGAGCTTTTTGCTTTGGAGAAGAAAGAAAGAAAAGAAAAAGAAAGAAAGAAAGAGAGAGAAAAAGAAAGAAGAAAGAAAGAAAGAAAGAAAGGGAAGAGAAAAAGAGAAGAGAAAAAGAGAAAGAAAGAAAAGAAAGGAAGGAAGGAAGGAAAGAAAGGAAGGAAGGAAGGGAGAAAGAAAGGAGAGAGAGAAGGAAGGAAAGAAAGGAAAGGAAAGGAAAGGAAAGGGAGCGGAAGGGAGGGGAGGAGAGGACAGGAGAGGAGTTGAGTTTGACTTGACTTGGTGTCTCCTCCAGCGGCTCCCACTGGACTGGGAGGAAAGGTAGCTCCACATGGCTAGTGGCAACAGAGGCTGTTCTCACTCAATTTTTGTTCAAGGGTTTGTGAATAATAAATGAACCGTCACTTAATGAAATTATACCCAGGGGCTTAAAATAGAGCTTGTCTCTAGACAATAAAGTCTAGAGTGATCTTTTAAAAACATTAATGGTATCATGCCTCCCCCTGCTTGATATCCTTAGGATAAAATCCCAACTCCTCCCTGCAGACTACAGCCCTGCAGCCCGAGCTGCCCCTGCCTGTTTCTCCCCACTCCTACCCCTGCCTTCACATTGGCCACAGCCTTCCTGGCCTCCTTTCTATTCCTTCAATAATCAGGCTTATGCCCCACTCAGGATGTTTGCATTCTCTGTTCCCCTTGCCTAAAAGTTCTTTCCAAGCTCAGCATAGTGGCCTGTAGTCCCAGGTACTCGGGAGGCTGTGGTGGGAAGATCACTTGAGCCCAGGAGTTCAAGTCCAGCCTGGACAACATAGTGAGGTGCCCTCTCTAAAAATAAATAAATACATATATATATATATGTGTGTGTGTGTGTGCGTGTGTGTGTGTATAGTATATACATATATATAAACTCTTTACACATATACATATGTCAAGAGCTTTTCCCCATAAATGTATACAAATAATGAAAACAAAACTCTTGACTTTTGGAAGAGTTGATTCCGTATCATTCAGGTCTCAATTTTAATGTTGCTTTCTCAGAAGGGCCTCCATCCACCTCCTGTCTGAAGGAGTCATGTACTCTGGTAATTCTCCACTTGGTCTGTCTGTTTCTTTCATATCCCTTAACATCCCCTGCAATCATCCTCTTTGTTTATGGGTCTGTGGTCTTCTCTCACTTACTGCTACATCACCAGTACACACTGCAGCACCTGGCACACAAGGGCAACTCCATAAATGTTCACTGAATGAATCAATAAATGATTCCTTTCCTTTATAAAGGATAATTGCAACCCCAGTGTCCTTCGATGGGTGAATGGTTAAACAAACTGTGGTACATCCATGCCACCAATACAACTAAGCAAGGAAAAGGTGGCAATTATTGATGAACACAAAAACTTGCCTGGGATCTCAAGTTAATTAAACTGAGTTGGGGGAAAAAGCCAATTTTGAAAGGTTACATACTGTGTGATTGCAGTTATGCAACATTCTTCAACTATCAAGACAGACCAGTGGTCTCCAGAAGTTGGGGACTGGGGTCAGGGGAGAAAGCGTGAGTCTGCAAAGGGATAGCATGAAGGACCCCTAAGGTGATGAAACAGTTGTGTATCTTGATTGCGGAGGTGGTTATACAAAGCTAATCATGCGATCAAATTGCATAGAACTATATACATGCATGTACACAAATGAGTGCTTGCAAAACTGGTGAAATATGAACAAGTTCTATGGATTGTATCAAAGTCAATTTCCTGGTTTTGATAGTGTACTAGTTATGCAAGATGTTAACATTGGGGGAGGCTGGGTGAAAAGTGCATGGGACCTCCCTATATACTCTTTTTTTGCAACTTCCTATGAATCTACATTTACTTCAAAATTTACAAGTTTTTTTTTAAAGTTCTGCATAATCTAAAGAAGACAAATTAAAATATTTTAAATATTAAATTCGTTCATAGGCAATATTGTTATTGCCATTGTGATATAAAGTATATCTGATACAATGAAAAGCCTTTTGCAACAATAATTGAGTAATGTGCTTTGCCTCTAATATCAAAGAACAATCCTCTTGTCTTATTGTTGAATTGGCATTTCTACCTGATTAATATCTAACATGGATAGATATTAATAGATACTTGACTGAGAGGTAGAGCATGAATGATTTAGGACCCAGGTCTCCTAATTCTAAATTCTTCATCTTCCCCTTTTCCACCAGTGACAGTTTGGGTAACTGTTTGGAAATCCTAAAGTAACTTAAATGTATTCAGATTTTCAGGCTCTGATGCCTGCACCCATTCCCTCCTCTAGAGGTGCTGTGGCCTCCCAGCCCCAGCCAACTCCAAGAGGCTAATTAGCACTGCTTTTCAAAAACTCAAGGTGGACTAAGAGAGAAAAGCGGCTCTGTTGGTTGTTGCTCATTTGCGGATGTTTTCCCTGCAAAACCACATCAAAGCAGGGAAGCCCACCGTGGACTTGGCCAGAAACCAAAGCTTGCTGGCCAATCTGAGAAGCAGCAAGTTTCATCAGGTAGAAAACCATTTTATCTTCTGGGCCCAGATTCCTCACTAGAGTGGATGGAGGCGGAGCATCTCCCAAGCAGCAAAGCTCTTCCTAAGCTCTGAGCTGGCGTAGGGAGCCCCCAACTTGGAGAGTCCTATCGTGAGCAGGCAGGACTGAGATGGGAGGTGAGCCGCCAAACAAACCTCACAGATGGTCACTCGGTGCCTACGAGGTGCAGGGCAGGGTCAGTGTGGCTTTGGGGAGCAACCCCATCACACTGAGGCACTGAAAAAATTAAAATGTGTTTTAATCTTCCCAAAAGACATTACTGAACACATGCTGATTTTTTTAAAGAGAAATCAGAGGAGTTGCTCTGTTAGAAACTGAAGAAGACAAACAATAAAAATGCCGTGGGCCCCACCTCCTCTCTCCCCACACAGGTCTCCAGGAGATTCCAGCATTCAGGACACACAGAGGAACATGGAGAGTCTCCCAGTGAAGAGTCTATATTGATGTGAAAGCAGCTCAGGATTTAGCAGGATACATGGATTGGAGTGGTAATGGGAGTGGGGTTAATTTGCTGTACTCAGGAGGGCAATTCAGCAAGAGGGACCGTGCATACTCTGATGCATGTGGTCCTGTCTCTCCAGATGCAATTGGGTTTATAGCCATCTCCTCAGCTATGCCCTGAGCTCCTTGAGGGCAGAGTCCATGGCTTTCATCCTTTTTTCTTTTTATTTATTCATTTAAAAAAATGTTTTGAGATAGAGTCTCAGTTTGTCACCCAGCCTGCAGTGCAGTGGCACAATTACAGCTCACTGCAGCCTCAACCTCTGGGGCTCAAGCGATCCTCCCATCCCAGCCTCCGGAGTAGCTGGGAATACAGGTGTGCACCACCATATCGGGCTAATTTTTTTTCTATTTTTTGTAGGAATGGGGCTCTCACTATGTTGTTTAGGCTGATCTCAAATTCCTGGGCTCAAGCAATCCCCCCTCCTTGGCCTCTCAAAATGCTGGGATTATAGGTGTGAGCCACCGTGCCTAGCTGGCTTTCATCTTTAGATCTCAAGTGTCTGGCACTGTAACTGGTACATAATAGGCACCAATAAACTTTGAGTGTGTTAAAAGAAAAACCTTAGACAAATTAAATTTAACAGAGCTTAATTGAGCAAAAAAACGAGTGAATCAGGCCGCCTCCCAAACCAGAATAGGTTCAGAGAGGCTCCAGTGTTGCCACGTGGTGGGAGCAAATTTATGAATAGAAAAAGGAAAGTGGCAGACAGAAAATGACCAGGTACAGAAACAGCCACAGTGTTTACAGCTCAGCATTTGTCTTATTTGCATGTGATTTGAACAGTTGGCTGCCTGTGAGTGATTGAAGTATGACTGCTGGGGTTGGCTGAGACTTAGCTATTGTTACAGAGGCATACTCCTAAATTAGGTTTTCAGTCTGCCTACCCACTAAATTAGGTTATGGTTCAACAATAAGAACCCAAGTGTAGGAGTACAGAGGCTTTCTCAGGCCAGATTTTAGCTTGAAATTAACAAGTGAATGAATGAGTGAATAATGAATGGCTATTCTCCTGGTAATGGAGATTCATCCATGATTTCTGAGCTGTGGAGATGATGCAATTTTATATATGTTTTAGAAATACCACCTTGATAGCGTGTAAGTTTTGCAGTAGGATGAGGGTTTGGGAATTTTAGCTAGGCATCCTAAATCTGTGAGGATAGGGCAAGTCACTTTAATCCTCCTCCACTCTCAACTCTTACCCTGGTCTTAAAAATAGAGCCATGTTGGGGCTTGGTGCATATAGAATCTGAGAACCCTTGAGCTCTTGGAGGTCTGAGGTTTGGGCTAACGTGACAGTCACCTTCCATTCACTGTGCTTTACAGGGACCTTGGACTCTGTAAATATTTGTTGATTCATTAAATGAAGAGGCCTGCGGACTATCACGACTTTGGGAGTATAGACCTTTGTCAGTTCTTAGCTTTGATCCTCCTTCCTATGTTATAGAAATTCCCCACCTTATGAATCTTATTGAAAAGAGCCCATCTCACACTAAGGAGGCAGAAACCCAAGAAATTGCTTACCCAGCCTTCCTTGCAGCCAGAGTGCTGACAGGGACTGAAGCTAGACAACCAGATGCCACCACCTCCCTGGACTTTAATGAGGTGTCAATGACTCCCATTCAATACCCCAGTCATGAACTTCCTACAGGACAAATGCCACCATGGATCACTGCAGACTTCAGTGACATCCAAAGAGCACTCAGTAGATCCAAGGACTCCTCCCTCCCTGCTGCCACAGGTCACAGTGGCCTCAGCTCTGTCCATACCAAGGGATGTCCCCTTAAAGGAGAAGCAGACCAGATCCACCACGTTTACCCAACTCAGAAGGACTTCAAATTCACAATGGAGACTTCTTGATTCAATATTTCAGGTTGTAGGCAATGCTCCATTGTCAAAGGCCAGAGAGTACCTGAGAATTTTTTTCTATTCTATTATTCTCTGAATGTTTTCAGGAGGCAGCACTTTGAGGCTGTTTTATACTAGATAAGAAGTTAAAATCATAATGTAGAGGCTAGTAACATGGACCCCAGAATCAGAGAAACTAGTACTTTGCGCTAAAACCCTCCAGCTGTGTGACTTTGGTACCTAGCACGTGGCGAGTTCTGTCCATTGTGGCTACTATTACTGTAACTAACTGAGGAGACTGTGGAGTCAGGGTGGGAGAGAAGGAGAAGGGACAGGCTGACTCCAAAGACTTGGCCGTATGCCTGGCTGAGCTGGCCAGACAGTGGAAGAGGGATTAAATCTACTCAGTGGAGGCCTGAGGGCAGAGGAAGAACTGAAGGTGTTTGGCCTGGATGTAAGACTTTCTAACAAACATCGGAAGAGGTGCCAGGGTCGCTCTGTGGAGAGCGTAAATCTCCTGTATGGAAGGTTTTTAAGCCAAGACTGGAGAAATGCTTGGTGAGCTATTGGAGAGAGGATTAAATAGACATCTGATTTGATCTAAAGTTTAAGCAGTGAAACCTCCTTTTTAAATGAAATATTCTGTGAAACCCAATCAATGCTGTGACTACCCAAAAAGCATACAAAGCACATCCTCAGAGCCTCAGCAAAGTAGGGAAAAGGAGAGAGAGAAGTTCCATTCGAATAAATGAGCTGAAATCTTTCAATTGGCATACCTGAAAATGAGTTACTTTCATGGAAGCAATTAAAAACAAGCTGTATGTAGGAACGGCGGCACCACAACCTTGGCAGTAATCAGTATTCAGGGCTTTGAAAGTCTTAATTGGGTCCTGAACCCATTATAACAAACAGACAAGCAGAGCTGTTTTGGAGAAAGTAGCAGCAAGACGCTTAGAGAGTCCCAGAGTCCAGTTTGAAGAATCCCAGAGATTCCGTCTAGACGGAAGGTGGGGAGGTGAGGGGAAGTTCTTGCCATTATTACGCTCACTGGCTTACGTCAAGCCCTGCTTAGCATTTCATCTATGATATTATTTAACTTAAATTTGCGTAATAATTTTAACTTTTCCCTTTTTCTTCCATATCTATTATCTTAGTTCTACTTTTATAACATTCCCTGAGGGAGGTTGAAGAGTGTCTCCTTGATCTATATCTTACAGATGAGGAAATGGGTCCAGATCACACAACATTTTTCAGTGGGGAATTTATATTAGGTAAAAAGTGGAGGCAGAAGAGTATGATGAACCCCTATGATATGGTTTGGATCTGTGTCCCCACCAAACGTCACGTCAAATTGTAATCCCCAGTGTTGGAGGCGGGGCCTGGTGGGAGGTGATTGGACTGTGGGGTGGAGTCCTCATGAATGGTTTAGTACCATCCCTTTGGTGCTGTTCTTGTGATAGAGTTCTCATGAGATCTCGTTGTTTAAAAGTGAGTAGCACCTCCTGCCTCACTCTCTCTTCCTTCTGCTCTGGCCACGTGGAGTGCTGGCTCCCCGCTTGCCTTCTGCCATGATGGTAAGCTCCTTGAGGCCTCCCCAGAAGCAGATGCTGCTGTGTTTCCTGCACAGCCTGAGGAAACATGAGCAAATTAAACCTCTTTTCTTTATAAAGTACCCAGTCTCAGTATTTCTTTATAGCAGTGCAAGAAGGAACTAATACACCCTAATTATCTATTATTCATCCCTGACAACAACCATCAACCCCTGGCCAGTGATACCTTATCTATACCCCACCCAAGTTCTCCTTCTAGTTTTATTTGAAACAAATCCCAACCGTTGTATTATTTCATTCGTAAGTATTTCTGTGTGTATCTTTAAAAGATTAAGATTTCTTTCTCTTTTCAAAACATAATCACAATACTATTATCATACCCCCCAAATTAAATACAACTCTTTAATATAATCAAATATCTCTTTGGGGTTTATGTTTCCAATTGTTTGGTAAACGTCAGAATTTTTCCTTTTTTTTTTTTTTAAATCATGATCCAAGTAAGGACCACACATTTCAATCTGTTGATAAATTTTTAGATAGTCTTTTAATCTATAATCTCTCTATCTCATCTTACAATTTATTTGTTGAAGAAATTCAGGCATTTGTCCTATGGAGTTACTCATAGTTTGGATTTTCCCGATTGGATCCCTCTGGTGTGACTTAAGTGTTCTTCTCTTCTCTCCCTCCTCTGTATTCCCTGTAAACTAGTATTTGGTTCTAGAAGCGTGATCAGATTTGGGTCACATACATATTTATGGAAAGCAGGAAATAGCCTTGGTGTGATGATACCCATGCTGTTGGTCCCATGCATGACTTCCATCCCTGCCACCCCGGTTACCGTTCATGAGCCATTGTGCAAACACTGAGCTAGCTGAGGACAGAAGTAGGCTGAGATCCATTGGCTGAGTGATCCTAATTGCTCAGTTGTTTAGTCCCCTCTTTTGCAGTGAAAGCTCGTTGCTGAGCATTAAGGGGTCAATATAAAGATCCTCACACGTGGTTGAGCACAGTGGCTCATGCCTGTAATCCCAGCACTTTGGGAGGCCAAGCCAGGCAGATCACGTGAGGTTAGGAGTTCAAGACCAGGGGCCAACATGGAAAAACCCCGTCTCTACTAAAAGTACAAAATTAGCCAGGCATGGTAGCACGTGCCTGTAATCCCAGCTACTCAGGAGGCTGAGGCAGGAAAATCGCTTACACTTGGGAGGTGGAGGTTGCAGTGAGCTAAGATCGCACCACTACACTCCAGCCTGGGAGACAGAGCAAGACTCCATCTCAAAAAAAAAAAAAAAAAAATCCTCACACTTTGGGCCACTCCCATAGATCCATCCACAAACCTTTTCTCCAAAGTTCTTTGTCCCTGATCTTCCAATGTTGCTTCTTTCAGGTTCCTAACAAGCCAGCCAAGCAATTCACCACAGTCCAGAAGTCTATGTTTACTCTTTCTTTAGGCAACTGCTCTGTCCACAAAAAGAAAATGACCAGATGTAGGAGATATAGGAAAAAACAAAGTATCTTTTTCTTTTCCTATACAGTTAACACAGAACACTTCACCTGTGTGTATGGAATGGAGAGAAGTCACGAATATGTATATGGGGATTTTTCCTCACATACCAACCAAGCAGTTCTCCAGCAGATACCAACTGGGTATCTTATAATTAAATTCAATTCTAACACTATCTACCAGGAGTTAGATCCCACAGGTTGAGGGCTCAGCCTCACAAGACTGCCCCAACTTCAGATGCCAATTGCAAGCTCTAGGTTGTGACCTGTGCTTCTAACTATAAATCAATGTTCCCACCACCCCCTTGTTAGATTCAATTAATTTACTAGAAAGGCTCAGGGAAACACATTTACTGGTTTATTTTAAGAGATATTACAAAGGATATGGATGAACAGCCATATGGAGGAGATACATAGGGCAAGGTACAGGACAGAAGGGGCACAGAGCTTCTATGCCCTACCTGGGTGCACCACCCTCCAGGCATGTGTTCAGCTACCTTGAAGCTCTGCAAACCTGTTTGTTTGGAGTTTTATAGAGGCTTCATTATGTAAGCATGATAGATTACATCATTGGCTACTGGTGATCAACTTAACCTTCAGCCCCTCTCCCGTCTCCAGAGTTTGAGGGGTGGGCTGAAAGTCTTCTGGTGACCAGCCTCAATCCTGAAGCTATCTAGGAGCCAACGGTCACCTCATTAGCATACAAAAGCATTCTTATTCTGGAGATTCCAAGGGTTTTAGGAGTTGTGTGCCAGAAACCAGGGCCAGAGACCAAATGTGTGTATCTTATTACATCATATCACACCAGGTGTCCATTGGGAGATCTCCTGACTGCTGTCTTTTAGGGCCATGCTGAGAGAGGCTGTAGTGCATCCACAGTCCACTTTGGGCCTGCAGCTACCACTAAGCTGACTTATGCATCAACCAAGATTGAACTTTTTCCTCCTCTGTCAGCTGGTCATAGGGAGCATCCTCCCTCCTGCCCAAGACCATAGGTGTGAACTGAGGAAGATGCATTGAACAATGGGGTAAGGGATATGGATGTCAGGACCATCTATCTGTGTGGCTTACTTGCCCCCTACCCCAACCTGCATAGACCCAGTCTCCAGTGTACCACTTTCATTTACGATAGATTTCTGCTGCCCAGCCCATTCTCCTCCCTCCTGCCACCTTATGACTTAGCTCTAACAATACCCAGCTCATGGCCTCATGGCTACTTAACTTCCTGTGGTCAGAGGCTCAATTTCTACAAAGGCCCAGGAACATGTCAGGAGCTGTTCTTGAACTGATGGTGTATAATTCTCTGTTGCAAATGCCTTGACCTCCCTCTAGAATCCTAAGTATTGTGCTGCCACTTTCTCATGGGAGTTTGCTGGACAATCCAGATGGCATCTTTCCATCTTTCTCTGCCACAGATATATTTGATATCATGCAATCTTCTAGACTATATGAGCCAAGCAGCAAGGCTGCTTGTCCTATAGTCTGAACCTGCTATAGGGCCTGTTTTCACTCTGGACCCCACTCGAAGCTAGTGATGTCTGTATCAACTGATAAATGAGTCACAGCAGTATTCCTAAGTATGAAATATGCAGCTTCCAAAACCCCAAGATATCTACTAAGTGCTATTTTTCTTTCTTAGTGGTAGGAATTTTAAGGTACAATAGGTTGTCCTTTACTTTGGAGGGAATATCCTAACCATGTTCCAGAGCACTAGACCCTTAAAAACTTCATCAGCATAGCAGGTCCCTGAATCTTTCATGGCCTTTCTGCTATACTCTAGAGCACATGTCTTTTACCAAGGCAGCCAGAGTATTTGCTATTTTTTTGCATCTCAGGTGAAATTAGCATGATTTCACCAATTTATCATGTCCCATGGGATGTTAATAGATGTTTCACACACACACACAAAAAAACCCTCAAAGCTATATTACCTATACTTTTGCTCTAAAAAAATTTTAAATCTCTGCCTTAGAAAAATACTGGTCATTTATATAGGTGCCGTTGATATTATTATGTGATAATATGCTTTTTAAAAATGGTGTGCCTTATTGAAAAAATATGGAACCAGCCAAAAAGCCCATCAATCAATGAGTGGATAAAGAAACTACGGTATGTGTGTGTATATATATATATACCATGAAATGCTAGCCATCCATAAAAAGAAATGAAATAGGCATTCACAGCAACCTGGATGGAATTGGAGACCATTATTCCAAGTGAAGTAACTCAGGAATGGAAAACCAAATATCATATGTTCTCACTCGTAAGTGGGAGCTAAGCTATGATGATGCAAAGGCATAAGAATAACACAATGGGCCTGGTGTGATGGCTCACGCCTATAATCTCAGCACCTTGGGAGGCTGGAGCAGGCGGATCACCTGAGGTCAGGAGTTCGAGACCAGCCTGACCAACATGGTGAAACCCCATCTCTACTAAAAATACAAAAAAATTAGCTGGGTATTGTGGCAGGTGCCTGTAATCCCAGCTACTTGGGAGGCTGAGGTAGGAGAATTGCTTGAACCCAGGAGGTGGAAATTACAATGAGCCAAGACTGTGCTATTGCACTCCAGCCTGGGCAACAAGCATGAAATTTCGTCAAAAAAATAATAATAAAGAAAGAAAAAAAGAAGAATATAATGGACTTTGGGGCCTCAGGGGAAAGGGTAGTGAGAGGGAGTTGAAGACTAAATGTTGAGTACAGTGTACACTGCTCAGGTGATGGGTGCACTAAAATCTCAGAAATCACCACTAAAGAACTTATTCATGTAACCAAACACCACCTGTTCCCCAAAAATCTATTGAAGTTAAAAAAAAACAGTGTGCCTTATTGAAGAATCCCAGGCAGCATTACCTGATCATAAACATGTGACATCCAATGTAGCTCCATCTATGTGTGGCATACAATAATTGATCCTTGTGTTACGTGATTCTTCAATGATCATTATCAACCCATGCTGTATGTTCAGACCCATAAGATCCAAATATATTTGTGAGGCAATTAAGTATTTCTTGTATTGAAAACATTTCTACTACCTCATAATTTTCATGGATCTAGAAGAATTTTATTTTTAATTGACACATAACAATTGTATATATTTATGGGATTCAATGTGATGTTTTGATATAGCTCCCTGTATTAGTGTGTTTTCACACTGCTGATAAAGACATACCTGAGACTGGGCAATGTACAAAAGAAAGAGGTTTAATTGGACTAAGGTTTAATGTGGCTAAGGAAGCCTTACAATTATGGCAGAAGGCAAGAAGGAGCAAGTCACATCTTACATGGATGGTGGCAGGCAAAGAGAGAGCTTGTACAGGCAAACTCCCATTTTTTAAAACCATCAGATCTCGTGAGACTCATTCACTATCATGAGAATAGTGCAGTGCAGGAAAGACCTCCCCTCATAATTCAATCACCTCCCACTGGGTCTCTCCCATGACACGTGGGAATTGTGGGAGTTACAATTCAAGATGAGATTTGGGTGGGAGCACAGAGCCAAACCATATCACTCCCACATATGAGTGAGAACATGTGATATTTGTTTTTCTGTGCCTGGCTTATTTCACTTAACAAACAAAATTTTTTCTAGGTTTATCCATGTTGCTACCAATGACAAAATTTCCATCTTGTTTAAGGCTGACTAGTATTCCATTGTGTATACATACCACATTTTCTTTACCCATTCATTCGTTGATGGACACTTAGTTTGATTCTATAACTTCACCAGTATGAATAGTGCTGCAGTGAGCATGGGAATAAAAACATCTATCTGCAGCAAACTGATTTTCATTCCCTTGGATATATACCTGGAAGTGGAATTGCTGGGTCATATGGTAATTCTATAGGAAGTTCTTAAGTAAAAAGCAGAATCACGTGCTCCCAAACTGGTTCTGACAGACAATCACAAAGTCAGGCAGCCTCCAAATGAAGAGACACCCTTCAGTTTCTAAAAAGCTGGGAGGAGAGCTGTTCAAAACAAAATAATTAATTGCTAAAAATAATAACAATAAAGCACTGTACAAATATTGCAAAATAGGCAGTTGATCTTTTCTTCTTTGCTACATTGTGCAGTGAGAAAAATAAAATATAAAAATAGACTTGATATTAAACCTGATAACAAAGATCCAAAACAGCTACCTTGCTCTTTATATTAAATGGAAAGATGGTTTTTAAATAATGCAGAGATTTACTTCAATTTAAAAAATTTCTAGGGATCATACTTTACACCAAAAGATATATCTATATTTTTTAAATCTTGATCTATTTAGTTATTAACAAAATAAAAAGTTTAATTTCTGGAATTTCACAATTCTATTCTAAAGTAAAAATATAAATCTCCCTTCAATAACTTCTTGCTCCAAAGAATCTGTGAGACCATGTTCTGCTGTCTAGTGAGATCCAATAACATTACTACATTTTAATCATCTTCATGTCCCTTCAATACATTGTACTTGTAAAAAATATTTCAGAATGACAAGTTCTCTCTCTCTCTCCCCACTCCCCCCCAACTCCCTCCCTCCCTCCCTCCCTCCCTTCTTTCTTTCTTTCCTGGGGTTTAGCTCTGTTGCTGAGCCTGGGTGCTATGGTGCCATCACAGCTCACTGCAGCCTCAAACTCCTGGGCTCAAGGGATCCTCTTGCCTCAGTCTCCCAAAGCACTGAGATCACAGGCGGGAGCCAAAATGCCCAGCCCTTTCAGCCGTTTCTTAACTGTGAGTCCTGGGACAAGCTCCTCAACCTACATCTCCATTTTCTGGCTTTAAGGCAGAACTCCAGTTTCTTGGGGGAGGAGATGGCCATGCTAAAATAATGGTAACCATTAATATCCGCCAGGCATCTGTAGTGTCTGTGCGAGCTATTCCACCCACGAGGGCTTAGGGAGCGGCTGTGGGGCCAGCAGCTTCAGCTTCCTCAGGAAGGTCTCTCTGTGCTACCACCTTCATGTCTCCTAAAAGTACCTGTCCTGTTCCCTCAAACTACCAGATTGCCACATGGCTTTGAGAGGCTGCAGTACAGCCCAACTACCGTCCCCTTCCTGCAGATGCCTTTTGTCTTAGCGGATACATCTGAATTAGCCCAGCAACTACACAGTTTCTCAAGGAGCCTTTGGCGCGTATGCCTTAGTGAGCGCCAGCTTTCTCTCTCTCTCTCTCCTTTTTCCTCTCTCTCTCCTCCTTCCTCTCTCTCTCTCCTCTTTCCTCTCTCTCTCTCCTCTTTCCTCTCTCTCTCTCCTCTTTCCTCTCTCTCTCCTCTTTCCTCTCTCTCTCCTCTTTCCTCTCTCTCTCCTCTTTCCTCTCTCTCTCCTCTTTCCTCTCTCTCTCTCCTCTTTCCTCTCTCTCTCCTCTTTCCTCTCTCTCTCTCCTCTTTCCTCTCTCTCCTTCCTCTCTTTCTCTCTCTCTCCTCTTTCCTCTCTCTCTCTTTCTCTCTCTCCTCTTTCCTCTCTCTCTCCTCTTTCCTCTCTCTCTCTTTCCTCTCTCTCTCCTCCTTCCTCTCTCTCTCTCCTCTTTCCTCTCTCTCTCTCCTCTTTCCTCTCTCTCTCTCCTCTTTCCTCTCTCTCTCCTCTTTCCTCTCTCTCTCTCCTTTCCTCTCTCTCTCTCCTCTTTCCTCTCTCTTTCTCTCTCTCCTCTTTCCTCTCTCTCTCCTCTTTCCTCTCTCTCTCTCCTCTTTCCTCTCTCTCTTTCTCTCTCCTCTCTCTCTTCTCTGTCGCTTCTCTCTCCCTCCTTCTCTCTTCTCTCCCTCTCTCCTCTCTCTCCCCGCTTCCTCCTCCTCCTCTCTCTCTTTCTCTCTCTCTTTCTCTTTCTCTCTCTCTCACACACACACCTCCTTGGGGTTGAAGGGCACACTACCAGCTCTTGGGAGTTCTTTGTGGACAGCCAGCACTCTGGTCCCTACGTGGAAATGGCCTCCTTTAAGGAATGTCACCTGACCCAAGGCTCCCCTTCCTGGACTGCCCGCCCCCAGCGACTGGTTGAGACAGGGGATGGAAACCCACTCCTGCCTCTTTTCCTTCCCTTCCCTGTGGGATGCCACCCAGGGTTCTCTTTCTCTGTTGCCCTCTGGCCCCACCCCCAGGGACTGCCCTGCTCCAAACCCCTTCCAGGAGGCATCTCCTCCGGGAAGTTTCTTGGGCCAAAACCTCCTTTTCCCACTTTAATCTGTGAAAGTTCCTGTTTTGTTTTGATTCATTTTTTCCCTTGGAGAAGGAAAGAGGGAGAACCTCAGAAGAGAAGAGGGAAAGGAAAAGTAGAGTAATAAAACTGTGCTTTTGTAAAGCTTAGTCCAGTTGGCAACAGGATTTTATCCACATTATCTTAGGAAAGAGGAAAAGGGACTCTTCCCTCCAGGCAGGAAAACTACAGGTGATCTTTGTTTTCTTTCTTTCTGTTGCTTTTTGCTTTTCTATATGTTCAGCATTTTTTTTTTTTTGCAATGATCAAATAATCAGAAGGAAAAAACAATAAAGCTATTCTTAAGGAGAAGAAGGGAGCGAGGCCACAGGGCTGGAGGGCTGGACTTCTGTCCCTCTTCATTCGGCACCGGCACCTCCTCCCCGCCCCCGCGCAGCGGCTCAGTTGAGGGCGGCTTGGGCAGAGGAAGTGCGGCTGCGAAGCTCAGAGGCGGCTCAAAGCTAGGATTTCTGGTCGAGCAGATCCCCCCATTCTTTGCTTCCAGCCTCAAATCCCACGCTTACTCACTTCACAGCACCTACTTTTAACCTGCCAAATGCCACTAAATCTGCAAATTAAACCTCTGATTACAGAATTCCTTTTGATGTAAAAAAAAAAGTGGGGATTTTTAAAATGTAATTATTCATACACTAAGATTTTAATTGTGCTGCTTTTCTCCCTCTCTCGCCTTTTTTTTTTTTTTTTTTCCAGGGCAAGGTGATTCCCCTGTGCTGGGCCTGCCCAGGCAGCGCCAGGGGCCGGGTGCAGGAAGGAGCCTGCAGGAGTTTTCTGATGGGGATCAGGAGATCAGGATGCTCCATTCCAGGGAGGCGGGAAGGGGTCTGGGCAGCAGCTGGTGGTCCCAGGTCTCTGCCCCATAGCCTCCCCATCTTAGCCACATATGACAACTAGATGCAAGGCTGCAGTGTCATTTCGAATGTGGGGAGCTTTGAGCCAAGTCCCCCAAGTCCTGGCCTCTGCTGCAGGTTTAACACCCAAAGTGCTGGGACCTAGGCACGTTCTCTGGATGGACAGTCTGGAGCCAGCCGGTTAATGCAAGGAGCAGCGGGGACAGGGCCTGGGCTGCCCACTTTTCTCCAGCTTGCTTCTCCCTCCCCTCTCCAATGGGCAACCAAACAGATCTTTTTGCTTTTTAAAATTGTGGTAAAATACACATAACATAAAATTTACCATTTTAACCCTTCTTAAGTGTACAGTTCTGTGGCATTAGGTACATTTACACTGTCATGAAACCATCACCGCCATCCATCTCCAAAACGTTTTCATCATCCCAAACTGAAACTCCATACCCATGAAACTTCCCATTCTCCCCTCCCCACAGTCCCTTCTAACCACCTATTCCCTTTTCTGCCTCTATGAATTTGACTACTCTAGGTCCCTCATAAAAATAGAATCCATCATACAATATTTGTCCTTTTGTGTCTGACTTCTTTCACCCAGTGTAATACCCTCGAGATTCATCCACGTGTCACAATGTCATTCCTTTTTAAGGCTGAATAATATTCCACTGTATGTATATACTGCATTTGGTTTGTCCATTCATCTGTTGAAGGACATTTGGGTTGCTTTCATCTTTTGGCGACTGTGGGTAATACCGCTGTGAACATGGGAGTTCAAATATCTCTTCGAATCCCTGCTTTCAGTTCTTTGGGTATATACCCAGAAGTGGAATTACTGGATCATATAGTATAGACTGATCTTTTAAACATGCAGATTAAACCATTCTGTTCCACTGTTTGGAATAAAATCCAAACCCTTCTTGGAGCCTACAAGGGTCTGCCTGATAAGGTTCCTGTGGACTCAGGGACCTCCTCTCAACCCATCGTCCTTGGGGGCATGGCCACAACCACATTTACCTTCTTTGGGATTCTCAAACACCCCAGCTCTCCCCAGCCCTAAGCCCCTGCTCTGACCTGTAACTTCCTCCTGGAGTGGTGTGAGCCACTGCTCCAGAAGGAAAATATTTTTATAAAGACAAAAAGATACTTTAAGGAGTTATTAGTTTTCTGGGGCTGCCATAACTATTATAAACTGGGTGGCTTAAACAACAAACATGCATTGTCTCACAGTTCTGCAGGCCAGAATCTAAAATCAAAGTGTCAGCAGGCTTGGCTTCCCTTGAGGGCTCTGGGGGAGAATCTGTCCCAAGCCTGTCTCCAGCTTCTGGTAGCCCAAGCATTCCTGGGCTTGCAGCTGGCATTCTTCCTATGTCTTCACATCATCTTCCTTCTATGTTTGTTTGTCTTCAGGTCTAAATGCCCCTTTTCATTAGGGCACCGGTCATATGGGATTAGGACCCACCCTAATGACCTCATCTTAAACTTGATCATCTGCAAAGACCCTATTTCCAAATAAGGTCACAGTTACAGATCCTGGGGGTTAGGACTGCATCATCTTTTATGGGGTCACAGTCCAACTCATAACAAGGAATGGCATGGAAATGTGCATGGATAGTTTAGATGTGGCGAGAACTTTTATTTGTTTAGCCCCTGTAAACAGCTGCACCACCAGGGCAGGTGGATTGTATTGTCTTGTTCTCTCTTCTACTGAACTTTGGAGGAAAACACTGAAAAAGCCGTGGCTCTTTTATAGATCAGGCACCTGAGCCCAGGGAGGGGACGTCCTGCCTCTGGTCATGAGGCTGTCTTAAGCGGAGTGAGTGCAGGAACACAGAGTGCTGACTTCCCGCCAGGGCTCTTTCCAGATCGGACCTTTTCAGGTGGAAGGGGAGTCTCCAAGATATGGAGATGGAAAATTGTGTGCAAAGACTTTTGTGGGGTGTACCCTCAGGAGATATACCCGTGAGGAAGTGAGGAAGGCAGGACAGGTAGAAAGAAGATGACTCACAAAGCAGCTGCAACAGAGGACTCAGACAGTCCTGTAGGGGCCCAGGAGCTGTCCTTTGTATCCCAGCCTGGACCCCTGGGAAGAGGTGTAGCCTTAGGTGAGGCAGCTCCCTGCCACCCAGGGCAGTGTCCACCAAGGGATGCAGCTGTAAGCTGTGAGCATCTGGTATTCCCAGCAGCTGGAGGATAGATAGGTGTGTAGACCCCAAAGAGGGAACCTGGGCAGAGCATCACAGCATCTATTACACAGCTGAGTAAATGTTTGTGGACAGATGGGAAGGTCAGCAAAGTGAGAGCTCTTGGATGTGGGCCACAGTGAGCAGCACCAGCCCAGCCAAAATGACAATGATGATGTTGGAGGTGAACAGCAGGCAGAGGGAAGCCACGACCTAGCAGTGTGGTCTTTGGCATGCAACATACTTTTCAGAGCCTCTGGTTTCTCATCTGAAGGCAGCGTTTGGGGCACTTCACATGGGGTCGTGTGTCCTGCACCTACCCGGCACACAGGAGCTACACCACAGAATTTAGTCCTTTCCCTTCTCTTGTCAAGGCAAGCTGATCTCTTGACTACATTCCAGCATGCTTTGCCTCTTGGCTGGTGTATTAGTCAACTAGGATTTGACCGCCATTACAAAGTATCACAGCTGGGAGACTTAAACAACAGGGCTTTATCATCTCACTGTTCTGGACACTGGAATTTCAAGATCAAGGTGTTGGTGTCAGCAGGGATGGTTCCTTCTGAGGGTCATGAAGGAAGGATCTGGTCCAGGCTTCTCTCCTTGACTTTCAGGTGGCCATCGTCTCCCTGTGTCTTCACCTGGCCTTTCCTCTACACGTGTCTGTGCCCAAACCTCCTCTTTATAAGGACATGAGTCATGTTGGATTAGTGTACATCCTAATGACCTCATTTTATTACAATCATCTCTTTATAGACCCTATCTTCAAACACAGTCACATTCTGAAGTACTAGGGGTTAGAACTTGAACATATGAATTTTGGAGAGGGAAGAGACACACTTCAGCCTATAACAGCTGAAGGCCTCCCTTAGCCAAAACCTACCACCCTTTAGTAACATATTTGACTCACTCCCTCTAGGAATTTTTCACTAGGTGCCCAGCACTGTACCAATGAGTGCTCAGAACCATCACAGGAAATTGCCTAATGTCCCACTCCTTATGCGTGCGTGTGTGTATTTGTGTATGTATGTGTGTGTGCACGTGTCTCTGTGTGTCTGTGTCTTTGTGCATGTGTCTGTGTGTGCATGTCTGTGCATGTGTGCATGTCTGTGTGTCTCTGTGTGAGTGTATGTGTATGTGTACATGTCTGTGTGTGTGTGTGTGTGCAACTCTGTGCATGTCTGTTGATGTGTGCGTGTGTCTGTCTCTGTGTGCATATCATGTGTGTGTGTGTGTGAATGTGTGTGTGTGTGAATGTGTGAGTGTGTGTGTGTGTGTGTGTGTACAGCTCTTCTGTCCAGGGCCTACCTTCTTTAGGATGCTTCCTTGTGCTTACCTAGGTGCCAAATACTGGATGTTCAACTGTCTGTTGACACCAAACCTGAGATGGAGAACAGCACTTTTTGTTCTGAGGAATCCCATCCTCTCCCTCTGAAGGACCAGCACAAGCAAAAGATGCTGCCCAACGAGGGGTTGTTAGAGTCCAAGGGCACGGGGACTGAGAAAGAAAGCAGAGGACATGGGGCTGTGAATAGCCCAGCCCCACTGATTCACAGACAGGGCCCTGCAGTGCAGAGAGGTGATGAGGTATTGGAGGGCATCCAACCAGAGAGCAGCAGGGGCAGGAGCGGGGAGGAGGCCTCCTGACTCCCAGGCTACTCCTCTATCCACCGAAAGCATCACCTCCGTCCCCAGGACAGGTCTCTGCTTGGAACCATCTACCTAAACCTATGCCAAAACATAGCACGCTTTCTTTTATCTAGAATAGAAATGAGGTTTCAGTTAGATAGGAGGAACAAGTTCAAGAGATCTATCATACCACAAGATGACTATAGTTCATATTATATGCTTGAAAATTTCTGAGTAGAGAAAATGAGGTATGATGGTTCATTGAGAGTAATCACTTAAATCGTAGAAAAATTATCAATTTTCAAAAAATTGTAGAGACTAGAAGGGAAGATTCCTAGCATTAAAATGGCACTGAGGAGACTGTCATGCTTTCTTTGAAGATGCTGATGTCACTGCTGGTGCTGACAGGGTCTCAACACCACCATTCCAGCCTCCTCAGCAGCCTATCCACTGTGAGATCCATGAGACTGCACCAACTCAAACGCGTTCCCTGGAAGTTGAGTTTTACAATAAATCTCCAATATGAACATGCTTACCTGTTTTATTCCTCTTTTTCATCAATCTGAGAGCAGAATAAGGTGCATTGCCAATTTGCTTATTTACCATATTTGCACCATTTTACCTTTTTTTAGCCATTACTTATCACTTTGCAGTATCCCATCCTCCACACTGCCTACAAAGTAATCTCTCTATATCATAAATCACACCATTTCGGCTTCTTCTTTTCTTCTTCTCTCTTCTTCTTTTCTTCTCCTTCTCCTTCTCCTCCTCCTCCCTCTTCTTCCTCTTTTTTTTTTGAGACAGAGTTTCGCTCTTATGGCCCAGGCTGAAGTGCAATGGCGTGATCTTGGCTCACTGCAACCTCCACCTCCCAGATTCAAGTGATTCTCCTTCCTCAGTCTCCCAAGTAGCTGGGATTACAGGCACCCACCACCAAGCCCAGCTAATTTTGTATTTTTAGTAGAGACAGGGTTTCGCCATGTTGGCCAGGCTCATCTCGAACTCCTGACCTCAGGTGATCCCCCCGCCTCGGCCTCCCAAAGTGCTGGGATTACAGGTGTGGGCCACTGCACCTGGCCTCGGCCCCTTCCTCTAATCATTCAATCCCCTAGACCATCCACCCCAAGCCATCACCTATTGGGATAAAGCACAAGCTCATTAGAATGGCAGCCATGTCACACCACAGATGCCATTCTCAGGATGACCCTTGCCTCCCTCTTCACATGCACTCCATCACTTAGGATGCCTTAGCTGCAAGGTACAGAAAACTCAACTAAAACGGGCTCAAATATAACTAGCCTTGTCATCTCCCTGACAAAAAGTGCAGAGGTGAGAAGCTGCGGGGCTGCTCAGCTCAGAGGTTCTCAGCATCACCAAGGCCCTTGCCCCCTCATCTCTGCTCTGCTATCCTTATAGGCGACAAGGTGGCTGCAGGGGCTACAAGTTGCACTGGCTTTCACCCCAGTGGCAAGAGGCACCTATGGTCCTGAATGAGTTTTCCCTATCTCAGGGCCAGAACCAGGTAACAGGCCATTTCTGAAGCTATCATAGAGGATGAGGTACCATGATTGGTTTACACCAGTCCGGCACTTCCCAGAAGCTCAGGGCTCATCCTGACGCTCACCTTTCCTTTGAAGGATTTCCTGTCCCGTGCCTGGCAAGTCTACTAGATATCTTCTCATCCTGTCATTCAACAAACCTCTACTGAGCATCTAGGAAGCGCCAGGCATGGACAACATAGCAGTGAACAAAAACAGTCATTTAGTTACCCTCATTTTGTCCATATTTCCATGATAATACTTGACATGTTTATAATGTTTTGTAGCATATGTGATATTAGGCACCTCTCTGAGCCTCAGTTTCCTCATGTATAAAAGGGGGATAATAATGTACACCTCTTTGTTGCAAGATTTAGAGATAATACACCTAAAGAACCCAGGTGTGCTCAATTTATAGTTGATGCACAGGAATTGGTAACTCTTGGCCAGGCACCGTGGCTCATGCCCATAATCCCAGCACTTTGGGAGGCCAAAGTGGGTGGATGGCTTGAGCTTGGGAGTTCGAGACCAGTCTGGGCAACATAACAAAACCCCATCTCTACAAAAAATAACGAACATTAGCCGGGCATGGTGGCACATGCCTGCAGTCCTAGCTACTAACAAGGCTGAGGTGGGAGGATCACTTGAGCTCAGGAGGTTAAGGCTGCAGTCAGCTGAGATTGTACCACTGCACTCTAGCCCTTGTGACAGGGCGAGACCCTGTCTCAAAGAAAAAAAAAAAAAAGGTAACTCTTTACAGATGTGTTTCCCCAAGACAAAGGGTGTTTCTGTTGCGTCATGAATTCCTTTGACAGTCTGGAATATTTTCAGATGCATAAAATAAAATACATGGGAGAAGAAAGGAAACCAATTATATTGAAAGACAGTTATGAAAATATTTTAAAATATTTGAACACAGAAACATATACTCTTTCTTGATACTTAAATAACACAATATGGTGTCAGGTCTAATAATGTATCAAAGTAGTGATGATGAGTGTTAATGATATTTCAAGATTCCCACAACTGCTGTAATGTCATGTGAAAAGGTCTGTGACTTCTATTGTTGACAAAGACACAGGTGTTGCTAGGATTAACTGGTTTGCTGTCGACATGTATATTTGAAGGAAGTGTTAACCTTTCGTTACAGGCTAAGGAAAATAAAATGCAGGCTTTTTTCCCCCTTCAAGTTTTCAGACCCCCTGAATTCTGTCCATGGACCCCTTGGCGGTTAATAGACTTCATGTTAAAAACCTGCCCCTGGAGTTGGAGCAAAAATGGATCTTTTTTCCCAAGGCCCTAATAATAGTATCCAGTATGGCCTCAATACCTGAAAGACCTTACTAATAGGCTTTTTAAAAATCAGTTAATGAGGCTGGGTGCAGTGACTCATGCCTGTAATCCCAGCACTTTGGGAGAACGAGGCAGGCAGATCACTTCAGGTCAGGAGTTTGAGACCAGCCTGGCCAACATGGTGAAATCCCATCTCTACTAAAAACACAAAAATTGGCCAGGCATGGTGGTGGGCACCTGTAATCTCAGCTACTTGGGAAGCTGAGGCAGGAGAATCGCTTCAACTCGGGAGGTGGAGGTTGCAGTGAGCAGAGATTACACCACTACACTCCAGCCTGGGCAACAGAGCAAGACACTGTCTCAAAAAAAAAAAAAAAATCACTAAATGAGAACACACACAGAGCCCTTGTTTGGGCCTTCTTGCCAGACCTGGAGTCCAGAAGAGATTTAGGGTTTCCAGGGAGATCTGAGACAAAGTCTTCGCATCTGCAGCAGTGGCTGTGTCTACGCAATTTCATTTTCTGAGCTTTGGAAGATGGCTGCTTGAAACCTGCAGAAAACTCGACCCCAAACTGGGAGAACTCATCTCTACAAGCATCCCCAGGGCTCCTTTCCCAGGGCCCAGCCTGTCTTGGGCTGCCTGAGGGTGCTGAAAGGAGGCACTGCTGTACAAAGTGAGAGGCCCTTGAGTTCTCCAGCTGCTCCACCCTGATTAGCTGTGTGACCTTGGCTAAAGCAACTCTCCTCTCTGAGCCTCAGTTTGCTCATCTGTAAGAAGCAAGGGCTTGGGGGGGGATGATGTTTCTCAAATGGTGCTCCAGGCACGCATTCTTGCTGTTTCAGAATTCTCTATCAATGATGTGTGTATGTGTGTGTGTGTGTCTGTGTGTGTATGTGTGGCAGTGGGGGATGATTTCATCTTGATTTTTTTTTTTTTTTTCTGAGAAAAGACATTTTCTGGATCATCAGTCTGGCCACCTTAAAAATACTATCTCAACTGTCACAGGCCAGTAAGGAGAAGCAGACAGAAGGGACACATATACGACAAGCTGGCAACAAGTGAAGACCATATGACATGGGATGTGCTTGGGATGCTGTGCTTGGGATATTTCCCTGTGGTTAGAATAGGAAAAGGACGGAAGAGCAAAGTTATTCCATCAAAACGGGAGATAAATATATGGAATAAACAACAACAAAAATCATGTCCTAGGAATGAAGTGCCAGAGTCCCTCTGCACTGGAGTTCTGAGGGCAGCACGTGATATAGCACAGATGAATGAGATTGTTTTGAATTTTTAAAATTTTGTTTGTAGGTTTGTCCATATTTAATTTGAATACTCATTTCGGCTTATCCTTGTATGGGAGCTATCATCAGTACAAGGAGTTCATTGATTTTTTGTTTGTACATGTTTAAGTAGCTTTATTACAAAAACGAAAACTGTTTCAGACAACATTGGAGGTTTCTGTGATTTTTTTTTTCTTTTAAAGGAGGGAAGTCCCAATATGAAATCTGAAAAGCAATCAATTTAAAATATATATTTGGGGCCCCATTTCCTCGCCACCCCGCCCTCCGACCTGCAGGGCCTCGAATTCCCAGAGAACAAGCTCAGACTTGCCTGCCTGTGGGGTGTGGGAGTGGGGCTGGGGGTGAGGTGGGGGCAGGAAGGGTGGTCAGTCCTCTTTGGAGGGAGGACCTTGGGTGTACTATGCTGCCCTCTTCTGGCCACACAAATCATTGCTGAGTTTATCTTGGGCTTGGAAAATTTGGAGGGTGTGTTTGGCCCTTTGGGCAGGTGGCAGGTCATAGTGACCTTTAGTTGCAGGACCGTTGCACAGAGCTCGCCTCAACCCACCTAAGCCCTCATGGCCTGAATTGAGCCAATTTTACAAGCAAGCACTGTCCCTGTTTGGAGGGAACCTTGGATAAGGGATGGTGGGAGGAAAACGATGATCCAAGCCAGGGATGAGATGAAGGGAAGGGGCAAGAGGGTGACCTCCATGGCCTCCCTGGTGGCCAAAGCAAGGGGAGGTTCCCGCAGTTTCACCCTGTCCTGAACAGTTCAAGCCCTGCCTCCATTCTCAACTGCGTCTATTGCAGGGCTTCTTGGCCTTGGTTACCTTAGCTCCTGAGCATCCATTCAAGGGGAAGGAAGTCCCCTCCCCAGCTGCAAAGACACTTCTGCCTGCAACAGGAGGCCCTGTGCCTTCTCCAGGGTGTGGGTTTATGATAAATCTTTGCAATGACCACACCACTGAGGAGAAGAAAATAGTCCTGACTCTAGAAGGCTCCCTGGGCTCTCGCAGCCATTCAAGACCCAGACCGTTCTTCTCCACACACCCCCAGCCCCCAACCCAGGCATCTTTCTGGGCCTGCAGCTCCTCCTACTGGTTCTTCTCCGGTTGAGCATTCGCAGTGAAGGCTAGATGTGGGGCTAGGGCCTGGGTTTATGGCAGTGGCCTTTGAGGAATGGGTAGTGGGGAAGCGGACCCCGAAACCAACCTCTCAAACACCAAGGTCAGTGCAGGGGTGGAAGGGTAAGAGGTGCCTGGATGCCTGCATGGGAGAGCACATTGCTCAAGCCATGGGGCAGCTCCTGGGCACGGCCATGGAATTCCATCAACCCCAGCCACATCTTTTCTTAATTTTTACCTCTCGCTTGGTATCCAACACTGCCCAGCACATGGTAGGCCTCAGCATCTGCCCAGCTCTTGGCCCCTGGGAGGCTCCCCGGCTGTGGAGGACTGATGGGTGGGATCTGAAAGGGCAGATCTGAGAAGGAAGACTCTTTTGGGCAAAGGCAGTAAGCTCCCAACACAGAAGCTGACCCTGTCCTCTTTCCAGGAGGCTGATGGCCCTGCCCTCGCTGTGTTGCTCACCCCGTTTTCCTGGGGACACAGCTGAGAAAACTCAGCAAATGCTCCCAGGCCTCGTCTATCTCCCCTACTCTTCCAGCAGGGCCCACCCAGCTGGGCCTCCCTGCCAGCAGCTGGAAATCCCCAGAACCACTCTCACTTTCTTCCTACAACACCACCCTCCCCTGACCAGACACCTGCTCCCAACCATCCTCACAGTGAGGAGCTCAGCTCCACATGCAGCCCTAAGTCAGAGGGAAGTTCTTCCCAAAGCTCCTGGCTCCATGCCCCCTGCCCAGGGCATCTGGCCCTTCTCCTAATGATGGGCCCTCTCCTCTACCCTCTACCTCCCCATCTAGCCTTCAGACCACCACACACTGATTTGATGGGAACTTGGAGGCCCTGGGCCCAAAGCACTCCTCCTGGTATGGTAGTCTATCCAAGTGGTTAGGCTCACAGATCCTATACCCAGCCTACACATCCCTCCTCCAGCACACACTGGCTGTGTGGCCTTGGACAAGTTACCTAACCTCTCTGAGCTGCATTCCCTCATCTCTACTTCTTCCTAGACTCATGAGGATTAAGGGAATCAATGTTTGGAAAGTGTTTTATAAAGGTCTCGGCACATCATTGGTGCTCAAGAGAGGAATTGTACTATCCTCATCATCACTGCAAATTAACATAGTTTGTTAACTGGCTAGCAGAACCACTACTGACTAATCTGTGGCACATGGCCCCCAGTGACCCTAACAGATCCTATTGCAGGGCATATTGGCTGGGCCAGGTCAACCTCTAACCCTGTGCCCAAAGCTGCATCAGCACTGTGGGGGGCCACAGAAGAACTTTATCCTTAAGGAAGAGGCAATATCACAGGCAAGATAAGACTAATTCACAAAGCAATTAGTAAAAAATACAAGATAGCTTAAAAGTACTAAATTGTTCAGTGCAGACTATAATTGTGTTAATAGTAAGAACCATTTGTATGGCATTTGAGAGTTTACCCAGCACTTGGAAATACATTATCTCATCTCATGTAATCCTCAAAGCAAACCAGCAAGGTAAGTACAGATGTTCCTCAACTTACAATAGTTACATCCCAATAAACCCTTCGTAAGTTGAAAATATCCTAAGTTGAAAATGGGTAATACCCTCAACCTACAGAAACATCATCATTTGGCCTAGCCTAAATGTGCTCAGAACACTGACATTAGCCTACAGTTGGGCAAAGTCATCTGTCAATACAGCACACTGTGGAATATGGGCTATTTATCCTCGTGATCACAGGGCTGACCGGGAGCTGGGCTCACTGCTGCTGCCCTGCGTTACAAGAGACTATCATACTGCATATCGTTAGCCTGGGGAAAAATCAAAATCTGAAGTCTACTGAATGCATACGAACTCAGGTCTACCGGATGCATATTGCTTTCGCACCATCACCATCCTAAAGTTGCAAAGTCTTAAGTCAGGGATCATCTGTATTGTTCGATGCAGATGAGGAAACCACGGCTCACAGAGATTAAATGGCTTAGTTGTGATCACTACCAGTAAGTGGGTGACTCAGAAAAGACTCCACCCTGATTCTCACTTCATCTGGTACTAAGATCCTGGCTTTTTCCATTAAGTGGTGGGCGTGTGTGTGTGTGTGTGTGTGTGGGTGTGTGTGTGTATTAGTCTGCTCAGGACTGGGTGAGATTTAAATAATAGAAATTTATTTCCTCCCAGTTCTAGAGGATGGAGGTCTCAGATCGAGGTGCCCTCAGCGTTGCTTTAATTCTGGGGCCCCTCTCCTTGGCCTGCAGATAGCAGCCTTCTTCCTCTGACTTCACGCAGTCTTCCCTCTGTGCCACATGTCTATGTCTTAATTTCCTCTTATAAAATAAGGGACACCAGTCCTACTGGTTTAGGGCCCAGCATAAAGACTTCATTTTAATTACCTTTTTAAAGACCCTATCTCCAAATACAGTTACATTCAGAGATACTGTGGATTCAACATATAATGGAATTGACACTATTCAGCTCGCGTGGTGTGTGTGTGTGTTACAGGGGTGGGCACTTCTCCAGACTTCATCTCGTTCTCATCCTTTTTCTCATTTCCCCAAGACTCCCTGTGGCCAGTGTAGCCTCAGTTCAGGTTTCCTGTCGATGTGCATTGTGCCTGGTGTGGCCTTATTCTGGCCTCCCTCACAGGCATGGTGGCCTCTCAGAGCTGGATAGGTCTCAGAACCATTCAGGGGATGGGGTTTCCCTGTGACCTTGGCCCTGCCCTGAGGTCCTCAGAATATGGCAGCAAAAGAGAAGGAGCCACCTGCACGGGCCTGCCCACAGCAGCGCCCAGTGCCAGTTAAAGAGGCCCGGAAAACAGGGCTGCAGCAGCCCCTGGAGGACTCTTGGAGAAGCACAGCCATGCTCCCAGATCCATCCAAGAAAGGAAGATGGCGGGAGGACCCAGGAGCAGAGCCAGGGCCTGGGGAAGGATGGAGGGAGGCAGGCAGCAGAGAAAGCCCCATAAGAACGTGCCCGCTGACACAGGAGGCAGTGTGAGGAGAACTACACACCAAACTGGAGGCCACAAGGTCTGGGTTCAAGTTCCAGCCTCTCTGTTCCGTGTTGCCACCCTGGTAAGTTATCTCGTCTCTCGGAGTCTCAGTGTTCTCACCCGCAACATTGTGGGGGAAACAGTAGCACTAGCTTCACACATTGCTGTCAGGATTAAATGAGCTAATTTTTGTAAAATGTCACCTGGCACACAGTAGGTGCTATCAGGGCTGCATAGTAACTTTTGTGGGTATTAGGCATTTTTGCTTTTATGGGTGTCTTCCTCTGTAAAAAAAATACTTAAAATTCTATTGTACAACTGTGTTAGAAGAAAGATGAATAAAATCCCAGCTCTATTATACTGTTTTCTTTTGGTTTTAAGAGAAACGAAGACATTTTCATGGGCCTCTAATGAATGGTGGCCCCTAAGCATTGGGCCTATCATATCTAATGGGTAAGTGGCCCCAGGGGCTGCATCAGTGTCTGCTGCTGTGGATGTTAAAGTGTCTCAGGAACTGCCAAGTGTCATGGCTGGTAAGGAGTCACTGTCACTCCTTTAAGAACACTCCTTCTGGTAAGGAGTCACTGTCACTCCTTTAACAACACTCCTTCTGTCCTCCTGGAGTCCAGCATCCCTGTCCTCCCCCTCTGGGTACTGACTGCAGTGCCTCAATGTCCAGTGTTTCAGCAGAGGGCGCCAGAGGCCTTTCCCTTTAGTCCCACGGAGATGCAGGGCTGGGATGTTCTGATGGGGAATGCCAGGCAGAGATCGCACCTGGCTGAGCAGCGCCTTCAGACCTCAGGCAGGCAGGAGAAGGAGGCTCTGGAGGACAAATGCCCATTAGGTCATTTCACAGCAGCCTCCAGGGTGGCGGCAACAACGTCCTCTAGTGGCAAAAAATCCCTCCATCCAATGCCTGCCTCCCCTCCCCTCCTAGGGGCTCCCAGCGTCCAAGGCATGGGGCTTCTGTTGCCGTTCATGTGTTTGTCTAAAACTCTCCTCAACCCACACAGGACTAGAATCTGATGAAATGGATTGGAACCTGAGTCAAATGGGCTCAATCCCAAGTGATGTATGAGCAACAGGGCGCCTTGACTCGGTTTGCACATTGATGCCAATGCTTTCCCACAGGGTCTCCATCTGGTGAGCCCCACCTCAACCTCTATGGATGCCAGCACCACCAGGGCCACTGGCCCATGCCTGCTCTGCTGGCCCCTCAAGCCTGGGCCAATGCAGGGCAGCAGGGGGATGCCGCACACACCTCAGCCCACCACTCAGCGGCCCCCAGGGCTGCCCACAGTCCTGCAGCTTTTCTAGGAAGGGACCTGCCCAGAGACGTGCCGCTCCATCACACTGAACAAGCATTTTATTCCAGGGATTCCCAACATGTGAGCAGGGTGGAAGCCTCTGACAAGGTGGGCCAGAACCTTTGGATTTGGTTTGGGGGCCAAAATCAACTAAGGCTCAGAGAACATACAAAGCCTGCGTGAAGGTGGTGAGCTGCTCCCACCTTCACAGGTCTGGGGTCCTAAACCCCTGGAGCCATGGTCAGTCCTGTGCCCAAGCCTCTTCTTTTGCAGGCCCTGAAACTTTCACTACAGCTCAGACACTGCTGCACGGGCCGGGGAGGGAGGGGGTGCTTCCGGCAACTGTTCACAGCCCCTCACTCAGCCTCCCTGGTGACCAGGCACAGACTAGCCAGGGAACGGAGCAAAGCCAGCTGGCTCCAGATCCAGCTGAGCAGCCTCCCGGAAACCTCCTAACCTACGCTTAATGGGGAGGGTGCACAAGGCAGCTCAGAAGGTGCATCTTCCTGGGATCTGAAGCCTAAAGAAAGCCACCTCCAGCCAGGCTACTGGGAGGTGTTGAGGGCATGACTCCTCCACTGTCGGCTAAGGTCCTCAATGGTGTCCCGAAGCATCAGCATCCAGTTGTCACCTCTCCGCATCAGGGTGCAGCGTGTCTCCTTGTGCTCCAGGGCTACGATCTCCGCGGGAGTCTCAGGGGTCAGGCCAGCAGCCAGGACAGCTTCCGGGAACTTGGCTGCAGAGGCAGGGGCGAGGCAGCACCGGGGAGTGCTGTGGGGATGGGGGCAGGTGGCACCCGGAGGACAATGAGAGAATAGAGAGATGGGAAAGGAGAAGGTGGAGGAGGAATAAGAAACAGAGGAAGTTTAGGGATGGGGGGGTATGGAGGACAGAGACACAGACAGACAATTGGCACCTTGAACTTATTGCTACAATGACGCTACCTGGCAAACTGCTCCTCCTGGTTGGAGGCCAGCTCAGCCACCACCTCTGACCATGGCTGTCCCTGGGATATCTGTCACGCTCCCTCTTCTGGGCCCACAGTTTCCAAGGCACAGTTCCACACAGCACCCATCACACTCCATTACAGCCATTTTTTCGTAGTCCTGTCTCTCCCACTGCTTGGAGAAGAAGAGGGCCCCTGAAATTCAAATGGTCCCTCAGTGGCCCAGGCCCCCATTGCCTGTACCTGGGCTGCTGCCTGTCTATCTGCTGGTAATGGTAGTTCACGGCCACCGCTGAGTGGGGGCACAGCAAGTACTGGTTCTCATCCCAGCAGCGGCCCATGGTCTGGGTGATGGCTTCATCCGACACTGACACGGATGTCACTGCCTCTGAAAGCTGAAGGGTCCCAGGTCAGAAAGATGAGGTGTGGGGGGGGGATGTAGGGAAAGATGACAAAACCCCACTCTCCACCACAGATCCACACAAACCCCAGGGATCCAGTGGGACATTCAGACCGAATGGCTCAGATGTGGCTCACAGTAAAAATCTGGCCTCCTAGTTTTGAGCTGACTCACTCAACTTGGAGGAAAGATACGTTTGAGTTTTATGTCAATCCATTTAGTTGGGATTTGGCTCCTAATCAGCAAATATAGATTTGTTCAACAACTTGCCACAGCCAGAAGGCTCGGGGCAGCCACACGTCTGGTGCTTGGTTGTTGGCACACCTCCTTCCTGTCAGTTCCTATTCAGCTCACAGAGCACCTCCCCCAGGAAGCCCTCCCTACTTCCTTCAGACAGAGGAAGATTCCCTTGTCTGTGCTCCCTCGGTGTGTTTGGTTTATTTGATCATCTTCTGAAAATGTATTGCATGCTTACAATACACCAAACACCCTGCATATACTTGACTGCAGTAGGGATCATAGAGTATCACAGATTTTTTTTCTTTTCTTTTTTTTGAGACAGAGTCTCTCTCTGTCACTCAGGCTGGAGAACCGTGACACGATCTTGGCTCACTGGAACCTCCACCTCCCAGGTTCAAGCAATTCTCCTGCCTCAGCCTCCCAAGTAGCTAGGATTTACAGGCATGTGCCACCATGCCCAGCTAATTTTTTTTTTTTTTTAGTAGAGACGGGGTTTCACCATGTTGGCCAGGCTGGTCTCAAACTCCTGACCTCAAATGATCCGCCTGCCTCAGCCTCCCAAAGTTCTGGGATTAGAGGCGTGAGCCATCTCACCCGGCTGGTATCATAGATTTTCATATAGCTACCTGCTGTGAATTAGGGTTCCCAGCAGACAATGAATGTATTTTACTTGTCTTTGTGTTTCTAGCACCTAGCACAGTTCCTCGCTCACAGTAGATATATAACATGAATGCATGAATGCCATTCCAGCAAGTGAAGTGTCTCCTATGTGTATAGCCAGAGAGAGAATGAAGGAGTGGGAGGTATGGTGTCTGTCTTCATGGAGCACCTCATTTATATGAGGAGAAAGAATGTGAATGTCAAAACACACCATTAACCAAATAAATTGATCTTTGGGTGCATCAAAAGAAGCACAGATTCCAGAAGGCCGGAATTCCACTCCAGTCTGCATTGGTATGGCTCAGCCTAGAGAACTGCATCCAACTTTGAAAACAACACTTTAAGGTGGATATTGACCTTGCAAAATTATGTCATGCAAGGGACCACTAAAGGAAGTGGGAAGACTAACTTGGTAAATGAGGATTCTCTAAATACTGGAAACACTCGGATGTAGAATCAGACTGTGTAAGCTAGAAGGAGAAGATTCTAGCTCAATGTAAAGACTTTTGTAATGGTGAGAGCTGGTATGAGGTACTGAGAGTCTGGTCACTGGAGGTATGCACAGTCTGGATGGCCACTCAGTGGGAATGTGGTAGAGAAAATTAAAGGCAGCTTCAGAAATCCTTTTTTTTTTTTTAAACACAGAATAAGTACCATCACCAGGTTGCATTAAAATAAAAACAATCCTTCCCAATTAGATTCCTATCATTCCAAGGGAATAAAATTTCTCCTTTTCCAAGAAAAATAAGAGAGAGAAAGGGAAGGAGGGAGGGAAAGAAAAAAGAAAGATGGAAAGGAGGAAGGAGAGAGGGAAGAAGGAGAGCGAGGGAGGAAAGAGAGAGGAAGGAAAAGGAAGAAAGGAAGAGCTCAACGGAAACAATGGTCTCGGTTCATACTGGATGGGCAAAATGGCTTCCAGTTGACAGTATTATTGGAAATTAACAATAATAATAAGTAAAAGAAAGTTAATGTATCAAGCCATATATTACCAGGAAGTATGCAAAGTGCTTCACATATATTATTTGACTTAAATCTCACAACAACTCTATGAGGTAGGCATTCTTATTATCCCCATTTTATAAACGAAGGAACCAAGGCACAGAGTTTAGGAAACTAGCCCAATGTCTCAGAGCTCACTTGGGATTGAGCTCATTTGACTCTAAACCATGTTCTCTATTACCTCTCCTCATTCAATAAATTATTCCATGTAAAGTGGCCGTAAAAGTGGTGGGCTCATAGCAGGTACTCAAGAAACAGGTGTCCTCTTCCCTTGACCAGACTTCCAAACCCCAAGTCTGCTATGTGGCTGTACCCTTTCCTTTCTCTGTGGTGTGTGGGTAGTGACTGACCTTGCTGTGCAGTTCCTTGGGCAGATTCACACTTTGGGTCCTTTCAAACTGCTCCATGAGGGCTCTTGTCACCTGGCTGTCAGAGCCAGAGAGCAGCCAGAACACCCTCTCCATGTTGTAGGGCACCTGAGCAGAAAGTCAGTTTCAGGTCCAGACTGATCTCAGCCCCATCGAGCCCCACCCAACCAACACCTGGGCCAGATCTGCACACCTCCCCCAGGCCTACCTGAATGTCCATAGCTGATGCCAAGGTTGATTTAACAGCCTCAGAGAGAGAGAAGTCTCCCTGCTGGACAGTCCTGTGGATGATGTCATTGCGGTTCACTGCCACGACCAGACGGATGGGCAGGCCTATCTTTTGAGCAATGTACCCAGCTTAAGACAAGAGAGGAGGAGAACAATGGCTTTTTAGAAATAAAAGCAAAAAGAAAAAAGTAAATTGGGCTTCATCAAAATTAAGAAACTTTTGTGCTTTTTGAAGCTTTTGTGCTTTAAAAAGGACACTATCAAGAAAATGAAAAGGCAACTCGCAGAATGGGGAAAAATGCAATTCATATATCTGATAAGGGATTTGTATCCAGAATATATAAAGAACTGTTGCAACTCAATAATAAAAATACAAATAACCCAATTAAAAATGGGCAAAAGAACAGGCATTCCTTCGAAGAAGACGTACAGATGGCCAATGAGCACATGAAAAGATGTTCAACATCATTAGTCATGAAGGAAATATAAACAAAAACCATGAGATATTACTTCAAACCCTCTAGGATGGCTGGAATCAAAAAGACAGATAATAAAAAGTGTTGGTGAGGATGTGGAGAAATTGGAAAATTCCCACATTGCTGGTGGTGACAAAATGGTGCAGCCACTTTGGAAAACTGAAGTCTGTCAGTTCCTTAAAATATTAAACAGAGTTATCATATAACCCAGAAATGCCACTCCTAGTTATGTACCCAAAAGAAGTAAAAATATATGTTCACATGAAAACTTGTACACAAATGTTCACTGCAGCATTATTCATAATAGCTGTGTTAAACAATCCAAATGTCTATCAGCTGATAAACTGATAAACAAAATATACCACTGTATGGTATATCCATACAATCGAAAAAGTACTGATATATGATACAACATGGATGAACCTTGAAAACATCACGCTACGGGAAAGAAGTCAGGCACAAAAGACCACATCCTGTATGATTCCTTTTATAGAAAATGTCTAGAATAAGAAAATCTATATATAGAGACAAAATAGATTCGTGGTTACCAAGGGCTGGCGAAGGAGGTGGTCTAAAGAAAAGTGAAGAGTGACTGCTAATGGGTACAGGGTTTCTTTTTAGAGTGATGTAAACATTCCAAAATTGGTTATGGTGATAGTTGCACAAGTCTGTGAATATATTATACTAAAAACCACTGAATCATACACTTAAAATGTGTGAATGGTATGTGAATCATTTAGCAATAAACCTGTTACAGACACACACACACACACACACAGCAAGAGAGAGAGGAGAGAGAGGGGAGAGAGAGGGGAGAGAGAGGGGAGAGAGAGGAGAGAGAGAGGAGAGAGAGAGGAGAGAGAGAGAGGGGAGAGAGAGGGGAGAGAGAGGAGAGAGAGAGGAGAGAGGAGAGAGAGAGGAGAGAGAGGAGAGAGAGAGGAGAGAGAGAGGAGAGAGAGAGGAGAGAGAGGAGAGAGAGAGGAGAGAGAGGGGAGAGAGAGGAGAGAGAGAGGAGAGAGGAGAGAGAGAGGAGAGAGAGGAGAGAGAGAGGAGAGAGAGAGGAGAGAGAGAGGAGAGAGAGGAGAGAGAGAGGAGAGAGAGGGGAGAGAGAGGAGAGAGAGAGGAGAGAGGAGAGAGAGAGGAGAGAGAGGAGAGAGAGGGAGAGAGAGGAGAGAGAGAGGAGAGAGAGAGGAGAGAGGAGAGAGAGAGGAGAGAGAGAGGAGAGAGAGGAGAGAGAGAGGAGAGAGAGGAGAGAGGAGAGCGAGCGTGGGAATGACTAGGAGTGCATCACCAGCCCTGAGGCTGTTTTATGTGTCAACCCCCTGCCAGCTGCCAAAGTATTTAATAGATGGCTGACTACTGTAAAACACCAATTTTTGGAAGAGGAAATGAATGTTCCAAGAGGTCTAAATGACCTGTCCAAAGCCTGTTAAGTGTCAGAGTCAGGATTCAAAATATGCCTAAGTCCGGAGCACATGCCCTCCCTCGACTCAGCCTCCTAGAGCCAGCAGTTTCAGACTACTCTCCCTGCACAGGCACCAGGGGAGGCCAGAGCAGTAACCTCAGTCCACCCCAACAGCAGTTCTTGTTTGCATGGAACAAGCAAGGAATTCCTCTCCCTAAGAGGTGTACAGCCCGGACACGTGACATTGTTTAGGAAGGTTTTACATATGGTGCTTTCGTGAGCAGTTTATCTCTGGTGAGTAGCTAAGGGGAGTTAGGGACAACCACACCACCCAACATCACTGTTAACCTGGCAAAACACTTTTATTTTTTTTTTGAGACTGAGTCTCTCTCTGTTACCCAGGCTGGAGTGCAATGGCACAATCTCAGCTCACCACAACCTCCACCTCCCAGGTTCAAACGATTCTCCTGCCTCTGCCTCCTGAGTAACTGGGATTACAGGCATGCGCCACCACACCTGGCTAATTTTTGTATTTTTAGTAGAGACAGGGTTTCACCATGTTGGCCAGGCTGGTCTCGAACTACTAATCTCAACTTTCTCTTTCTTATTTCACCTGATCCTCATGAGAACATCATGATATCCTTGCCTGACAGCGGAGAAATGGAGGCTCAGGAAGGTCCAGGGTCTTAAAGCCAAAGAGTTGGTTCCTGACAGAGCAAAGATGGATAGGAACACCCTCAGCAAATGTTGGTCACGTGTTTATTTTGTATCGAGCACTGTGGTAGGCTCTGGGCTGCAGAGGGCGGCTGGCCGCACGACTCAGTGCATCACTAATTGGAGGGCGATGGGAATGGGGAGCATGGTAGGCTTTATCCCATGAGTGGCAAAGAAGCCCATCCCTCTTTGCCTGCCAGCCCGCTGTTCTCTCCACCCTTCTGTTAGTGGCAGAAGTCAGGAAGCTTCCTAACCACTAAGATGCTTCCGTGCTCTCAGCTAGACCATCCTTGGTGCCCATCAGAACCAATGCCATTGCCGGAACTATCAGGAACAGTAATTCCCCTAGCCTCACCAGCTCTGCAGCCAGACTACCTGGGTCGCGCTTCTGGCCCAGCTCTGTAACCAGGGCATGACTCCTTTCTCTGTGCCTTTGTTCCCTCATTATAAAATGGAAAGTGTCCTCTCCACAGGTGGATAAATGAGTTCATATGTGAAAAGCATTTAGAACTGTGCCAGTTGCATACTAAGTGCTTGATAAATATTAATGATTATTAGAGAAAATGATTTTAATGCTACACAGCTGTACAGCACTTTGCCCTTACAAAGTTTGCATGCACACAGGAATCTGATTCGCTCATCGAGGCAGTCCTGGGAGATAGGATGAGTGACACAATCTCATTTTATAGCTCAAAGGTTGAGTCTAAAGGACTGCTCCACAGCCTCTCAGTTAGTAAAGGACAGAAATGGGGCCAGAACCCCAAGTCCAGAACTCTTTCCACCTCACACGGGGTCAGGGTGGTGTGTCCAGGAATGGGAACAAATGTGCCAGTCAAGCCGCTTGCCCTCACATTGGGTAGCTGGCCAGGGCTGGGAGCAAAGTCCACATTTCTGATTGAGGGCACTGCCAGCCAGCCATAGCGGCTGACCCTTGACCTTGCCTCTCCACACTCTGCTGAGCCAGCGAGCACATCAGGTCAGGCTGTGGGAGCATGTGGGGTTAAGCCATCACCCTCTGCTGCCGGCAGCAGGATCCCAGGATGCTGCCCCAGGCAATGAGGGGGGAAATCTCCTGGGAACTTCTGTGGGGTTTCCCATCACCTTCAGAACTGGGACTCCACCTTCCTTCTCCTCACAGTTGCAGCCAAAGGGCAGCTAGAAGGACTGGGGCCACAGGCATTTTTCTGGAAAGCCCATTTGTGCCCCGGGGATTCCTTACCTGCAAGGTTACCGGCAGCCCCTGTTGGCACAACCACCTCCACCAGGGGTAGGGGATGTGTGTCCAAGGATGGCGTACACTGGAAGTAAGCAAAGAAGTGATGGGCCATCTGCACCAGGACCCGGGACCAGTTGATCGAATTCAGGCTCATCAGATTGTGCTTCTTGACAAAAGCCACATCGGCAAACACAGTCTTGATCGGCTCATCGAGCTCATCGCTGTTTCCCTCCACTGCCAGGGGGGAGAGAAGAGGGCAGCTGTCAGGAGCATGTAGAACCCCCAGGAGGTCAGCACTCACCTGCGACAGGGCCCTCCCAGGCTGAGCCCACCCTCCTGGGACCTTCGCGCAGCCTAGGTTTCTTTACTTTCACGTAGCTTGGCCTCACTATCTAGACTCAGTATTAAGCTCCTCAAGGACAGAAATCATGCCTCAGATTCTTGTGTTCCTAAATATCTGCCCTAGCTTAGAACAGAAAGGGTAGCCAGAACCAGTTCCAATGTTTCTACCATTATCTAAAATAAGATAGCAAATGGCAACCTTCTGGGATCCTGGGAGAATTTCTCTTTGTAATCCATGCCCACTTCCCCCACTCTTCCGCAGAGGAGAAACTGTGTGCCTGATTGGAAAACGGTGAGAGACGTAGCCTTTCCTCCACAGTCCTCTATCAGGGGCCAGGGTGGAAACAGTCACCATTCCCCTGTGGTCTGCCCTCTGCCCTCATTTAGATCACAGAGTAGGTGTTCTGCTCTCTGCTCCTACATGGCAGGTAAGCTTCCATGGACAGAACTTCCCCTCCCTGAAGCTGGGTGTGTACATCAGTGTAATTTATGAGTGAATTACCAGATAAATTTATGGTGAATTGTCCACTAATACAAGTTATATCCTCCAGTCTAGCTCAATGAGCAACCAAGCCAATATTGATTTCTTATCTGATACCCGAGTATGTCTCCATTGGATCTACACTTGGAAGGAAGAGGGGTGAAATTTACTGGGAAACGTGCCAGAGAAGGCATTAAGGGTGCTAACCATTCTGCCCTTCAACACTGTGTAGCAGCAATGGAGCTGGGGGACTGACTCTAGATCCATGTGTGTACCCAGAATGGCCGGGGCCAGTCATGGTGATTCCATTCCTTTGCCAGGACCAAGCCAATCAGTGCCTGGTACTCTCATGGGGTCAGGGTTGGCTCCACAATGAGCATGTGAATAAATTCCGATCAGTGAACCACAAGGACATGTTAGCTGGGTTCTAAAAAAAGATTCACTGCTTTAAAAAAAAGAGCAACAGGAAGGGAGAGACCTGGTTACCTCAAGCAATCACCATATGACCACAAGAGGAATGAGCCTTAGGACTGAGGAGGGCAGAGCAGAGAATGGGAAGGACCTGGGTTCCTGAGAGCATTGTGAGTCACTGAATCAAACAACTGGAAGCCCACTCCACCCCTGGCCTTCCAGTTACGGAAGCTGGAAAATATTCTTGTTGAAGCTGGTCTGAGTTGAATTTTTTGCTACTTCTAGCCAAAAGCATCTCAAATAACAATAAATACCTAGCACTTGCTGATTATTCTGTGCTTAAGAAGAACCAAGTATACAATGTACATGGAAATTAATGACTTTATAAACCAGCTGTCCACATACAATAATCTAAGTGGTCCATCCCTACTCCCTAAGCTTACCAGTCTACAGAAAAATACATATTTGCTGTTATATCCTGAACTAACACACATCCTCCTTAAAACCAAACCAGAAAGCTCTAGAAAGGAAAGAAAGGATCTGAATAGTGTCGTTTATAAACAAAACTGATTTCTGTGAAGTCTGCTGTCTTAGTTTCTCATTTTCTTGAACATGTACACAACAGAAACACCCCCTTCAGGTCCAGCATTTAATGATTTATTGCATTCATCAGATTCCACATTTCTGCCATTACTTTACAACTGGGCACTGTTCTCCAATCCACAAGTCAGGAATGGAGCTTTCACTCACACCCTTAGGTCTGTGTACAAAAAAGACAAGGGAGTAGGAGGCAGGACAGAGGCACAGAACGCTATTCTCTGCTTTGATTCTAGGAAAAAACAGTCCTAGATCTGTAACTAGCAATTTTGGTGCTTAGGGTACAACAAGGACCCTCAGGAGCCTGAATCTTGTGCACTAAAGTCTTGCAACAACTGCAGGAAAATGCAGCCAAATATGAGCAATTAGCAAGGCAAATGTGTAAGATGACACCAACACCTGCATTAGCTAAACCATGGACTTTTCACTGGCAAGTGTATGCACCTGCTAAAGAACAGAGCAGAGGGGCAGTTCGCTTGCTCTTGAACAAACTGACAGAGGGTATTTATGCTGCTCCTTTGGATAAGGTTTGTTTTCACTGTGCTTTTGCTCCTTGTCAAAGCTGATGTTATACAAAAATAACCTCTACAGGATTATCACAGGAAGCCAGGCCAGTTGTAGAAGGAACATTCTCTGCCATCACACTTGCTGTTCTGTCAGGTGAGTGACCAAACTAAGCCAGGCCTCCTGGAAAGCCTGCCCAAGGCCACAGCTCGCCCAGGCCAAAACTTAATCCAAGTCCCCACCTTGCAGCTACCTGGGGTCCAGTGGGGTGTGAGAGGTAAAAATAAAAATGTACAGCTCCACCCACACTCACCCCATCTTTCTCCACTCTCAATCCCTATAATGATTAAATCCATTAGGAATAGATGGCCTGATATTAAAAAAGATGGCTTTTGCCTTTCTCCAAGCACAAAATGCTGTGATTCTCATGATGTGACTCAGGTAGCAGTATAACCAATGGTGGGTACCACTGAGTAGTTCCCTATTTTAAATATTTAGACCAGATAACCAGTGCATGGCTTAGTTGTTCCCATACTGTAAAGAACAGCAGGAACTGTCAACATATAATGACACATTCCTTTTTTTTTGAGACAGGGTCTCACTCTGCTGCCCAGGCTGAAATGCAATGATGGCATGATCTTGGTTCACTGCAGCCTTCTGGGCTTAAGCGATCCTCCCATCTCAGCCTTTGGAGTAGCTGGGACTACAGAAGCACATCACCATGCCCGGCTAATTTTTGTATTTTTTATAGAGTCAGGGTTTCGCCATGTTGCCCAGGCTGGTCTCAAACTCCTGGGCTGAAGCGATCCACCCACCTTGACCTCCCAAAGTGCTGGGATTACAGGCATGAGTCACCACACCTGGCAACACATTCTCTTAAAATAATTATCTAACATGTTGGTGTCCTCTAAACTTCAGAGTCTTGGAAAAAAACCCAAATCACTTGGCTCAGGTTATGACTCTGCATGGTTGCTGACATACATGACACTTGCAGGTTGGACATGCATGGAGGTGGCATTTTTTGGGGTATGGTTTTCAATCCATACTTAGCATGTTGTACTGTTGGTATCAGTTTATGCATCTGTCACCTCCAATAGTTTACTGTGTAGCCAGAACCCTGCCCAGAGCTGAGCCAAGGCATACACACCAACCTCGAATATGATGATGAAAGGAGGACAGTCAGCTACCCAACTGTGCAATTTTGTTCCAGTCCATCTCCCAAAGCAAACCCAATTAAGGCAGGGCTGCACTGTCCCTAGAGCCTCTGCCTCAGCACACACCTCCAAACACATGTACGTTCTGCTTCAGCACCGTTGTCATCTGGAGCTCCTGAATCTTTGTGCAGTGACCTTTGGGCAGCAGAACGATAATGTCCATGTTCTTTGCCCCTTGAACACTCTCAATGGCAGCACTTCCTGTGTCCCCAGATGTTCCTGGATGGGAAGAAAGGAGAACTCTCCCCCTTTAGAACAAAGGGAATGAACGAGGAAAGAAATGGTCCCCAAAGCACTGTTGTCAAATATAGCAACATCTACTTCAAATACTTGGATGATATGAACCTAGCACTCCACCTAGGGTCCATGGATCCACGGATAAAATTCAGGACATAAGTGAACTTGTGAACCACATCATCTTAAGCATTTTGTGCACTTCAAACATTACTCTGAGAAAGTTCCATAGCCTCCATCAGCCTGGCAAAGGGGTCTATGGCACCAGAAAATGTTAGGAACCTTGCTCTGGAAGAACCAGTACCACAGTTCCTGAGTGGCTCTATGAACAGCATCCTATAGGTGGACACCCTACAGTCACAGCACTCAGGTATTCTGCGTTTGTGCCCCAAAAACACACCTACAACCACAGTGACGTGCTTCTCCCTCTTCTCCAGGAAGTACTGCAGGAACTGTGTTGTGCAGGACAGGGACAGGTCCTTAAATGCATATGTGACGCCATGCCACAGCTCCAACACGTTCAGCCCATTCCTCAACCTGGACAGATGGACCACTTCTCTGTGACGGAATCTGCTGAAGGCTCGGTCGATCAGATCTGTGAGGGTAGTGGGGTGGATAGCCAATGAGGGGCCTGGTCTCTTTCTCAAGTTCCCTCTCAGTCTCTGAATATAAAGTTTCCAACTCCTGCTACTAAAAGGCCAAAAATCTTCATCTTAAATGATACCATTTTTGAATACAATTGTAAAAACCTAGAAAAAAGTCTGGGAAAACATGCACCAAACTGTTCATAGATTCCTTATAGTGATTTCCTCAGTGACCAGAATTGGTACTAGAAGACTTTATTTTTCATTTTTTATACTTCTTCATTGTTTGACTGTCTCGTGAGCATGTATTCCAATCAGGGGTCAATTAAATAGCTACATAACACATCAATGTCGCATCCCATCTAATGTTCCTTCCTAAAGATAGGAAGCTTTTTGTTTCTTACATTACTAAATCTCACACCTGTGACGCCAGAGCCTTTGGATGGTTGATATACAGCCCTCCCTAAGGCAGGACTGGAGCAGTCCTAGAGCACAGCTTCTCAAACTGTCACTGGCAAACCAAGCACCTGGGATCTTGTTAAAATGCAGGCTGGTTCAATCAGTCTGAGGCAATCTCGGATTTCCAACAAGTGCCCAAGCAATGCCATCACTGCTGGTCATCAGACTGCATTTTAAGTGGTCCTTTCTCTTCCCCAACCCCAAACCACCACCATTACATTATGGATTTTGTTCTTGCTGTTTAAAGTGTGGCTCATGGACCAGTAGTCTAGTATTATCTGGACATCTGACAGAAATGCAGAATTCTCATTCCTACCCCAGACCTACTGAATCAGAATTTGGTTTTTAACAAGATCCCCCAGGGAATCCATAGGCACAGTAGAGCTTAAGACAAGCTGGTCCAGGACAGTCTTGAAGTCCTTTCTGGAATTAACATTCAAAAAATAAAATAGCAATTTGGGGGTCTGGGTGCTTTATGTGAAGGAAGGAAACACCCCAACATTCAAGTCACTCAAGATGATTCTAAAATCCCTAGTGTTGAAGAGGTTTTTGTTTTTTTTTTTTTAAAGAAAAAGAAAGAAAGAGAGAGAAAGAAAGAATTCTCTGAAGAAAATTTCAACATTCATCTCCCTGGAGACAGGACGAAATCTTTCAGAATATTTTCAATTCTGGGATTCTAGAGTCAGGAAAAGAAATAAAACAAAGTTTGAGAAGAAATGTGACTAGAGACTTCCTAGTGGTTTGGTGATGGATTTACAATTCTGTAGACTGAGCTGGCAGGGGCTGGAAGAGTGAAAGTACAGGTGGGAGCACTCACCATTTAATTCATCTTTTGGAAGGAGCTCAGAGCCAATGAAGAGGGCACACAGCTCCTTCACCAGGCCAGGATAGGAGAGTGTGCTCCACTGGCACAGGGTCCCTCTGTCCAACTGTGGGAGCTCTTCAGGCATAAAGAGGCCCCCGTCAGGTGCATAGCCAGAGAAGAGGGCCCCCTCAAAGTTGACCCGTGGGGCTACGCCCCTGGTGCTGACATACCACATGATCCTGGAGGCCTGCAGAGAGGACAGTCCCAGAAGCACCTGGTCTCCAAGCTCCCACACCCCACCGGGCAAAGCCAAAGCACACACAGTCTCACAGTTAGCCTCTAGACCACCAGTCTCCGGGGCACATGTCCCAGACCTAGAGATGGCAGTCCTGTATCAAGTCTCATGCCAGCTTCATCTACAACTGTGTAAATCATGATTCCACCAATCAAAATGAGGCAATTCCACTGACCTCCTGTCTTCAGGGAGAGGGTATCGGAGCATGCCGGGAAAAGAGAAAGCTTGGTCCTCACCAATGAGAAAGAAGGCCTGGCGGTGGGGACAGATAATAGCAATAGTAGGCAACTGCCAGCTTGATATCCCTCTTGCTAAGGCGAAAGACCAACGCACAGAGTCATACACCCCTTTCAGGGACGTCTCGGTCCACTTCTGCTCAAAAACCAAACATCTTCAATGGTTATTGGAAACACTGTCTACAGCCTAGTAGTTCTCAACTGTGGTAGCTTGTTGGAATCAACCTCAGAGCGTTAAAAAAAATACAACTACCTGAATCAATTAAATTAGACTCTAAATGAGAGGCTCCTCAAGAGAGTCTAACGTGCAGCCAGGGTTGAGAAGAGGGTGACCAACTCATCCCAGTTCGCCCAGGAGTTTTCTGGTCTTAAAACTGCAAGTCCCATGTCCTAGGAAACCCCTCAATCCCAGGCAAACTAAGATGGTTGGTCATCCTAGTGGATAACCAGTGTTCTACCTCTTAGCCTAATCCTAGGACCGTTATAAGTGCTGATATGCAGTCTTTAAAACTAACTGGCCCTGCATGGACTGAGTTCTCTGGTTCCTGGGGAAGCCCAGGACCCCTTAGGCCTAACACTGGTCACACTTCCACATCAGTTACTTTCCCAGGAGCCAGATGCCATGTCAAGGAGCTGGGCTTGAACTCTGAACACCTTCTTCTGGATCATGACAGTGAATTTAGGGGCCCTGGCTTTGACGCCCCACAGTAACTATGGGGATGAATTTGACTAGACATAGCTCTCAGTATTAGCTTGGACTTTCTGTGCCAGGGTGGGAGGGGATCCCCTGCCCTCTAAGGGCAAAGCCACCCAAAGCTCTCTACCTACATGAGGCATATGAGCACTGACCTGGAGGAATTCTCATTTCCTAGTCTGTGGCTCTGACATCTGTGGGCCCCCGTGCAAGTCTCACGTGGGCTGCCACGTGCCACTCTCTTAACTACAAATATTAAGTGTATCTCACTTAGAGACAGAGACAAACTTGATCATACAAACCATGAATCTTTTGAAAGTGATTATGCTGGGACAATGGTATAAGCCAGAACTCTCTCTCTGGCAACCTAGGATACAAGGTCACTCCGTATGGGAGTCCATGTCAAAGAGATGAAATATGGGTAACTCCAAAAGTTAACTGCAGTGGATAAGCAAAGCAGGCAGTATTTCACAAAACAGAACCAGGGTCGGGGGGCAGGTGCTAGCGGTGCCCTCAATAAAGAGAGGAATTTCTGCAATTCTGTGGTAAGAGTTAGAGCCAACGCAAACTGCCCAAGACCGTGGAGTAACAGAAAGGCCTTCATAGGACCAGACTTAAACGCTACGACTGAGCTGCCAAAGAAACCATCGCAGGAGTGAGGGCAGGAGCGAGCAAGGCAGTAAGGTACAGCGAAAGAAAATATTTTTCAAATGCCCTTCCCTGGGTGGAAGGAATATCACACCTGGGGCACTGGGAAGGAGGATATGGAACAACTGTCCAGGAACAGAGGACAGAGGGGCTGGCACGGGGCTCTGAGCAGGTCATGGAAGGAGCTGGCCTGATGAGCACATACCCATGCCCCTCACGCAACAGGACTGTCCCTGTTCTGTCCAATGCCTTCCAGGGGCAGCATTCCCAGGCCAATTCAGCAAAGCTAAAGAGAAATACACATGGTTGGGTTCAATGTAAGCCAGAGGCGGAAATAGCAACCACAGGAGGTGGTGAAGTTGAGGAAGAAAATCAAGTGCTGTTGTTGGGCTGCTCTATGAGGGCTCCAAGCATGGGATGGAGACCCGGACTACGTGTCCCCTGGGATTTTATATTCTAATAATTTTCCCTTGCCACTCCTCTGGACCCTATTCCAGAGTAGAGAAGGTCAGAAAAACTCTGACCAATAACCAGGATAAATAAATACGGAAAATAGGAGTAGCCCGAAGGCTGGGAACAAGAAGGTGGGTAGACAGGCGCCCCTCAGGGAGGTGGAGGGGTTTTGTGAGAAGGGGTGGGACAGGGCGGAGACTCGGACCCCAGGAGCCGACGGCACCCCTAGGGGTGGAGGCAGACCCCGGGCTCTCTGAGGCTACCGGTGCCAGTCATCCCGCCAAGGAGGGCGGCCTAAATCCTCAAGGGACTCGCAGGCGCCTGAGATTCCACTCCCAGCCCCTGAAAACACCACGGACTTCAGTTTCGGGGTTCTCAAAGGACTGCTCAAATCCCGCAGAAAACGCAAAGCATCAGAAACCCCCCGCACCACCCTCCCAAGTTCCTCAAGTCCGAGCGCCGGAACCAAAGGTTCCAGAAACGGGCGGGGCGACGGACGTGGGCCTGCGGGAATCAGGGCCGAACGGAGCCGCGAGAGCGTCCGGAGCTCAGAAATCTCGCCCGCGACGACCCCGGGAGGGCGGCGAGGTTGGCGCGCGTTACCGGTGCGGGGCGCGGGGCGCGGGGCGCGGGGCGCGGGGCGCGAGGCCCGGTGCGCAGCAGGGCTGCCCGGGCTGCGAATGTGCGCACTCCCGAGTCCGCGTCCCTGACGGTGCGGTGGGGCTTCCGGTCGGGGCCGGAGCTAGGGTTCTCAGCTTCGCAGTGGGAAGGACCTGGGGATGGGGCGGGGGGCGGGGGACGGAGGACACAGGACAGAGGAGAGTGCGTGAGCAGCGGTGCGCGATCCCGGAAGCATCACGAGGGGGAAGCCCTGTGCCCCTCCCGCGGCCCCTTTTTTTTTTTTTTGAGACGGAGTCTCGCTCTGTCGCCCAGGCTGGAGTGCAGTGGCGCGGTCTCGGCTCACCGCAAGTTCCGCCTCTCAGGTTCACGCTATTCTCCTGCCTCGGCCTCCCGAGTAGCTGGGACTACTGGCGCCCGCCACCACGCCCGGCTAATTTTTTGTATTTTTAGTAGAGACGGGGTTTCATCGTGTTAGCCAGGATGGTCTCGATCTCCTGACCTCGTGATCCGCCCTCCTCGGCCTCCCAAAGTGTTAGGATTACAGGCGTGAGCCACCGCGCCCAGCCCCGCGGCCCATTTTTTAAGGCGCTTTAGTAAACGCTTTATTGACGTTCAGCCTCGGAGTCTTCGCTGCAGGGTTGTGAGCCCCACAGAACCTCACTTTTCAGTTTAGAAAATGGACAGCAAGGTGTGAAGAAGAAAGGCCCTGCGTTCCTTTAAGATTCTTGCCTCATGTCTGCAGCATCAGAGAGCTGGAGAGCATGAGAGCCTTGCTTCTCAAACTGCGGTTAGTATGTTAGGACTTCAGAACTCACCAGATAGGTGACATCAGCTCCACTCCAAAAATTCTTTATAAAAAATTTTCAGTGGTTTTGGGGGGTATGAAAATTCTTCATATTTTTTGAGAAACACTTTTTATTAAGCGTAGGTCTATTCTAGGATAAAAGCCCGTCACCCCCATTCATTCTTTTAAGAGAAAAAAATGGCAAGAACTTCAAGGAAAAACAAAACAGCAACAACAAAAACTCCCTCTAGATATGCCCAAATGCCCCTGGATTCACATTGAGCTCTTGAGGCCCATCCCACTGAAGCAAAATTAGAGGAGGTAGACCAGAGAGGTTCGGGCAAAGGTTTAGTCCTGGGTAGGCCAGGTCACTCTGGCAGTCCCAGCTGGGCCTCCAGTGGCCCTCTGATGTTGCCTGTTCCCCCCTCTTTCTTCCTCCTATCTCTGACATCCTCCTACATTTGCGGTTTCTGCTTACTCAACTTACCTGTTCTCCAAAATTCAGCCCATACACGGTGCCCACTTGACATAGCCACACAGGTTCATGCAGCTACCATGGACTGACCCTAGTCTGGGTGGGTCTCAGATTCTGGAAAGAGAGGGAGAGACTGGTCACTGCTCAGCTAATGGGATTGGCCTTCTTGTCCCAAGCTGGGGCTGAGGACTTGTCACAGAGTTCACACAGGGGTCAGAGGGGACATTCCAAGAGAGACGGGTATAGGCCAGGCAGGGACCCCCAAAGGGTTTTCATCCCTTCTATCAGGTGTACTTAATCACTCAGAGGCCAGGGAAACTGAGGCCGATGGCAAAAATAAGATTCAGCAGCGTGTTTTACAGCACTCATGTGTGTTACAGCGTGTGTTACAGACTCAACCAGTAGAGTCTGCAAAAGGACAGATGCACCTTCCACGGACCTCTCCCACAAGCCCTCTGCCACACTTACACGGGCCTGCAGGCCTTTGTGATTCTGTGGGCAGGAGGAGTGGCCAGAAGCTCTTCTGTGAATTGTAATTTAACTCCCCAGAAAAGAGAGAAGCAAAACGCTCAGGGAACAACAGGGTTCATTAGGAATCTCTGCCTGGCACATAAAGAACAGTACAGCCGCAGAGAACAGAAACTTCTGCAAGGAAGTTTCTGGCCCATGAGGAAGAAAGAATTCTGAATCGCGAAGCAACAGTAGGGTTGTGGAGTTCTCAGAGACTTCTACATGGTATCAACATTTAGTTTTTGTAGGATTAGCAACCGCTTGTTTTTTTCTTTTCAACCTTATTGATTAGAGTGCTTAGCTGTCTATAACGTTGAAGCCAACGATCTTCCAGCCAATGCTGAAGCAGAGCCCTGGGGTCCATGCAGTGCTGTTTCTTCTGTGTGACCCAGGTAGAGCTATCTTTAGAGAGGCTTCTCCAAAGCTGTACAGGAGAATTTACCTTTGTCACCATGCACTGGATGTAGGAGTTAGGGACCAGATCCCTTGCTAAGGATTAGGTTAGGGCCTGGACTTCTGGAGAAGAAAGCAACCTGCTAAAAGTCCTCCAGCCTTTGTGCAGGGCAGAGGATAGAACTCAGGCTGCTTCTGGTATCCCAGCTGGGCAAAGACAGCAGGGCGGAAGAGAGAGAAGATGACATTCCAAATCAGGACACTATTCTCTCTGAGCGTTTTTGAACTCCTAAATTGATGATACATCATTTTGCCAGATATATGTGGTGGTGGTTTGAGGAAATGGGGTAATATTTAAGTTTAAGTACCCTGAGTCACCCTCACTTCTTGAGTTCCTGACTCAGTAACAAGAGTGCCAAATAAATAGCCCCAAATTGTCAAGCAAAACCTGACTGGCATAATTCCAACTGCCTTCTTTGCAGAAATGATCCTAAAATTCATTTAGAGGTGCAAGGAACCCAGAGTAGCCAATATAATCTGGAGGACTTACACTTCCTAATTTTAAATCCTAGTACAAATCTATGTAAATCAAGATGGCCTGGTACTGGCATAGGGATAGAAAAACAGATCAATGGGATAGAATTAAGAATCTAGAAATAAATCCATACCCATACGATCAATTGATTTTTGACAAGGATGTCAAGACTATTCAATGGGGAACGAATAATCTTAAATAAATTATAACTGGACAACTGGACATCCATACACAAATAAGTGAGTTTGGACCCCTACCTCACACCATATGCAGAAATTAGCTCAAAATGGATCAAAGACCTAAGTATAAGAACTAAAACTATAAACCTCTTAGAATTAAACATAGGTTTAAATCATCGTGACCTTGGGTGAGGCAACAGTTTCCTAAATATGACACCAAAAGCACATGCAACAAAAGAGAAAACAGATAAATTGAACTTCATCGATATTAAAACTTTTGTGCATCAAAGGACTATTAAGAAAGTGAAAAGACAACCTACAAAGTGGGAGAAAATAGTTGCAAATCATATACCTGATAAGAATCTAGTATCCAGAATATATAGAAAGCTCTTACAACTCAATAATAAAAATATCTAAGTCTTAAATGGGCAAAGAACATAAATGGACATTTCTCTGAAGAAGATAGACAAATGGCCAATAGGCACATCAAAAGATGTTTAACATCATTCATCATTAGGTAAATGCAAATCAAAACCACAGTGAGATACCGCTTGTCACGCACTAGGATGGCTTGAATCAAAAAAGATAACAAATGTCAAGGATGTGGAGAAATTGGAACCCTCATACGTTACTGGTGAGGATGTAAACTGCTGCAGCCACTTTGGAAAAACAATTTGGCAGTTCCTCAAAATGTGACCCAGCAATTCCACTCTTAAGTATATACCCAAGAGAATGGAAAACATAGGTTCATGCAAAATACAGCGTAAGAATGTTTGTAGCAGCACTATTCATAATAGCCAAAATGTGGAAACAACCCAAATGTTCATGAACTGAAAAATGGATAAACAGATGTGATCTATCCAAACCGTGGAAAATTATTCAGCCATAAAAGGAATGAAATACTGATGAACAGTATGAATGAATACATACTGACATGGATGAACCGTGAAAATATTATGCAGGTGAAACAAGCCTGACACAAAAGGCTGCATATTGTGTGGTTCTATTTATAAGTAATACCCAGAAACTTGTTCTGGGCATATAGATTTACTTAAATCTATAAAGGCTGAAAATAGATTAGTGGTTGCCAGGGGCTGGGCAAGAGAAAAATAGGGAATGACTGCTAATGATTCCATAGTTTCTTTTAGGGGTGATTAAAATTTCTGGAATTAGTGAGAATGGATGTACAAATTTGTATGAATTTACTAAAAATCATGGGATTGTACACTTTAAAGAGGTGGATTTTATGCTATGTGAATTATATTGTATTTGAAATCTACAAAAAATATAAAAACTGATTGGCTAGGAGTCGGGTTGCATTATCCAAAACAGCTGCCCAGAGAGGAAGGCTTTTAAGGCCTGCAGGGTAGACTGAGTCCTGGGAAGGAGCATGCTGCTGCCACTGGGAGAATAAAACCACCAGAGAAAGCCTGATTCAGGCATGATTTAATTCGTTAGTAAACAACTTTAGAAATCATTTCTAAAATTCAGAGAACAAAGCATCCTCTGTTGCTGGGAGCTTCTCATATGTATTAATATTATGTACTCTTTCCTACTGTTCCAAATACATTCTTCCATTGCTGAATTTATTAAATAGCAGTGAATTCTGCAGAGTTAATACAGATGAGAGATGCCTTTTAGTATTCTGATATCTAGTTTTACTCAATAGCTTTTGAGAAACCAGCAGAATACATCTGAGAAGGGGACAAACAGTTCTGTAGTTATTTTTACTTCTGGGGCTGTTCTTTCACCATCTGAGCAGTGTGTGTTTATAAGAGATGTTTGTAATAAGGACTGGGTGCTGGTTTTCCAGTCATGCCTTTTTCCTTCCCTTGGCCCATGCTAAGCATTGCTCTGTATGCCTGAAAGCATTTGTGTTAAATTCAAAGATACTTCTGTTCAAGCAGATAGGAAAGACATGTCTACCCATTTATCCCTATTGAATAGAATTAAGTAAAAGCAGAGTTTACATCCCCAAATTAGGAGTTTCAGAGGCCACTGGTACATCTGCTCATCCTTCCCTCTAGGGAGAGATTACTCATTAAAGAAATACCCTTCAAGGGAGAAGAGGAAGGCATCACTTGGTTGATCATCCTGGATTGTAAGAAATGTCTCCAAGATGGAAAAAGAGAGGAATTTAACTCTCCAGATCTCTTAGGAGTTCTATACCTTTAGGGAGATACTGTCTTCGGTTTCTAAGGCCATGGCAATCCAAACACTTCCTCTGTTCAGAAAGCCTGACCCATGAAAAACTATGAAATATTCATGGAGAATTTTCTTCCAATGTCCGGAGGCACAGCTACCTGCCACCTTGTATCATGAAGAAGAAAGCCACAAATTAATGATAAGAGAGCAGAAAGATAGAAGGGGCCTGGGACCTTGGTGGCTTCCTTGAGCAACTCAACAAGCCTTGTACTTGCTTGTCTAAACCTTATTTTCTCTTGCAAGGAGCCAAACAATATCCTAACTGCTACGTCTCTTCTATCAGAAACTGACAGGACAGAAGCGAAGCAAAAAAGAAAAAAGTGTAAGGGGCATAAACAATTGTTACAAAACTAGAGTATGAAATGAAGTGCCCGTGTCATCTTCAATGCAACATGCCCTACACAGAACTCTGCATTCTCCCTGCTACCCTTTCCCCACTCTGTAAGCAGCACTGCCATTGGCTCAGCTGCTGAGGCCCCCAAGCAGGCCTTCTTGATTTTTCCCTTTCCCGTATCACCCATATTCAATCAGTCAGCAGGCCCCATGGGTTCTACCCCCAGAATGTATGGTCCACTTCCCACCACCACCACCTCCACCTCCTACCCACTACTACACCCTACTATCTCTGCCCTTCCACCTCACAGTCCATTCTCCCAGCAGCAGAACTGGTCCCAGCACACCAGTGATTAAAGCCTCCACAATTCGCATCGCCATTCCACCATTCATCTCTGAGCCCGTGTGTCCCTGAGTGATTTCTCTAGTCTCACCTTGAAACTCTCCAACCGTCACCCACTGTGATGCTCGAGTAGTATTTAGCTTTCTTCCTTTCTAACACAAGCCAAGCTTTTTCACATCTTTGGGCACTGCTGTTCCTTGTAATTAAATGCTGTTCCCTAGGGTCTTCCATGACGGGCTCTTTCTCACGACTGAGGCATCGGCATTAACATCACCTTCTCAATGAACATTTCCTGATCATTCTCCCTTCCCTGTTTCTCTCTATGATATCGCCATTCTTTCTTTCCTTATTCCACTTACTGCAGCCTGAAGTTGCCTTCCTTATATTTTGTTTTGTTTATTGCCCACCTCCAGCCCAACTCCTGCTGGAACATCAACTGCTTGAGATCAGAAGCCTGCCCCGTTCACCACTGTGCCTACAGCCCTTGGGCCACATACTTGAACTCTTAATAAGTGTTGGTTTTGATAGGTGTGATGGCCACCTCTCTTTTCTAGGAGTGAGATAATAGTTTTAAAACTTCAGAGTGGCCTTAGAGCACCCGAAGAGCCCATCTGCCCATAGTCACTCTATCGTGCTGCCGATTTATTGCCCTCATACCACTATTGCTATCAGATTCATGTGCTTGTTAGTTTTTTCCCCCTTTCTATTCTAATGGAAGCTCTGTGAGAGTGGGAACTTATTTTTTGTATTCAACACTCTCCTCAGCACCTAGAACAGTAACTAGCAACACTCAGTGCATGCTTGTTGAATGAATGAATAAAACACGTACAAAACAACATTGACTTGCATAAACTTCCAGCCACCTGAATATCACTAATAGCACAGAGCCAGCCTGCAAAAGTGGATTTGATACCAACATGAAATTCCGCAACCGGTGGCCATGATAAACACTCCTGGAAAACAATTGTCAGCAAGGACATTGCAAGCTTCAGAAAGGGGGCACACTTCTGCAGTTGGATACATTGAAAACTAGAAAATCTTTGTAGATTGAAGCGGTCTCACATGCAGAAAGGGAACCTGCAGACTGCATAAGTTCCTTTTCTACTGGGCAAGCCAAGCAACCATTTCCTGGGACCCAAATCTCAGTGTAGACCCTATTCTGAAAAAGTCTGCTGTCTCCCTTTAATAGCATTAAATCAGTGGTTCTCACACTCCAGGATGTAAGAAGAAACATCTAGGCCTGTTTTTCTCAAACTTTAATAGGCAAAGGCAACACCTGAGAATTTTGTTACATGTGGATTCTGATTCACTAGACCTGGCATAGAGCCTGAGATTCTGCATTTCTTTTTTTCTTTTCTTTTTCCTTTTTTTTGAGATGGAGTCTCACTCTGTTGCCGAGGATGGAATGCAGTGGCACCATGTTGGCTCACTGCAACCTCCATCTCCTGTGTTCAAGCAATTCTCCTGCCTCCGCCTCCCGAGCAGCTGGGATTACAGGCGCCCATCACCACGCCTGGCTAGTTTTTATATTTTTAGTAGAGATGGGGTTTCACCATGTTGGCCAGGCTGGTGTTGAACTCCCGATCTCAGGTGATCCACCGCCTTGGCCTCCCAAAGTGCTGGGATTACAGGAATGAGCCACCGCACCTGGCCAGATTCTGCATTTCTAAAAGTTCCCAGGGACTCATGCTGCTGGTCTGAGGATCACACTTTGTGTAGCAAGTACCTAGGAAGCTTATTTAAAATGCTGATTCGTGAGCTCAACCTTGAGATTCTGATTTACATGATCAGTGAGAGGGACCCCAGAGTCTTTATTTTTAACAAGTGCCCCAGGTGATTCTGATCCAGTGGTCTGTGGATGTATTTAGAGAACTTATGCATTTGTTTGTCATAATGAAGAGTAATGAGCTAACAAGCTGCCTTGAATAAAGGTGGCTAAAGAAATAGCTAATGGATTGCGGGCATGGTAGAGAAGGAGCCCTTTATACAGGTACTTTCTTACGGATGATGAGGAAGAGTGATGTCAATATGATGTTTGCAGTACGATGTTTGCAGTACAGTGTTTGCAAACAGCCTTTGTTCAGATACCTAAAAATTTCCAACACAGAAGCTCATGAATGTGCTAGTGAAGTCATGAGTTCTTTGGTCTCACTCTGTTGCCCAGGCTGGAGTGCAGTGGCACAATCTTGGCTCACTGCAAGCTCCGCCTCCCGGGTTCACGCCATTCTCCTGCCTCAGCCTCCTGAGTAGCTGGGACTACAGGCGCCCACCACGACGCCTGGCTAATTTTTTTGTATTTTTAGTTGAGACAGGTTTTCACCGTGTTGGCCAGGATGGTCTCAATCTCCTGACCTCGTGATCTGCCCATCTCAGCCTCCCAAAGTGCTGGGATTACAGGTGTGAGCCACTGTGCCCAGGCAAGTCATGAGTTCTTAATACAGAATTTGGCATTGTTCATAACAACGGGCCGGGATTGATATTTCAGGAAATAACCAGAGCTACAGCACATGTGTTTTTGGAAAGCTGATTTTCACAGGCAGTTAGAAGTGTAGGATTAAAGTCTAACTTAATCCCCTACACTCTACCCTTTGCTCGCTCTGCTCAAGCCACATGGCACCTGACTATTCCTCCACGTGACAAACACATCGCCACCTCACATCTTTGCATTCACTTGCCCTTCTGCCTGGATCGGGCTTCCCCTAGAGATCTTCTCTCTTAATGCAGCCAGGTTTCTGCTCAAAGTTCTCCTGTTTAGAAAGGATTTCCCTAAGCACTTTGTCTAAAACAACCCTCTTTGTTTAGCACTTTGTCTAAAACAATCCTCGGGCTTAATTCTTCTGCATAGGCTTATCACTACCAGACACTGGAGAAAGTCACTGGTTTCCTTTCACCATAAAATAGGGCAAGGTCAGCATAGAATTTATTACTTCAGGTGACTGGAAAACTTTAGGTGAACTTCAAGTCGACACAGGTACTATACAGGACATCTGGATGACATAGTTCTGGGTCATGAAGAACAAGCCTGAGACTACAAGAGGCCGAGACTCATTGGAAGACAACACGTGAGTCAGGCAAGACAGCCATAGATCAAGCCCAGGCTGGAAGTAGATGTTGACTGCCTAGAACAGCATCAGCAAACTATGATCCATGGGCCAAATCCTGCCCACTGCCTGATTTGTAAATAAAGTTATACTGGAACCATTTGAGTATCGCCTATGGCTGCTTTTGTACTCCAACAGTACAGTATTGTATAGTGGCAACATAGACCGTGTAGGCCGCAAAGTCTAAAGTGTTTACTGTCTGGCCCTTTACAGAAAAAATTCGCTGGGTTCTGGTCTAGAAGCTCTCTCCTTGGTACAATTACTGTCTGAGAAGTGAAGATGGGCAGCGTTTATTCGAACACTGTTGGGGAGACTCAGAACTTGTGGACTCTATATCTCTCACAATGTGAGACTCCGCGAGACAAAGTTTGGTATTTATTTGTCAAAGGAAGGGGAAAGGAAGGAAGGCACTGGAGACCCAGGAAACAATCCAAGACACAAAGGGATACAGAGGCAAAAGGAACAGTTGAAAACACAGACAACATTGCCAATTAAACCACAGTACTCAGCTGAGCTTGCCTGAGTGCAGAAGGAGCAGGGACACTAGAAGTGTGTCCTGGGCCGTGGGAGGGGCGTGTTTCTGCAGGTGCAGAGATGGGGTGAATTACTCAGGGCCTGGGGAAGGAAACACAAGGAAGACACATTAAGCCCCTGAGGGCAGACCTTAGGAACATCACAGCATCTTCAGGAATCAGAGGTGAATCTCTAACTGTGGGCCCTCATACTCCCACACTAGTCAGGTATTGGATACGGCCGCCCCAGGAGGAGCGCTGGCCTTAGGCGAGCTGTTTCTTCAGCTGACACAATTTGCAACGAAGGTTACAGCTGAGGACCTTCTGCCAGCAGTTCCCAGCAGCTGGGGAAGAAGCTCTCTCTTCCTGCAGGAGCCTCTAGGCAAAGCTTTGCAGCATCTGCCACGTCTACAAAATGATTTAAGAGAAGCAGATGTCGCATTCTTTTGGAACTGACATTATTAAAGTAATGGACATTTACTCTGTCATTCACTCATTTTTATTCCATAAATTGTATAATTATATATATATATATATGTATAATGTGTAATTTTGTATATATTATTTATATGCCAGGCGCTAGGCATATAAAAGAAAGCGTGAAACAAGACCTCTGCCCTCCAGAAGCCCATAGTCTGGAGAGCAGGAGAGGGACAGACAGAGGGACATACATAGCCCAGCTGAGAAGTGCTCTAAGGGAAGCAAGCACAGGCCCTGGCACATCACAGAGAGTAGAGGGGCCTGTGAGAGACTCAATGAAGCCTTCTCGGAGGAGGTGACCTCTGAACTAGCCTCGGTGACTTTGTTTGCAGTCATAGGTGGAACTGAAGAGAGTTTCTGTTTACCCACCTGCACCAGGCAGAAAGTTGGCTGATGCGGTGTTTGACAGCCTTCTTTCCTACATGGTACTGGCACCCTGAGATTAAACTTTCTGGTTCCTTGTTCCAGCAAAAAACCCGAGCTGGTTACACTCACTGCCACTAGATGGCAGTACTTGGTCAAAAGTGCTTGAAACCAGGGTTTTATTACATACCAGCCCTACGTCTGGTTTTGGTTTGGAGGGAGGAGGAAATCCTTAGGAGTGGCAATAGAATTGTATGGATTACAAAGAAAATTTTCTTTAATTCGTTAAATTGCATAAGTCATATATATTCATGTGCCAAAAGAGTTTAAAAATCAAGCAAATATTGGCTGGGCACGGTGGCTCACACCGGTAGTCCCAGCACTTTGGGAGACTGAGGCAGGCAGATCCCTTGAGGCCAGGAGTTTGAGACCAGCCTCGGCAAGATGGTGAAACTCTGTCTCTACATCAAATACAAAAATTAGCCTGGCATGGCACCATGGTTCTGTAGTCCCAGCTACTCAGGAGACTGTGACCCAGGTGGTTGAGGCTGCAGTGAGCTGTGATCACACTACTGCACTCCAGCCTGGGCAACAGAGTGTGACCCTGTCTCAAAAAAAAAAAGGAAAATCAAGAAAATACTAAGGTGTTATAGGCTGCTATAGCCAAAGCAGATTGGAAACTATTGCTAGAAAAAAAGAAGAAAAAGGAGGAGGAGGAGGAGGAAGAGGAGGAGGAGAAGAAACAATAAATGTTTTTCCAGAAAATTATCAGCATTGGAATTTTTTCTATGAGAATTATCTTTCCTTACTATGTCTCTGCTACCTGTTGGTTAACTACCAATTGTGTACCCACATTAGTGATGTTATATTTAATTTGTTTTCCTTGATCTCCAAGTAGCAGTGACTTTAGCCCTTTTTCCTGTTCCCTCGGCTTCTCTGTTAAGTAGATGATGATCGGAAAGCAGCAATTGTCTAAAATGTTTGTAACATATTAGAATCAGAAGATAGGTTGGGCCTTCCCCTACATTTTACAGATGGAACAAATAGAGTTGAGGCTCATCTTCAAGGTCACCCGACTCCTTTTCCAGTACAGGCCTACCTTGGAGATATTGCAGTTTTGGTTCTAGACCACCACAATAAAGTGAAATCAGCAAGTCATATAAATTTTTTTTGTTTCCAGGTACATATAAAAGCTATGTTGACACTATCCTGTAGTCTATTAAGTGTGCAATAGCATTACGTCTAAAAAGCAATGTACCTACCTTAATTTAAAAATACTTAATTGCTAATGTACACAAATCAGTAGCTCTCTTATACACCAACAGGAACCAAGCTGAGAATCAAATCAAGAACTCAACCCCTTTTACAATAGCTACAAAAAAAAAAAATACTTAGGAATATACCTAACCAAGGAAGTAAAAGACCTCTACAAGGAAAACAACGAAACACTGCTGAAAGAAATCATAGATGACGCGAGCAAATGGAAACACATCCCATGCTCATGGATGGGTAGAATCAATATTGTGAAAATGACTATATTGCCAAAAAGAGTCTACAAATTCAATGCAATTCCCATCAAAATACCAATATCATTCTTCACAGAACTGGAAAAAACAATCCTAAAATTCATATGGAACATAAAAAGAACCCTCATAGCCAAAGCAAGACTAAGCAAAAAGAACAAATCTGGAGGCATCACATTACCTGATTTCAAACTAGATTATAAGGTCATAGTTACCAAAACAGCATGGTACTGGTATAAAAATAGGCACATAGAACAATGGAACAGAATAGAAAACCCAGAAATAAACCCAAATACTTACAGCCAACTGATCTTCGACAGAGCAGACAAAAACATAAAGTGGGGAAAGGACACCCTTTTCAACAAATGGTGCTGGGATAATTGGCTAGCCACATGTAGGAGAATGAAACTGGTCCTCATCTCTCACCTTATATAAAAATCAACTCAAGATAGATCAAAGACTTAAATCTAAGACCTGAAATTATAAAAATTCTAGAAGATAACATTGGAAAAACCCTTCTAGACATTGGCTTAGGCAAGGATTTCATGACCAAGAACCCAAAAACAAACGCAATAAAAACAGATAAATAGCTGGAACTTAATTAAACTAAAGAGCTTTTGCACAGCAAAAGGAACAGTCAGCAGAGTAAACAGACAACCCACAGAATGGGAGAAAATCTTCACAATATATACATCTGATAAAGGACTAATATCCAGAATCTACAACTCAAACAAATTAACAAGGAGAAAAAAAAATTCCAACAAAAAGTGGTCATGGCTAAGGACATGAATAGAAAATTCTCAAAAGAAGATATACAAACGGCCAACAAACATATGAAAAATTGCTCCACATCACTAATCATCAGGGAAGTGCAAATCAAAACCACAATGCAATACTACCTTGCTCCTGCAAGAATGGCCATAATTTAAAAATCAAAAAATAATAGATGTTGGCATGGATGCAGTGAACAGGGAACACTTCTACACTGCTGATGGGAATGTAAACTAGTACAATCACTATGGAAAACAGTGTGGAGATTCCTTAAAGAACTAACAGAACTACCATTTGATCCAGCAATCCCACTACTGGGTTTCTACCCAGAGGAAAAGAAGTCATATGAAAAAGATACTTGCACACACATGTTTATAGCAGCACAATTCACAATTGAAATAATGTGGAACCAACCCAAATGCCCATCAATCAACGAGTGGATAAAGAAACTGTGATATATATATGTATATATATACACATCACCTGATTTCAAATACATATATATGATACATATATGTATATACACACATATATATATATGATGGAATACTACTCAGCCATAAAAAGGAATGAATTAGTGGCATTCGCAGCAACCTGGAAGAGATTGGAGATTATTATTCTTAGTGAAGTAACTCAGGAATGGAAAACCAAACGTATGTTCTCACTCATAAGTGGGAGCTAAGCTATGATGATGTAAAGGCATAAGAATGACACAGTGGACTTTGGGGACTCAGGGGGAAAGGGTGGGAAGTGGGTGAGGGCTAAAAGATTACAAACTGGGGGCCAGGCGCAGTGGCTCACACCTGTAATCCTAGCACTTTGGGAGGCCAAGGCGGGCAGATCACCCGAGGTCGGGAGTTTAAGACCAGCATGACCAACATGGAGAAACCCCGTCTCTACTAAAAATACAAAATTAGTTGAGCTTGGTGGTGCATGCCTGTAATCCCAGCTACTCGGGAGGCTGAGGCAGGAGAATTGCTTGAACCTGGGAGGCGGAGGTTGCGATGAGACAAGATCGCGCCGATACGAGATTGCGCCATTGCACTCCAGCCTGGGCAACAAGAGCGAAACTCCATCTAAAAAAAAAAAAAGACTAAAAATTGGGTTCAGTGTATACTGCTTGGGTGATGGGTACACCAAAATCTCTCAAATCGCCATTAAAGAACTTACTCATGCAACAAAACATCACCTGTTCAGTAATAACCTATGGAAATAAAGAATTTTTAAAAATTAAAAAATAAAAATACTTAATTGCTAAAGCCAGGTGTGGTGGCATATGCCTGTGGTTCCAGCTACTTAGTAGACTAAAGCAGGAGGATCCCTTGAGACCAGGAGTTCCTGTCTAGCTTGGGCAACATAGCAAGACCCTGTCTCGCAATAAAAATAAAAATAGATAAATAAAAATACTTTATTGCCAAAAATGCTAGTGGTCTTCTGGGCCTTCAGCAAGTTGTAATATTTTTACTGGAGGAGGGTTTTGCCTTAATGATGGCTGCTAACTGACCAAGGTGGTGGTTGCTGCAGGTTGGGTTGGCTGCAGCAATTTCTCAAAATAAGACAACAATGAAGTATGCTGCACCCATTGACTCTTCCTTTCACACAAAAAAAATTTCTCTGTAGCATAGGATGCTGTTTGATAGCATTTTACCCAGAGTAGAACTTCTTTCAAAATTGGAGTCAATTCTCGTAAACCCTGCTGCTAATTTATCAACTAAACTTATGTCTGTTCTAAATCCTTTGTTGTCATTTTGACAATGTTCACAGCATCTTCACAAGGAGTAGATTCCATTTCAAGAAACCGCTCTCTTTGCTGATCCATAAGAAGCAACTCTTCATCTGTTCAACTTTTAGCATGAGATTGCAGCAATTCAGTAACATCTTCAGGCTCCACTTCTAATTCTCGTTCTCTTGCTGATTTTCACATCTGCAGTTACTTTCCCCACTGAAGTCTTGAACCCTTCAAAGTCATCCATGAGGGTTGCCATCAACTTCTTCCAAACTCCTATTAACGTTGTTATTTTTACCTCCTTTCATGAATCACAAATGTTCGTTTTTCTTTTATTTTTATTTTTTCTTTCATTTCTAGTTATGTGTAATAATTGTACATATTTATGGGATACAGAATACTTCAACACATGTATACACTATGTAAGGATAAAATCAGAGTAATTAGCATATCCATCATCTCAAACATGTATTATTTATGTTGTAAACATTCAGAATTTTCTCTTCTAGCTTTTTGAAAATATACACTAAATTATTATTAATTATATTCACTCTACAATGCTACAAAATACTATAACTTATTCCTCCCATAGAGCTATAATTTTGTATGCATAACCAACCTCTCCCTATCTTCCTCTCTCTACTACTCTACTCAGCACTTAATAACCACAGTTCTACTCTCTACCTTTTATAAGCTCAATTTTTTCAACTCCCAGATAAGAGTGAGAACATGTGATGTTTATCTTTCTGTGCCCAACTTATTTCCATTAACATAATGTCCTCTGGGATCATCCATGTGGCTGCAAATGACAGGATTTCATTTTTTTTATGGCTGACTAGCATTCCACTGTGTACATATACCACATTTTCTTTATCCATTCATATGTCGATAGACACTTTGGATGATTCCATTTTTTGGCTGTTGTGAATAATGTTGCAATGAACATGGAGGTGTAGGTATCTCCTTGACATACTAGTTTCCTTTCCTTTGGGTAAATACTGGATATTATTGCTGGATGTTATGGTAGTTCCACTTTTAGTTTTTTGAGGAACCTCCACACTATTCTCCATAATGGCTATGTTAGTTTACATTCCCACTAACAGGGTATAAGAGTTCCCTTTTCTTCACATCTTCACCAGTGTTTGTTTGTTTTTGTTTGTCTTTTTGATGATAGCCATTCTTACCGGAGTGAGATGATAGCTCCGTGTGTTTTTAATTCACATTTCCCTGATATTAGTGATGTTGAGCATTTTTTTCATATGTTTGTTGGCAATTTGGTTTTCTTGTGAGAAATGTTTATTCAGATCATTTGCCCATTTTAAAATCAGATTATTTGGGCTTTTGGCTGTTGAGTTGTTTGAGTTCCTTGTATATTCTGGATATCAATGCCTTTTCAGAGGAGTAGTTTGCAAATATTTTCTCCCGTTCTCCAGGTTGTCTCTTCCCTCTTGTTTGTTTCCTTTGCTGTATGGAAACTTTTCAGTTTGATATAGTCCCATTTGTCTATTTTTGTTTCAGTTGTCCATGCTTTTGCGGTCTTAGCTGTAAAATCTTTGCCTAGACCTATATCCTGAAGTGTTTCCTTTATGATTTCTTCTAGTGGTTTTATAGTTTTGGGTCTTACATTTAAGCCTTTAATTTTTTGAGTTAATTTTTGAAGATGGTGAGACATAAGGATGAAGTTTCATTCTTCTGCATGTAGATATCCAGTTTTCCCAGCACCATTTATTGAAGAAGATGTCCTTTCCCAATGTATGTTCTTGGTGCCTTTATTGAGAATCAGGTATAAATATGTGGATTCATCTCTAGGCTCTTTATTCTGTCCCACTGGTCTATGTATCTTTTTTTTTTTTTTTTTTTTTTTTTTTGAGACGGAGTCTGGCTCTGTCGCCCAGGCTGGAGTGCAGTGGCGCAATCTCGGCTCACTGCAAGCTCCGCCTCCCAGGTTCACGCCATTCTCCTGCCTCAGCCTCCCGAGTAGCTGGGACTACAGGCGCCCGCTACTACGCCTGGCTAATTTTTTGTGTGTTTAGTAGAGACGGGGTTTCACCATGTTAGCCAGGATGGTCTTGGTCTCCTGACCTCATGATCCGCCGCCTGGGCCTCCCAAAGTGCTGGGATTACAGGCGTGAGCCACCGTGCCCGGCCCCATGTGTCTTTTTATACCAATACCATGCTGTTATGATTACTATAGGTCTGTAATATATTTTGAAGTCAAGTATTGTGATGCTTCCAGCTTTTTTATTTTTGCTAAGAATTGCTTTGGCTATTCAGTGTCTTTTGTAGTTCCACAGGAACTTTAGGATTGTTTTTTCTATTTATGTAAAGAATGCCATTGGTATTTTGATAGGGATTGCATTAAATCTGTAGATTGCTTTGGGCAGTCTGGTCATTTTAACAATATTAATTCTTCCAATGCATGAGCATGGAATGTCATTCCATTTTTGTCTGTTCTGTTCAATTTCTTTAATCTGTTTTTAATTTTCATTGTAGAGATCTTTCACCTTCTTGGTTAAATTTACACCTATGGAGTTTTTTTAGAAATTGCAAATGGGATTGTTTTCTTGATTTCTTTTTCAGCCAATTTGTTTTTGGTGTATAAAAATTCTACTGATTTTTGTATGGCGATTTTGTATCCTGCAACATTACTGAATTTATTTATCAGCTCAGAGTTCTTTGGTGAAGTCTTTAGGTTTTTCTATATATACTATTATATCATCTGCAAAGAGGGATAATTTGAGTCTCTTTTTTCCAATTTGGAAACCTTTTATTTCCTCTCTTGCCTAATTGCTCTGTCTATGACATCTAATAACAGTGATGAAAGTGGCCATCCCCCATTCAGTATGATATTACCAGTGGGTTTCTCATATATGGTCTTTATTGTGTTGAAGTGTGTTCCTTCTATATCTAATTTGTTGAGATTTTTTATCATGAAGAAATATTACATTTTATCAAATGCTTTTTCTGCATCTACTGACATGATCTTGTGGTTTTTGTCCGTCGTTCTGTTGAGATGTATCACACTTACTGATTTTTGTATGTTGAACCATCCTTGTATTCCTGAAATAAATTCCACTTGGTCATGATATATTATCTTTTTGATGTGTTGTTAGATTTAGTTTGCTAGTATTTTGTTGAGGATTTTTGCATCAGTGATGTTAATTTTTCATTAGTGAAACTGACCTGCAGTTTTTGTTTGTTTGTTGTGTACTTGTTTGGTTTTGGTGACAAGGTAATGGCCTCATAGAATGCGTTAGGAAGAATTTGCTTCTCCTCAACTTTTTTGAGGAGTTTGAAAATAATTCTTGTTCTTTAAAATGTTAGTAGAATTCAGTAGTAACGCCATCTAGTCCTGGGCTTTTCTTTTTTGGGAGATTTTTTTTTAAGTGCTTATTCAGTGTTACTGATGATTGGCCTGTTCAGGTTTTCTATTTCTTCCTGGTTCAATCTTGGTAGGTTATAGGTGTCCAAAAATTCATCTATTTCCTCTAGGTGGGCATTTGTTGGCACATAGTTCATAAAAGTCTCTAATGACCCTTTTAATTTCTGTGTTATCAGTTGTAATGTCTTCTTTTTTGTTTCTGGTTTCATTTGGTCTTCTCTCTTTTTTCCTTGGTTCCTCTAATAGCTCGTCAAATTTGTTTATCTTTTCAAAAACCAACTTTTCATTTCATTGATCTTTTTGATTATTGTTTTAGTCTCTATTTCACTTTGTTCTTCTCTGAATTTTTATTATGTTTTTCCCCTCTACTAATTTTGAGTTTGGTCTGTTTTTGCTTTTCTAGTTCCTTGAGGTAGATTATTAAGTCATTTATTTAGTCGTCTTTCTTTTTTGATTAGGTGTTTATTGCTATAAACTTCCCTCTTGGTATTGCTTTTCCTGTATCCCATAGGTTTTGAAGTGTTGTGCTTCCATTTTAACTTGTTTCAAATAATCTTTTGACTTTCTTAATATTTTCATTGACCCATAATCATTCAGGAGCACATTATTTAGCTTCCTTTATCTGCACAGTATCCAGAGTTTCTCTTGTTATTGATTTCTAGTTTAATACCATTTTGGTCTGAGACAATATTTGATATGATTTTGCTTCTTTATTTGTTGAGATTTGTTTTGTGGCCAAATATATGGTGTATTCTAGAAAATGTTTCATGTGCTCATGAGAAGAATGTCTGTTCTTCAGCTGATGTATAAAATGTTCTGTAAATGTCTATTAGGTCCATTTGGTCTATTGTGGAATTTAAGTTTGATATTTCTTTGTTGATTTTATGTCCAGGTGATCTGTCTAATGCTGAAAGTGGGGTGTTGAAGTCCCTAACTATTATTGTATTGGGGTCTGTCTCTCTCTTTAGCTCTAATTATATTTGCCTTATATATCTGGGTGCTCCAATGTTGGGTGCATATATATTTGCAATTGTTATATCCTCTTATGCAACTGATCCCTTTACCATTATATAATGACCTTCTTTGTCTTTTTAAATTTTTTTTATTATACTTTAAGTTTTAGGGTACATGTGTACAACATGCAGGTTTGTTACATATGTATACATGTGCCATGTTGGTGGCTGCACCCATTAACTCGTCATTTAACATTAGGTATATCTCCTAATGCTATCCCTCCCCCCACCCCACAACAGGCCCTGATGTGTGATGTTCCCCTTTCTGTGTCCATGTGTTCTCATTGTTCAATTCCCACCTATGAGTGAGAACATACGGTGTTTGGTTTTTTGTCCTTGCAATAGTTTGCTGAGAATGATGGTTTCCAGCTTCATCCCGGTCCCTACAAAGGACATGAACTCATCATTTTTTATGGCTGCATAGTATTCCATGGTATATATGTGCCACATTTTCTTAATCCAGTCTATCATTGTTGGACATTTGGGTTGGTTCCAAGTCTTTGCTATTGTGAATAGTGCCGCAATAAACATACGTGTGCATGTGTCTTTATAGCAGCATGATTTATAATCCTTTGGGTATATACCCAGTAATGAGGTGGCTGGATCAAATGGTATTTCTAGTTTTAGATGCCTGAGGAATCACCACACTGACTTCCACAATGGTTGAACTAGTTTATAGTCCCACCAACAGTGTAAAAGTGTTCCTATTTCTCCACATCCTCTCTAGCACCTGTTGTTTCCTGACTTTTTAATGATCGCCATTCTAACTGGTGTAAGATGTTATCTCATTGTGGTTTTGATTTGCATTTCTCTGATGGCCAGTGATGATGAGCATTTTTTCATGTGTCTTTTGGCTGCATAAATGTCTTCTTTTGAGAAGCGTCTGTTCATATCCTTCGCCTACTTGTTGATGGGGTTGTTTGTTTTTTTCTTGTAAATTTGTTTGAGTTCATTGTAGATTCTGGATATTAGCCCTTTGTCAGATGAGTAGATTGCAAAAATGTTCTCCCATTCTGTAGACTGCCTGTTCACTCTGATGGTGTTTTCTTTTGCTGTGCAGAGGCTCTAAATCTCTTTAAGCTGATAAGCAACTTCAGCAAAGTCTCAGACTAAAAAATCAGTGTGCAAAACTCACAAGCATTCTTATAACCAATAACAGACAAACAGAGCACCAAATCATGAGTGAACTCCCATTCACAATTGCTTCAAAGAGAATAAAATACCTAGGAATCCAACTTACAACGGATGTGAAGGACCTCTTCAAGGAGAACTACAAACCACTGCTCAATGAAATAAAAGAGGATACAAACAAATGGAAGAACATTCTATGCTCACAGGTAGGAAGAATCAATATCGTGAAAATGGCCATACTGCCCAAGGTAATTTATAGATTCAATGCCATCCCCATGAAGCTACCAATGACTTTCTTCACAGAATTGGGAAAAAACTACTTTAAAGTTCATATGGAACCAAAAAAGAGCCCGCATTGCCAAGTCAATCCTAAGCCAAAAGAACAAAGCTGGAGGCATCTCGCTACCTGACTTCAAACTGTACTACAAGGCTACAGTAACCAAAACAGCATGGTACTGGTACCAAAACAGAGATATAGACCAATGGAATGGAACAGAGCCCTCAGAAATAATGCCACATATCTACAACTATCTGATCTTTGACAAACCTGACAAAAACAAGAAATGGGGAAAGGATTCCCTATTTAATAAATGGTGCTGGGAAAACTGGCTAGCCATGTGTAGAAAGCTGAAACTGGATCCCTTCCTTACACCTTATACAAAAATTAATTCAAGATGGATTAAAGACTTAAATGTTAGACCTAAAACCATAAAAACCCTAGAAGAAAACCTAGGCAATACCATTCAGGACGTGGGCATGGTCAAGGACTTCATGTCTAAAACACCAAAAGCAATGGCAACAAAAGCCAAAATTGACAAATGGGATGTAATTAAACTAAAGAGTGTCTTTTTAAATTTTTACTTAAAAACTTCTTTATCTGATATAAGTATAGCTACTTCTGGACAATTTTGGTTTCTGTTTGCATGGAATATCTTTTTCCATCTCTTCACTTTCAGTCTATGTGTGTCTGAAACTAGGTGGAGTGAGTTCTTGTAGGCAGCATAAAGTTTGGTCTTTTTTAAAATTCATTCCATCTGTCTTTATGTTTCAGTTAGGGAATTTAAACCATTTACATTAAACATTATTATTGATAAGTGATAAATTACTGCTGTCATTTTGTTCATTGATTTCTTATTGTTTTGTATATCCTTTGTTCCTTTCTTTCTCCCTTATTATTTACTTTTGCAATTTGGTGGTTTTCTGCAGTGATATTTGATTCCTTTCTTTTTCTCATTTGTGTGTCTACTCTCTCAGTGAGTTTTGTACTTTTGTGTGTTTTCATGGTGGTAGACATTGTTTTTTCACTTCCAAATGTAGGACTTCCTTAATATTTCTTGTAGGGCCAGTCTAGTGGTGATGAATTCCTTTAGGTTTTGCTTTTCTGGAAAAAAAAACTTTTTTTCTCTTCTGTTTCTGAAGGATAGCTTTGTTGTGTATAGTATTCTTGGCTGCCACTTTTTTTTCTTCCAGTACTTTGAATATATCATCCCATTCTCTCCTGACTTATAATGTTTCTGATAAGAAATATGCTGTTAGTCTAATAGAAATGTCCTTATATGTGACTTGACATTTTTCTCTTGCTGTTTTTAGAATTCTCTCTATATCTGTGACTTTTGACAATTTGACTGTGATGTGCCTCAAGGAAGATCTTTTTGGATTGAATCTATTTGAGTACCTTTGAGCTTCCTGTATGTCAATGTTTATATCTCTTCATTTACTTGGGAAATTTTTAGCTATTATTTCATTAAATAGATTTTCTTTGTTTTTCCCTATTTATTGTCCTTCTGGAACTTCCAAATTTGAATGTTTGTTCTATTGATGGTGTTCCCCATGTTATGTAGGTTTCTTTATTCTTTTTAATTCATTTATTTATTTTTTGTTTTTTGGTCTGACTGGGTTATTTCAGATCTGTCTTCAAATTCAGAAATTCATTTTTTTCTTGATCTGGTATTGTTGAAGCTGTATTATATATTTTTTTCATTCATTAAATTCTTCAGTTTCAGGATTCTAGGATTCCTGTTTGTTTCTTTTTTTATGATTTTGACTTCTTTTTAAAATTTTCCATTCAAATCATAGAATAGTTTTCTTATTTCTTTGTATTATCTATCTGTGTTCTCTTATATCTCACTGAGTATCCTTAAGATCATTATTTTGAATTCCTTTTTCAGGCATTTCATTTATTTCATTTTCTTTGGAGCCTATTACTGAAGAATTAGAGTGTGTGTGTGCATGTGTGTGTGTTTCACATGTCATGTTTCCTTGCTTCTTCATGTTTCTTGTGTACTTATGTTGATATTTGTGCATCTGGTGTAATAGTTGGTTCTTCCAATTTTTGGAATAGCCTTCATAGGGAAAGTCTTCTTCCTATAGATATATCCATAGTGTTGGTTGGGTAGGGTACTTTTGCTGTGGTTCTGGGTAGGCACCATAGTGTACTCTGCATGATTTATTTGGCTATAATCAATGTCAGTGGTGTCAGTGAGTTTCTCAGTGGCTTAGGCTACTATTGTTTGTAGAGGTTGTGGTGAGGCTTTCCTGGGAACTGGGGTACCAGGCAGGCCAGTTCTTAGGCCCCTGAGTGGTGTGGCTGAGCACCATCTGTTGTGGTTGCAAGCCCTGATCAGTCTGGTCCTTGGACCCCTGGGCAGGGCACACAGGTGGCAATAGCAGTGAGATGAGTAGGACAGTCCTTGAGCCCCCAGGAAGCATATCAGGCAATTGAAATGACAGCAACAGTTAGGGTGAGCTAGTTCTTGGGACCCTGGCTAGGACACATGAGTGTCCAAAGTGGTGATGGCATGATTGTGGCAGCAGGCCAGGCAGGCCAATCTTTGGGCCCCCAGGTGGTATGTAAGAATGTGAGCAATGGTGGTAGAAGTCCAGGAAGGCCAGTCCTCAGCCTCTTGGGCAGCATATGCAGGTGTCTGCAATGGCAGTGGTGGTCCAGGAAAGCCAGTCCTTTGGGCCCTGGGCAACAAGTGCAGATATATGCAGTGGCTGTGGTGGTCTGGGCAGACAGCCAGTCCTCAGGCCCCCATGCAGTATGCATGAGCACCTGTGATGGCACTGGTGGCCCAGTCAGGCTGGGTTTTGGGCCCCCAGATGGCTCATACAGGTACACAGCAGCCCCTTCTCTGGAGGGAGTGGGACTACAGTCAATGGCGGTGGTCCCAAGCAGGTGGCTCTCAAATTCTGTGGAACATATGTTTTGGCTCCCTATGTCCTAGGAGCAGCCTCCCTGAGGTGCTGAACTCTCTGTTCCCTGGGGTGTAGGCCACTGCAGGGGCTTGGGTGCTAGGAACACAGCCGCATTGCTGGGTCCAGCCAGGGTTGTAATGCTGCAGCTCTCTGAGTGGGTAGGTATCCCAGAGCAGGATGTTGTGTGGTGTTGGCTCCACTCTCAAAATTGTGCCATGTTGTAGCATTTGGGTCCCAGGAGGAGGATGTGACCCAGAGTAAATTCCTTCTCTGGGACATTAGGCAGCTCTCTATACTACACTCAGGGCCTGTGAGGGCCAAGGGGCTCTCCTGTAGCTAGGATTGCAGGTGTCTGTGGTGAGAATGTGAACCATCCCATCCTAAGTGGAGAAAACAAAGAATATTACACTACTGAGTCCTTAGCAGAGGACCCTTTTAAAAAAAAGTGAACATAAATGAGAGAACAACCAATGAAAAATTATGGAGTATTTTATCAACACTGATGAATTGGGAAGATGATATACAGTGAAAAGTGTGCAGGCAGGGGAATGAAAACACTGGAGCATAGGAGAAGGGTAGCAGAGAGGTTGCAGGTAGACCTTGCAAATCAGGAGAATGCAAAGATCCCCTCCCTTACCTGCATGTTCCTACTGAGGTTTGTTAATGATTCCTAAGTGTGTTGTGGGATCAGGGAAGCTGTGGAAGGCAGCTAGGAATATGGGTCATAGAGCAGCTCTCCAGTGCTTTCCCAGATAAACAGAGATTGAACCTGCTGTGACAGGTGAAGTGGGGTAAGTCAGTTGTGATTCTGGAGCATTCCCTGAAAATGGAGATGATAGGGGTGTGCCCAGGTGGGCACCTGAAAACCAAATCAGTCTCATGATCCTTAATTTCCATGATAATAAATCAGGTGATAATATCTTAAGCTAAAAGGAAAATGAGGAGGAAAATGGGGAAGAGGAGGAAAGAAAGCTTATAAAAACATGTCATTTAGAAATGTGGAGAAAGTAGCTAAAAGAGTTGAAACTGGTTACAGCCATCTCATTACTTTATCTTTTTTGTGTGTTTTTTAATTTGGGGAAGGGTCCTGGATTGCCAAACTTTAGTGTGTCCCCAAAACACCAGGGGAGCTTGCTAAACACCTAGGCCCTGTCCTGAGACACTCTGACTCAGTAGGTCTGTGATCGACCTAGACGTCTGAATGTTTAACTTGATATAGGAACTGAGTGGACCACTTTGGGGAATTCTGCTCTAGATTCCAAGTGGGAGTAGAGAGTGGAATGTAGCAGACCCCAAGTTCTCTTCCAGCTCCACTCCTTCCTACCTGTGTTACTTGTGCAGATTACTTCACTTCTCTGTTTGCTCATTAGTTAACAAGGGATTGCATTAAGTCAAGGCTTCTTGAACTTTTGGGAAGGTTGAGTTTGAGAATCTATTGAAAGCCTTAACAGAAAAATGTAATCTGAAATTTTACACATTCAGGTGTTTCTGGGCTCTCTAGGCTCCTAAAGACTCTTAGTTATAATTTCTTAGAATTAATGTCCTCAAAGATCTGTCAACTTTGACATTCATGGATGATCTGGATTTTGGATGCTGTGGGCAAGCTGGCTGGGGAGAGGACACAACTTGCTTTAGACAGCAGGTTTAGAATCCCAGCTTGTGGGTGGTCTTCTGATATGCATTGAACCAGCACCTCATACTGCCTTTTGCAGGGATGAAGAGCTGGTCACTAACTTGGCAGATACAAACAGGACACCAATCTCCCCCACCTTCACCAAGATAATATTAGCTAAGCATCCTGGGTGTGCTGAGTGACCAAGGACATCCAGGGCAATAAAAAAGCAAAATATCTCAAAAGGGCTGCATTTATCAGAAACTGACTATCAGGAAAGATAAACGGATCAGCCTGAGGAAGTGACCTGAGCTCTACCCTTCTCCTTCAGATCCTAGAACAAATGGCCTTTCTAGAGAAGTACAAAATTTCTTATAGTAATGATTTTGATAATGGCTGCGGTGCTAATTCCTCATTCCATCCATGGACACGTAAATGAAAAACTGGGTTGGGAGAGTTCACACTTACTGGGAAGAGGTGAGGCAATCTGTGTAGTCATAGGTTCAAACGTCCTTAGTCAACTTTGTCAAGACTGACGAGACCTTTCACCTAGAGGGGAGCCATGGTACAGCTCTGCCCATTTTCTAGGGTCACTGGAAGCCTCTGGAATTGAGTGTTGACTTCATACTATCCAGGTCTAATCAAAAGAGCCGTTGATTAGATTGCTGCTTCACAATCTGAATAAGACTATTACGATATGTGGCTCATGGCCAAATGGTCAATGGTCACAGGGCCAAGTTTTTAGATAGGAAAAGTAGGCTCAGGGTCACTAAAGGTGTGAGCCACCCTACTGGGACATACATGCTGGCACCGGGCTCCTGACCTCTGTTCTGCACTCCTCCCATCCTAGAGTGGGAGGCCGCCTACATGGGAGTGGAGAAGTAGAGAGGACCTGGTTTGACCGCGAGGCACACATAAGAAGACTTACCTGCCAAAGATATTAATTTTGTTATCAGCCTGCTGTTCTATATTTTCATTCTGAACCTGGAAACCCAACTGTTACATCGTGACTGGGTTACAGAGCAAATCAGAATCAGGTTGCCAACCGGGCTCAGATTATGCCTTTCTTGCCTTTTTTGTTATTTATATTATGATGTGATCATCTATAGTAATTATTAGTTTTATATTTTAACATCTTTGCAACCAAAATTCTTTTGAAAATGTTATTGGTTTATGAATTTTAAAAACCGGAAACACTGGGGTATAAAGCAGGATTGCTAAAATGCCCCTCTTCACTGTGCCCTGCCCAGGTCTTCTTATTCTGCTAGACTTCTTTTATCACTTCATCTGGTTAACACAAAAAAAACCATAAAACAATGAGAATAGGCAATATACTTTCCAGGGTTATATGCCCTATATTTCAATAGAGAAGATTCACAGATCAACTCAGAAAAGAGATACTCTCCACAATAAAAGTTAAAAATTATCCAAAAACCATCAAGACCTGACTTCATTCCCATTATTTCCTCAAGCACTCACTTCTCTAGTCACATTGACTATTTGCTTTCACACGTTTCTGCTTGGTATATGCTTTTCCTTCTGCCCATAGTGCTATTCCCCTTTGGTCAGACTGTTGAACTCCTGTTTATCCTTCAATATTAGGCCTAAGTATTACCATTTCTGTGAAGTCCTCCATGACTTCTCCCACTCTCTTTCTTTCAGGCAAGTCATATGCCCTTTATCTCTGTGCCCATAGTAACCTGGATGTATCTCTTGTTTAGCATCTAACACACTGCATTTGAAAAAGCTGACTTGATTTTCTGCCTTCCCTATTAAACTCTGAGCTCCCTTCCTCAAAGACTCTATCACCTGGCTCTTTCTACACCCAGCACCTAAAGTACAATGCTTAGCATACATTTGCGCTAAGGAGATCCCTTGGACTCAAATGAAAAATAAGGAAGCAAGTGAAATTGATTGGCTAAAACCTACACCAACCGCCATAGTTAAAAATGCAAGAATACTTTAAAATTTAGAATAAAACAAGATAATCCACTATTACCATTATTGTTATCACAGTTCTGGCAGTTTTAGCCAAGACTATAAGGCAAGAAAATGAAATGATATATAGAAGAATTGGAAGGAAAGAGCTAAGATTATCGCTACTTGAAGATAATATGATTATCAAAAAAATTTTAACTCCTGTTTCTGGCCAAGATTAATCATTCTGCATGGCACAACCAAAAAGCAAACTACATAAAATAGTTTCCAAGACACTAGTCATCATACAATGAAGGAAACTGATCTCTGAGAACCTGGAAATAAATTATGAGAATCTTACAATTGCCCCAGCTTATTGCTTTGAGAGAGTTTCTAGGTTATGGCACAGTTAGGCAAAACCCAGGCAGACTGTGGTTAATTCCTTGAGTTGAGGAAACAGAGCTAAGAGTTCAGGAAGACCAAGTCAGCAAGAGTTTGCAGAAAAGAGTACTGGAGAGGAGACAGATGCACAGGTAAGAACTCCAGAGATCTGCAGATCTTCAAGTAGTCCCCAGACAACAGATCAGCAAGGAAATTATCCAAGGCTAAGGAAAGAACCAACCAAAAGGATAAGAGGGTAACAGTATCTGGCACTCACATAGGGCCAGGAATAGCGCCTGTTTCTACCAGCACAAATGAAAAATCTCATCATTTATGGGCATTGAACACATTATGCTAAAACGTCTTGTCTTAGTACTAGGTGAAGGATTAGCCCTGGCCAGACAGTCCTGCCTATCAAATCTTAAAAGCAAGACTTAAAAAGATCAAAGTATTTCAAAGTAACTAAACTGCATCTCAGAGCAAAAGACCCAGAATATTTATGGGATACAAAACTATTCTCTACTCAACACAGTAAAATTTACAACATATGGCATCCAATAAAAAACTACTAAACATGCAAAGAAACAGGAAAAAATAGCCATAAAGAGTAGAAAATTCAATCAATTGTACCTTTTCAAAATTTATGAATATGCTAAAAATAGAAAACAAGGATATTGAAGCAGTTACTATTCTTGTATTCTATATGTTTACCATGTTAAGTGAAGATAGAAAATATCTAAAAACCAACCAAACAAAACCACATTGAATGTTTAGAGATGAAAACTGCAATGTCTGAATGTTTGAGATGAAAAATAAACTGGATGGTATTAAAAGAATATTAGCAACCAAGCATGGTAGCTCATGCCTGTAATTCCAGCACTTTGGGAGGCCAAGGCAGGAGAATTGCTTGAGGCCAGGAGTTCAAAACCAGCCTGGACAACATCGCAAGACCCCGTCTCTACAAAAAAATTTAAAAATTAGCCAGGTGTGGTGGCACACATTTGTAGTCTCAGCTACTCAGGAGGCTGAGGTGGGAGGATCACTGGAGCCCAGGAATTCAAGGCTGCAGTGAGCTATGATTGCACCACTGCACTCCAGTCTGGGCGACAGAGCAAGACCTGTCTCAAAAAAAAAAAGTTAGACATTATAAAAGAAAAGATTAGTGAACTTGAGGACACAGCAGTAAATACTATACCAAATGACAAACACAGGGACAAATAGAATTTTAAAAATAAACAGAGCTGTCTCTGTGAAGTTTCCTCTGACTTATCCCACCAGCTTTCCTTCAGGCAAGTCATGTGCCCTTTATCTCTGTGCCTATAGCCCCTTGGACATTTCTCTTGTTCCGCATATGATACATTGCACTTGGAAGAGCCAACTCGCTTTCCTGCCTTCTCTACTAAGCTATGAGGCAGTGAGCTATAAGACTTCAAGTAGGCTAATAGAAGTCTGATTGGACCCCCCAAAGGAGAGGAGAGAGAAAGAGGTATGGGAAAAATATTTGAAGAAATAATAACCAAAGCCTTTAACATGTAGATCCAAGGAGCTCAACAAACCCCAAGCACAAGAAACATGAAAAAACTATACCACAGCTCATCATAATCAAATTGTTCAAAAATCAATGATAAAGAGAAAAATATTTAACACAGCCAAAAGAAAAGGCATGTTACCTAGAAGAATAAAGATAAAAATTATAGAAGACTTCTCATAGAAAACAACACAAGCACAGAGTGAAGCAACATCTTTAAAGCAGTGAATGAAAAAAAACTCTGTCAACCCAGAATTCTGTATCAGTAGAACTACCTTTCACAAATGGAGGCAAAATAAAGACTGTTTCAGACAAACAAGCTGAAAGAATTTATAACCACCAGACCCACACTACAAGAAATATTAAAGTCTTATAGGAAGAAAGAAAATGATACCAAATGGAAGTCTGGATACACAAAATGAATGAATACCAAAGGAAATGGTAACTATGTGATGAAATTTTAATTATTATTTACATCTCTTTAAAAGATAGTCATTTAAACCTAAATAATAACAATGTAGTCTGAAGTTTATAACATACATAAAGGTAAGATGGATGATAACAGTAGCACAAAATTCTAGCGGGAAGAAATTAAAGTCTACTACTGTAAGGGCTGGACGCGGTGGCTCACGCCTGTAATCCCAGCACTTTGGGAGGCCAAGGCAGGTGGATCACCTTTGGTTGGGAGTTTGAGACCAGCCTGGCCAACATGGTAAAGCCCTGTCTCTACTAAAAATACAAAAATTAGCTGGGCATGATGGCAGGTGTCTGTAATCCCAGCTACTCAGGAGGCTGAGGTGGGAGAATCACTTGAACCAGGGAGGCAGAGGCTGCAGTGAGCCAATATCATGCTGCTGATCTCCAGCCTGGGTGACAGAGCAAGACTCCTTCAGAAAGAAAGAAAGAGAGAAAGAGAGGAAAGAAAAAGAAGGAAAGAAAGAAAAAGAAAGAAAGAAAAAGAGAAAGAAAGAAAGAAAGAAAGAAAGAAAAAGAAAGAAAGAAGAAAGAAGGAAGAAAGAAAAGAGGGAGGAGGGAGGAAGGGGAAGAAAACTACTGTAAGGTAGAAAGAAAGAGAGAGAGAGAAAGAAAAAGAAAGAAAGAAAGAGAAAGAGAGAAAGAAAGAGAAAGAAGAAAGAAAGGAAAGAAAACTGTAAGGTTCTTGTACTATATCTGAAAAGACATATTATCACTTAAAGATAGCATGTGATAAGTTAAGATGTGTACTTTAAACCCTAAAGGAATCACAAAAATAATAAATATTTCATATCTAGTAAACCAAAAGAAGACAGAGAAAAGAAATAAAGAATACATTAAATGGGACAAATAGTAAACAAATAGCAAGACGATAGATTTCAACCTGACTGTTATCAATGAACACTTTAAAAGTTTATGGTCTATAGGTTTAGGCAATGGTTTCTAGATACAACATCAAAAGCACAAATAATAAAAGAAAAATGATGAATTAAATTTAATCCAAATTAAAAGCTTTTTTTTTTGCTTCAAAGGACACCATTACAACTCACAAAATGAGAGTGAATATTTGCGAATTATATATCTGATAAGGAACTTGTGTCTAGAATATATAACGATCTCTTGCAACTCAACAACTAAAAGACAAATAACCTAGCTTTAAAATGGGCAAAGAATTTCAATAGACTTTTCCCCAAAGGAGATATATAATTGGCCAATAAATGCTCAAGATCATTAGTCATGGGAGAAATATAAATTAAAACTACAATGCAATACCACTTTATACCCACTAGAATGGCTATACTAAAGATGGAGTTGTAACAGCAGTTGGCAAACATGGAAAAATTAGAGCCCTCATACACTGCTGGTATATGAAAAAGATTGTGTTTTGTTAGCAAGGACGATGGGTAGGGTTGGATGCTAGGAAGCAACCAAAGTGTCTGCTGCATTAATAGATATGTGCAGAAACATTCCTGGGTTAGTAGTTGCCTTGCATTTAGGATAAAGATATGAAAGGGAGGCATCTCCAACGTAGTGGAGACCGTTCAGGATTATTCTCAGAAGACCTGCCTTCTCTGCTGTTTCCTGGCTGTGTGGCCTCAGGCAAGACACTTTCCTCTCTGAGTCTCAGTTTTCTTTCTGGTAAAATGGAAGTCAGTGTATACATTGTGTCTACCAAATAGGTAGTTGGACATGAGTAAGTCTTGGTGAGCTGTGCTACGTAGGATAAGGTTTCATCATTTTATTATAGTCTTCGGGAATTCGAAGTCTCTTGAATCAGTCTTTCAATTGATATTAACCAAAAATATATACAAAAACTAGGGTCAGGAGTTTGTTCACTTTGGCTTATTTGGAAAAGGAGTCAAGTGAATGGTTTGAAACCCCTGAATGGTCCCATTTATCCCACATATCTCTGTAAATAAAGGTTTGAATCCTAATTATCATGGCTAATCCTGCCCCTTCCCAAAACACTAGGGTTTCACTTTGCACTGACTTTGGAAAACGATTCCCATCAGAGCTACTTTCAGTAAAAACATCCAAAGAAGGCTGACAGCTTCCAGTCCCATAAGTTATAAGGGAGCAGTGTAGTCAAATAATATTAGTTGAAATTTAACCTAACTGTCAAAAGCTTTGGTCAAAGAGGAATTTGGGGTCAAAGTTGAACCTGTGATTTAACCCGTCCCACATACACACACCTATCAGCAGATGGGGTGATCTGTCTCACTCCCACTCTCAATGGACAATGTGCATTTTGTGAGCTCTGCCTGCATCATGCAATCTTGTACTTCCCAGGCAATTTCCCTGGGGCCACTTCCCATCTAGGGCAGTGGGCTTTAGAGTTTCTATGAGATGCTTATAAGAATATTGCTAAATAGAGTCTTGGCTCTATCTCGTAGACCTCTAATTATTCTCTCATCTTCACTCTGTGCAAGGCATTTGTTTTTATGTGTAATCAAAGATCCTGCCAAGAAGCACTTGTAGATGAAACTGGAGACATTTGTTTTATTCTTATCCGTGCACTCAGGCATTCAATAAGCACATTCTCAGTGCCTTCTAATCTCAGCAACTTTGCCAAGCTCCAGAGATACAAATAAAAACAGTCCCTGCCCTCAAGAAACTTACACAAGTAATAAGCAGAAGAAAATAGAAAAAGAAATGTCATTACAAACCCAAACCTCCCTGTCCAATTTTCTCATTGTACCCTTGACTTAATATTATGATTAATATTTCCTAAAAGTTGAAATCCTCCTAGTAATAGATCAATAGACTGAAAGTAAGCAGTAGAAAATTTGCTTTTTGTGCTTTCTGAAAACTTTGCTTCTTAATCAAATTTTCTAATGTTTTAAATTTAATAGTTCAACCAGAGTTTGAGGCACAAAGGGAGAGATAATAATTCAGGGCACCTCAAGATTTTCCCTTCAACCTCCGACCGAATGGAGCCTTCGGTACCTCTGTGCCTATTGGCCATGCTGCAGGAAAGCTCAGTTATGAAATCTTCCACTCTGAGATCTTGGCAGATCAAAAACTATACGGAGCATTTGGTGAGGTACCATTTATGTGAGGCAGTCCCAAATGTTTGGCACATTTATGGGAAGCATCCTGATGAAGGATTTACAGTGGTTTCTTCTAACTGGGATCACTCCTAGGTCTAGTACTAATAAAGAGAAGAAGATCGGAGCAGCTTTGACATGAATGGATCCATCTGGCCTGGTCTCCATACAAGTTTCCTATGAGTTTGGTGAGTGTGGATCCCCATGGATCATAATCCACCTGGGAAATCAGATGGAGTCTGACTTCTCATCTTGCATCAATGTGACTGGTAGGGATGGGTCCATGCTCTGGAGCTGGACTCTGTGGGTTTGAATCCTGGCTCCTCTGTTTCTGCCCTGAGAGAACTTGGCTAAGTTCCCTTACTTCTCTGTGCCCCAGAGTGCTTATCTCTAAAATGAATTATAATGTACTGTAAATGGGAAAATTAATATAGTGTGCCTAATAGCAGTGAGCATTCAGCAAGTATTAGCTGTGTGTGTGGCTGTAACAGCCAAGGACCGGCTGGAGGAATGCGGTGACTCTACAGCAGTGCACCTCTGAGTCCTAGTGAGACAAGCGACTGTGGTCCAGGTCTGGAAGGAGGCTGGGCAGCGGCTTTTCTCATCTCTACAGTTGGGAACTAGCACTCATCCTTCTCAGGAAGAGGGAGAGAGTGGACTGAATATTTCTCACAAAGCAATGACTGCCTCATTAAAAAAAAAAGTAATCATATAAGAAATATGTGAAGATATTGTGAAAAAATCAAATAAAACAAGTAAAAAGTATCTTTATATTCCCCTTCCCTTCCCACTGCTCTCTTCAGAGGTAACCACTATTCACAGTCTGGGATGTGCCCTTCCGGACTTTGTGGATGTGTATGGGTGTATGGCATACGTAATTTTGGTTACTGGGTTGTTAACTGAAATAAAATCATTCTACATATTTTTCTGTAACTACCTTTTGTTACCTTAACAGTACATTTTTGGAAAATATTTCCAAGTCATTACCAACAGAACTCATTCATCCTTGGTAATGGCTACACGGTAGCCATTCAAATCACAGATGGTCTATAATCTAGGTAATTGATCTGTAATCAAAACTGCTACCAGCCAGCCTGGATAACAGAGCAAGACCCCGTCTCTAAAAAACAAGTGAAAAAACGTGATAGATATTTTGGTTATCTGCCCCCCAACCTATTTCTTCATGAATCCAAATAAGTTCAAACTTCTTGGTTATTCCAGGTCACAGACCCTTCAAGCAATTGTTTAAATGAGAAGATGCTACATTTTCAAGCAGAGACTGATTCACTGTAGCTTAATAAATTTTTACTGAGCCCATACTGTGTATATTTTGTCCTGAGCTTCAGAAACCAGGAAATCCCATTGGGTAAGGGGAGCCTGGTGCAGGGATCAGCAGCCTGAATGAATTCTGCTAAACAACTTTCATCTGGCTTTAGCTATTTCTGTTGAGCTGTCAACACAGATGTTGGGTTTTGCTCTCAGAACTTTAAGGACACGTGGCAATGGACAGACGATCTACTGGAACTGGAGGAGAGGGGGAGGCGTAGTGTGCAAACACACAAATGGCCATTGTCCCAATATTACAGCCATTGCTTAATTCACCAGACATGTATTGAGCCTGTCTGTGCCAAGGACCAGGAAAGACCAGTAGGGGAGACAAAATGAATCCCTGTACCCTGCCACCGAGCACCTTAGTGTCCAGAGGAAAGGAAGGCATAACCTAGGTGAGGTTGTAAGATACAGTGGTCTAAAAAATAAGAGGCCCAGTGATCTAGAGCAGGACAGTTCAGAGTGAAGAGAAATGCTTCTAGCTAGGAGAAGGGGGCAAAAGGAGGGGCAAGGATGACTTTTCTCCCTACATTGCTCTCCTTAGTGGGTGCCATTAACATGCCCATGGTCACCCAAGGTGGGCTTCCAGGGGTATCTTCAGCTTCTGCTCTTCCCTCATGCCCACCTATGATGGACCCCCAAATGCTCTCTGTTACAGTTACAGAATGTCCCTCCAATTCATACCCTCCTGCCTACTCCCAAATTCAGGTCCTCATCCTCTCTTGCCATAACTTTTGCCAGAGTTTCCTAACCCATTTCTGTACCTCCAGGTCTCCCCCCATCCCATCTTTCCTGCTGCCTTGGAAGTAATCTTCAAAAATCACAGATCTGGCCATGTCACTCTTCTGCGTGAGAACTTTTGCTGACTTTTCATTACCTACTGCAGCAAATCCAAAATTTTGTCACTAGCATATCAGATTCACTATTTTAGTTTTTGTCTTATCTTTGTGTGTCCTTGTGCCAGTTGTTTACCTGCATGTCTCAGCTCCTAACCCTCACTTCATCACTCTATTCTGTATTTGGGGATCATGGTGTCTACACATTGTATTTTCCAGACTTCTTTGCTAGCTGTGTCTCTGCTAGGACTAGAATATGCCAATCACCTGCTCAGTGGGAATTAGAAGTCAGAAGTAAGAGACAATCTTCCTTCTGCAGCTTTGCTGGAAATTCTAGTGGTTGCTATTGTGGCTGCAGCCATGCAGTGGGTCTAGCTCCCAGCAGCCCGAGCAGAGGAAGCACCTTTTTCATGGTTCAAACCCTGGTGGAGGTGACGCCACTTTATTGAATCCAGAACTGAAGACACTGTAGAAGCAGTTGTAGATACTTGGGTTCCAGCCCAGGCATTAGCAGCTTTGAATCCTTCTTCCTCTGCTCTCCCAGCTCTTTCCACTCCAGGTAACCAATCTCATGTATTAAATTCCCTCATTTGAAATGCCTAGGTTAATATCTGCCTTCCATATTGGACTCTGACTGATAACGCTCTTGTACTATTTTATGCACTATTTTTCTCTCAATGATTCCCTAAAAATGCTTGACCATATTCTAAGCAATAATATCCATGAGATCATAAGTTGGTCTATATTCTTCTAACACATATTGGACTAAATGCTTAATTATTAATATTAAAAATATTCATCCACGTACCATCTAAAACCATCTCAATTGCTGATATATGCCCACTCTGGGAAAGCATGGTCCAGTCCACCTCCCTCTCACTAGCTAGTGTGGTCCCCTCTCCAGCGCCCACATCCATCTCCCCACTCAGACTCTCCCATGCTCCTCTCTGTCCTGTCCTGAATCAAGGCCTTGCTTCTGCAGCAATTTTTGTGCTTTTGCATGCTTCGCTCTTTCTCCATGAAAGCATCTTGACTTCTTCCCTGACCAGAAAATTTCTTCTTGCTCTTAATTCAAATATTATCTAGATTTTGAAGTTTTATTCAAACTTCATCCTACTCAAAAGGCAGCTTTAACTCCCTTTATGTTTCCTACTAGATAGCAAGTTTTTCATACATTCAAAATGTTAGCCCCGCACAAATCTCACATAATAGGTCAGAGGATGCTTGATGAGTGAATAATTAAGCAGTGGATAAGTCATCTGATGTCTTGTGGCTTCAGCAGGATCTGAAGTTGAAGAAGGAAACCCAAGGGGAGGGAATAGGATGATGCTTGTGATTATGATGAAACACAAGATACATAATTACAGCATGACCCAGATGGGGTAATTCCAGTAAATACAGTATTGGAAGAACTGTAAATCCTTGCTTTGAAGAATTGGGATTCAGTATATATGCTTTACACTGAACCTCTGATAAACACAAGAGTCCAGCAGCCACCCCAGGATCTTTAATTTCTTGAGATCTCTCTTCATGCACATGGACTGTGAGGCTCTTTGTTCTGGAATAAAAAGACATTTCTGAACCAACAGTAACCCATCAATGAATGACTCAAGAAATCAGTGGTGGCTAGACTATTGTCCTGTCAACATTTTCTAGTCATATACTCCATGAAAAGTGTAGTGCTAAGCTCCAGCCTAGAAGAATTTTTAAGCGAGAAGACAAGCTATATCTTTAAAAATTATAATATGGAAATAATAAAAGTCAAAAACACAAGCTTTGGAGTCCAGCAGGCTGGATTTGTGTTTCTACTTGGCAACTTCCAATCTGGGCAAATGGAGGCAGTTATGGACCTCTGTATACCTTAGTTTTCTCAACTGAAAAATGGGAACATATTGCTTGTCTTAAAGTATTATTTTGAGAATTCAATGAGATAGTACAGAGAAAGCACCAAGTGTTAAATTAATGAAAGCTGTTATCATTATTAGTGTATTAGAATAGAATAGAAATTGCTTTGGGGATGTTGGTCTAGGGGTGCAGAGAAGGCAGAGACCTCAGGAGGGCTTCATGGAGAGGAACCAAAGCTCTGAGTTTTGAAGGAGGCCAGGGCAGTGCTGCCGTGGCTCTGAAGGGTTGATTACCCATGGCTTTAAAGCAGAGAGGTTGCAGGGTTGCAGGACTGGGGTGATAAATTGGTCCAGGATTGCTTGGGAGATATTTCTCTTTAAAGTGTCAGGCTGACATTAAACCACCAACTGGACATTCAACCCTCAGGGACAAGGGACATGGGACAAATAAACAGTATTAGCTCTTACAGCCAAAATAGGAACCTAATGAACCAGGCTTGCAGGTAAGTTTTGGGTTCTGTCTTGATTACATCAGCTGACACATGATTGCCACTGCCTGCCACGCCATCCACGGGCTCTACCCTCTACCATGTAAAGGAGAGCTTGGTGGGAGTCCTAAGGTAAATCATGGGAAGGCCTCATGTCATACAACAAGGACATTCCTAACAAGTTATCATGTAAAGGAAAAGATTGTTCATTCAATACACTTTTCTGTGTAGTATAATTCAACAGTGCAAACCACCACCCACAATTTTTGTTTAGCATATTTTTATTTTTGCTCCTCCCCATGGGTTCTTTTAGCAGGGAAGCCTCTAAAAATGCTAAGGATATTGAATGGTTCCTTAGAGCAGGTCTCATTCCAAATACTGTACAGCTGTTACAGGGGAATTCTTTAAAGAACTTACCATGATTGAAGAAACAAAATTGGTGTATATAAAATAAGTCTTAGAAATATCCTTAAATAGTTTTTTGTTGCGGTTTGCACATCCTGAAATTCTACCAAAAGGATTGAAAACAGCACATAGTAAAAACACAAGACTTTCAGGACCAACGACATGGCCAATGAAGCTGATGCAAACTCTTCCCGCAGCATGGCTAGAGTGTCCAGGTTGAAGCATAATAATTTTTCAGCTGAGGTCACAAGAAAAAAGGAAAATCCCAGATGCTAGGAACACAGAAGGAATTAAAAGTCAGAGCAGTAAGCAGTGAGCTGAGTCTGGGGCACCTGAGGTGGTTGCCAGAATTGAAAATTACTCAGATGGCCAGGAGCTTGGGTTTTGCCATCTGGAGCAGGAGATGAAGCCTCAGCACTGCACAAGACACAGCTGCACCTTCAGGAAACCGGGGAATGGAGGCACTACCCACTGGCCCAGAGAGATGGGAAGGAAGCTCGTCCCCAAGCCAGGAGATTGAAAAATTGGTCCTCGCTGGTCATACCTCTGGGACATCTGACAGATGCAAATGCAAAGTGCTCCGATCCCCTGTCATATGAGTGTCACATTTCTGAAGGACTTGACAGTTTACACAATTCTTTTTAAATTTTTTTATTTTTACAATAACCACTTAAAGTTTTTTAAAAAAATTTTAACTTTTATTTTAGATGCAGGGGTACATGTGCAGGTTTGTTATTTAGGTAAACTGCATGTAACAGGGGTTTGGTTTACAGATAATTTCATCACCCAGGTAGTAAGCATAGGACCCAATAGGTATTTTTTCTGATCCTCTCCCTCCTCTCACCCTCACCCTCAACTACGCCCCAGTGTCTGTTGTTCCCCTACTAGTATCCATGTGTTCTCATTGTTTAGCTCCCACTTATAAGTGAGAACACACAGTATTTAATTTTCTGTTCCTGTGTTCGTTTGCTTAGGATAATGGCCTCTAGCTCCATCCACGTTGCTGCAAAGGACATGATCTCATGCTTTTTTATGGCTGCATCATATTCCATGGTGTATGTATACCACGCTTTCTTTATTCAGTCTACTGTTGGTGGGCATTAGGTTGATTCCATGTCTTTGCTATTGTGAATAATGCTGCAATGAACATACTCATGCATGCGTCCTTATGGTAGAACAATTTATATTCTTTTGGGCATATACCCAGTAGTGGGACTGCTGGGTCAAATGGTAATTCTGTTTTAAGTTCTTTGAGGAATCACCACACTGCTTTCCACAATGGCTGAATTAATTCACACTCTCACCAGTAGTCTGAAATGTTCCTTTTCTCTGCAACCTTGCCAGCATGTTATTTTTTGACTTTTAATAGTAGCCATTCTGACTGGTGTGTGATAGTATCTCATTGTGGTTGTGATTCGTTTACGCAATTATTTCACAAGGCAAAAAATGTTGTGACCATTTAACAGATAAGCAAGTAGAGGCTCACCAAGGCTCCACATCAGGTATAAAGAAGAGCTGGGCCCAAACCCAAGTCCTTTCCCTCTGCAGCCCTGCCTGTAGCAGAATTATGGGCTCCTCGGGCCACCTCCTATGTTCAAAACACCCAGGAAATGGGCAGGCTGGCATTGCAGGCACTGAGGTCAAAGGCGCTTGTTCTAAAATGAACACCTGTCATATCCTGGCCACCAAGAGGTGACTCCCCTCCTTTCCCACACCTGCACGCTGCCCGTCTGAGTAGGGATGTGAGAAGAGGGGATGTCTAGTGTGGAGTGAGCAGGGCCAGAATCTTTGGACACTCCAAAGCTGTGCCCACAGAGTGGGAGTCTCTTTTTTTCTTTCTTGAAAGCCACTTGAACTTTGTCATTGCAATTAAGCTTATCTCTTCTTGTGTTTGCTCAGCTAGTGGGTGGAAGATGTCATTACCCTCTCCTAACTTTATGGAAAACTCATGAGTATTAGTTTTTGAAATGGCTACTGATCTCTGTGCCCTCAAGATTCACACACACACAAAAAAAAAAGACAAAGGGAAGTCATCGGGGGTTGCCTAAGAATGGCCATATCTCAGACCTGGGGGAGAGGGGGAGTCCTGGCCTGGCGTTGATCAGCTCAATTTACTTGTCAGGCTGCCCATCTGCCAGGGAAACTGTCAAGGCTTCACTGGTTGTGCCAGGCCCTTGACCAACCTCTGGGTCAGCTGCATTCCCAATGCTGTTCTGAGTCTGCAGGCGTTGCCTGGACAGGGTAGGCAGGAAGTGCAGGGTGAGGCAGAGTGGTCCACAAGGAGACAGCTCATGGGTCCTGCTGTTCCTCAGACACCAGGAAAGGTGCACCTGGTCCCTACTTCACCTGAGGCCTCCGGGGTTGGTGCTGACTTGCTCTATGGAGAAGCTTTCATGACGCTCCTTCCCACTCCCCTCCGTAGATCCCAGAAAGCAGCAGTGTGGGGCATGATACTTGACATTTGCGATCAAGGGGAGAGGGCCTAGTTGTGGAATGTATAAGCCAGACATCCCTTTATCTGAGCGGGATGTCAGGCAGGCAGCTGGGGGCATGAGATAACATGGGCACTTGGAGCAGATTCTCCCAAACGAAGCAACTGATGGGTGTGATGGGAGTTGGGCATGGTAATGACTCTATCACGGTCATTTTCCTCGGTGATTATTTCATTGATTTTAGGCTGCAAAACTCCTAAGCTCCCCATCTAAGCAAGTGTTTACGTATTCCTTCCTTGACAAATGCTAGAAGAGCTCTTTAGGTAGGTAGTGAATAGGATCTCAGGTATAGAGCTGAATTTAGCCCTGGGCTGAACCTTCACATGGTCATTAGACAGACATATGCCAGCTATTGGTGCAGGCTTTAGGTGTCACATGTAACCCAGATGGGATCTAAATAAAATGACCTTGAATTCCTCCAAAGCCCTTCCTAGGATGTCTAGGGACCTGGGGAACCCTGTAGGGAATGCATCCCCACAGACACTCCACTTCCTGGTACTGCTTCTGCATGTGCCATCTCAGCCTCATCACATCCATCCAGAAATAAAGCTCAGCCTTGCATCATTTTCCACTTGCTCACATATTGATTCAGGCACTATATTTTACTGAAGCTTTTGAAATAGTTGGGGTGGAAATTAAAGAAAGATGGATGGGGATTCACTGCAGCAAATGAGCAGCTTCAAAGCCAATGCCATCCTGGAGCTCTTCTTGCCTTGCGGTCACTGGGGGTATCTCAGTGACCCATCACCCCATGCCCTCTTGGTGGCCTCTCTCCTGCCTGCCTGCCACATTCCTCTCTCTCCTTTCTGCAGTCTGGGGGAGGGACAGGAAGACACACCCAGCCTCTCCTGGTCTCCTGCATGAGGGAGCTGCCCTTCTCTTCACCAGCTTGGCTCTCGCTGACACACGGGTCTGAGGTCTGGGGTCTCACACACTCTGTCTCCCAGGCAGCTAATCCAGTCATTTACACACACACACACACACACACACACACACACACACACACACTAGGAATTCTCATGCCAGTTCTTAAGACAATGGATTTTTTACTTCCTTACATATACAAAAATGAAAAATCAGCATCCCATCTGGAGACCAGGGTCTAATATGGACCCCTTTAGTACAATAGACATGTTAAAAGATGTATAATCAAAGCTCAGAGCAAGATGAGAGAAGGACTGTGGGTGTGCCCATACTTCTTTGAGCCACCTCGCCCCTTCCTGCCCGCTGTTCAGGTAGTCGTGGTGATTATAAAAAGCCATAAGTTCTCAGCATGCAGGCCCACTTCGCTTGCTGCAGGGACAGCCCCAATTCATGGCCTGGGAGGCACCTTGTGTCCTAGACACTGTCAGAGGAGGGCCAAGCAGGGAGGGCCAGAGCACCCCTCTGTGCTGGAGGGAAAGGTCTGCTGGTGCCAGAATCTGCATGGCAGGACACTCCATTAGTGAGTGTTCTCTGCCCACACTGCTCCAAAGGTGAGGACCTCCCTGTGGCAGGGTACACCTTAACACCACCTGTCAGGGATGCTGTAGAAGGACCCTGGCACTGGGACTGTGGGTGGAGGAGAGAACTTCTGAAGTGCTTTGCTGGATCAACATGTCCAAATGCTGGAGACCACGGAGGGCAGAGAGAGTGGCATGGACGCCCCCGATGTGTCCACTTGGCCCTGTGGCTGGAACTGTGGCTTGAGGAGAAGGAAGGAAAAAGGATGGAAAGGTAGACTGGAGTTGCCTTTTGAGGGCTGGCAGCCCTGCTAGAAGTTTAGGCAATGGGAGTCATTTTCCAAGCCAAAAATTAGAACTCATGATAGGGACATGGAAGTGTTATTGGGGGTGGCCATCATGACCCGTCACGTGACACTAGGCCATCCAGGACCTGTGGCCTCTGAAGTGATGGGAACCACTGAGGCTCATGCCTGGAGCAGTGGCCCGACTCAGCCTATGCTTCAGGATGATCTGTCTAACCACAGAGTAGAGGAGGCCCAGAGGATGAAGGCTGGAGGCTGCAGGTGAAAAGGTTGACGCCAAAGTCCAGACAAAGAAGGGAGAGAATCTAGGGGTGAGGGGGTGCTTGTAAGGAGCTGCCTCAGAGGCAGGAACTGGGACGTGCACCCATTGGGCACCACGCCTCTCTGTGCTTCACAACAAACTGGCACATCCCAAGGCCACTGGAAGCCCTGCTGGGCCATCTCCCCAAGGCCAGTGCTGTACACATAACCCTACAAGACCAGTTTCCTACACATAACCCTACAAGACCAGTTTCCTACACATAACCCCAGATCCCTTGTCCTGTCTTCTCAGTGGGGCTGGAGCAAGTCAGCAGGTGCCACTTTCTCCTGCCTTGTCTCTGCCTAATAAAATGCGTCTCAATGTTTTACACCTGCCATTTAGCATGGACTGCTTTAACACCTCAAAAAGGCCTGTGGAGGAGCCTATAATCATCAAGGAGGAATTCCCAGAATACAAAATAACACTAGCGGCTGATAACAACTCTAAAAAATAAGTTTGTGTAATAATGGGGGTGAGAAGAGATCATAAGGTTATGTAAATAAGGTGAGGTTTTGAGTTCAAAGGAATTCTCTGGTATTTTTCTGTGTGTGTACACATGCACCCACACACTTGTGTGTATATGTGTACAGACATATATAAACACATGCATATAATGTGTATATATGCATTACATATATGCACATTCATACATCTTTATGTACAAAATACATATATGTATATATAAACACCGATGTACAAACACATACGCACACATCTATATACATACACATGTGTGTGCACATATACACATACCTGCATATACACACATTTCGTGGGGTGCGGAGAGTCACTTAAAGGCTGCAGGGCCATAAGGCTTCCTGCTTGACTGATATTCATTAATGTTTGCTGAATTACAGCAAACCTTTGCTGTGCCCATCCTGTTCTTTATCATTGACCATTGCTCTCAGGAGTTAATGTTTGAACCTGGCCATAAAGGAATCAACAGCTGCTGACCTCTGGCCGCTATTCGAAGGGAAGGGAGCCCCCTATAAAACAGCCTACAGTGGACAGTCTGGTCGGCAGAGCCGCAGGTCAGTCGTGAAGAGGGAGCTCTATTGCCACCATGAGTTTCTCCGGCAAGTACCAACTGCAGAGCCAGGAAAACTTTGAAGCCTTCATGAAGGCAATCGGTGAGTGCTGGACTGAAAGGCAAAGCTGTGGGTCACATCAGTGAGGGTCTAGCTCTACCAGCAGTGGCTATTTAGGGTCCAAATGTTGAGATGGGGGGAGAGATTCAGGCTATATACACAAACTAGGGGGCATTTTACTGACTTCTGGAGTTATTTGCAGCAAGTCCTCACTGCACAAGGCCACCCCATAGGCAAGTGGAAAGAGCACTGAACTAGGGTGTGGTCTGGATTGATGGCCATGTCATTGGCACTTCGTTGTGTGATCCTATTCCTGCATTTATTCATTCTTCAAACAAACAGTGATTCAAGGCCAACCACACACTGAGCACTGTGCTGGATAGATACCAGGGAGACAGATGATAAAGGCAATAAGGCATTTTCTTATCAGGGAAGAGAAGAGAAGAAATAAAGGTAATAAGGCATTCCCTCAGGTGTATGGAGCGCTGACTGTGCCAGGCGACTGTGCTGACCATGGGATATGCAATACCCCATCTATTCCTTGCCAAAAAACTAAGCTGGGTACCATTATTTTCCCACTTTACAGTTAATGCAACTGAAGCCCAGAAAGGTTTAGTAATCACAAGCAAGGTCATGCAAGTAGGAAGTGTTTAAGTTAGGATTGGAAGCAGGCACTGGTTCTCAGAGACCCTGCTTTAACCCCTGTGCCTCCTAGGGTCATGTACAGGAGGATGTGGCTCACAGAGAGCATGGGGGGATGGCTCAGTGGAGGTAAAGAGAAGGCTCAGGCTGAGCTTTGGAAGACAGGTGTCTAGGGAACTGGGGGCAGGGAGCATGCTCCAGGCAGAGGGAGCCCTATAAGCAAAGGGTGTGGCATGGCAAGGGAGGGTGCCAAGAATGAGAAGGGTGCTGAAGACAGCAGGGGCAGGGAGAGAAGGACCTTCAGTGCTGCCAGAGAAGGATCTTCTGCAGGCAAGCCATACCACCTCTGTGTCTCTCATCTCTCCCTCATGCAACAGGACCCTCTGTGCTCACTGTCCACCCACAAAATTTTTGTGAACCTCAATTTGTATAACAGCATAGACAAGTTCTGAAACTGGTAAAGCTCTATCCCAGGGCAAGGGATTGCTGGTATGTCTTCCTCCAGAGCCTTGACTGCAGAGGTGGACACAGGCTTGCCTGGCACAGTGCCGCTTTGTGTATGTTGGCCTGGCATGATTATCAGCAGCTCCCCTTTCACTTGCAGGAGGGACCTAGCTTGGAAGATCAACTCTCTGGTCACCAGGGGTATGGGGAATGAAATGCTCACACTCCAAGAGCAAAGTCATCAAAGGAGGAGGGAATGAGGAAGGAGAGTGAGCAAGAACCAGGGTGCTTACAAGAGGAACGGTTCTTCAGGCCAGAAGAGTGTCCTTTTTATAAATTGACTGGCAAGATAGCAGCAGGCCAGGCCAGGTCACTGTCCCTTCCTTTCTGAGGCCACAGCCGATGCTGCTGACAAGCCCCCAGTGAGTTTCTGTGGCCCCTTGGGAGACACAGTGCCCTTCTCTGTCCCTCCATGTCATGTCGTTTCTCTCACCTACCTACCACGGTCATGAAACTCCCACCTCTGCCCATATCTAAACCTCAGACGGTTTCCACCAGGTCTGCCGGAAGAGCTCATCCAGAAGGGGAAGGATATCAAGGGGGTGTCGGAAATCGTGCAGAATGGGAAGCACTTCAAGTTCACCATCACCGCTGGGTCCAAAGTGATCCAAAACGAATTCACGGTGGGGGAGGAATGTGAGCTGGAGACAATGACAGGGGAGAAAGTCAAGGTAGGAGGGCATCCCTTCTGCTGTCAGAACTTTCCTTGGAACCTGGCCCTGGGACCTCATTCCTCAAGGCTCAAACCTCACAATTCCACCCACAGATACCATCTCTGAACCCACCTCCCATGTGGGAGAAGCAGAGAGACAAAGGCAGCTCTTAGGGAAGAATCTTATAGAGAAGCTGCTCTCCTCTTCCCAGGGACTGTCTGGGGGGTGTTCCAGCCCCTAAAGTCTGAGCTCTCCCATATGGAGGATATGGGAGAACCAGGCATACAGCAGGATTCTAAGTCTCAGGTTCTCCCAGGCCCAGTGCTCCTAGCACTAAGAGTCCTCTAAGCAGGGCCCAGGAGTGGGGCAAGTGGGAGTTTGTGAAAAACCCTTAACTGAGCCCAAAGTCAACTGGCCTTCACTGAACCTAGAGCTGGTGGTGATAGGGAGAGACTTCTTGAAGGAGGTGCTAGCAATACCAGAATACCAGGGCCCCAGACAGGTGCTCAGACCCTGCCTTCAGGGGTGGTCACAAAGTCTCTGGCTTCAGCCACCCCATCTGTAAAATAAGAACAGTCAACCTCCCTAGACTGAAGGCAGTGCAGGGCAGCATCACTTCTGCTGGGCACAACTCATGGTGTGCAATGACAGCTGGGGTGTGGGCTGTGTGAGTGGTTGGCAGATGGTGGCAGGGGGATCCTGGCAATGGGGGTGCCCGTCTCCTCCTCCCTCTGAAACACTCCATGCTCTAGCAGCCCTCTTCTCTCCTCCCCGTGGACAGCTCTGTTCATTGGGCTGGGCGTGTTTGCTTTTTATCTCTTCTGGTCACTCTTTATTTCTGCCTCTCCAATTAGAACATTACAGGTCAGGATGATTTTAGGAGGATAATATTCTTGATGTGCTCATGGTCAAGGGATTTAACTATGGGCCTTTTCCAAATTTTCTTTTTGGAGGCAAAATGTTTAATGTTGCCCAGGGTCTTTGGCTCCCTGCTGGGTTCCTGTCATCTCTTCCAGGATGTATAAGGGCTTGGAAGGAGGCCACAATATGAAAAGTTAACGCTCTGGGAAGAATAATACATACCTGGTTGGGCGGGTGGCTCATGCCTACAATCCCAGCACTTTGGGAGGCTGAAGTGAAAGGACTGTTTGAGCCTAGGAGTTCAAGACCAGCCTGGGCAACATAGCAAGACCTCATCTCAATTAAAAAAAAAAAAAAAAGAAGAATACATACCAAAGCAAAATATGTATTCTCTACTGGTCAATATTTGAATTTTGCCACTACCTCCCTCCATTAGCTTGGGAGAATTGAGATTTTACTTGATTTGATTTTAGCATTTGTATTTGGGGCCACTTAGGTGTTCCATGCTCATTTCTAGATCACATGCCATGAATTAAAGTTCTGACAAAAGAAGTCGTGACATTTTATTTAGTTCTTAAATGCACCTCACTTCTATTTGGAGCCAGAGAACTAGAGGCTTGGGATCATAGGAACCAGAGCATTTTGGTTGTTATGAGCTGAGACCTGTGCAAAGGAAGCAACTTCATTAGCAAGGCTCTTGCCCCCCACCACCCCTTCCTCACAGGTCACCTCTCTGTTCCCTGCAGACAGTGGTTCAGTTGGAAGGTGACAATAAACTGGTGACAACTTTCAAAAACATCAAGTCTGTGACCGAACTCAACGGCGACATAATCACCAATGTAAGTTGGTGGTGCTCTGAGCGTGTGGCTCCCAGTGCTTGAGGGGAGAGGGGAGGTGAAGCATGGGGAGCGGCTCACATACCCTAATGCCACCCCTCCACCCTCCAACCCCCAAACTTCTTTCCTGTGGTCAGTATCTGCCAGCACTTACTGAGGATCCATCATGTCCCAGGCAGTTTACACACATTATCACTAATCCTTTCTGCTCAGCGCAACCAACCAGCCACAGAGGCCTCCACCTGCCCTGCATGCCCAGGGTGCTTCATAAATGCCTTTGCCCATTTAGCGTTTATAAAGAGAATCCCATTCATGGTCATATTATGGCAGCTTACAAGCCTGGCACAGTCCAGTTATGCAGTCAGCCTTGGTGCCTGGCTGCCAGCCACATCCTGTACCCTATTTGGGGGTGAATGGTGCAGTGTTTCTCCTGCAGGTATGTCCCCCTGACTCTTCTTTGCCCCCAGAATATGCTTTAGGGAGTCACAGACAACAGAACACTGCCTCAGGGCGCTGTCATCACTCTATTCAAATGGAAAAATTCTTAAACTAGAGAGAGTGTGAGCATCAACCACCCAATGTGCAGTTTCCACCTCCGCCCCAGCACATTCCCAGGAGAGCAGGGGAGCAGGAGATGAGCTATCCTGCAGTAAGTCCTGGCCAACGCCCTTTGATAGGTTCCATCTCACCTAATCCTCCTGTCTCCTTCGAGGGAGGCTGGATGAGGGATTCAATAGACAGGTTGACCTGTCCAAGTCATCAGCTAATAAATGTTAAATCCAGGGCTCAAACCCATCAAGCAGCAACTATTGCATTGCTGCTGAAACTGAGGGGCTCCTTTTCACCCTGATGACATGGTATGTCATTCCAGCAGTCTTATTCAAGAGAACTGGCAGGGGTGGAGGAAACATCCTTAAAAACTCAAAAGCTGATGCATCCACTGTTTTTATATGCTTCACAGCTATAGGAGGACAATTATGCACTACCCACTGCCTTCCAGGCTGTGTGCCTAGTTGTGTCCATGTACATGTATCCTTGGTGCTCAACATGTATTTGGTGCATAGTAGGTACTCAATGAAATTTTGAGAAATTAGATTGGGCTGGTTTGGATGGTCTTGCTATAACAGTCATTGATGTAGAAAAGAATTCAGTCAAAGGCAGGAGGACTTTCCAGGTGAGGAGGAGAAGTGACAAAGACTTGGCATAGGATTTTGGAAAACATTGCCAACCTTTCCTCCGGTCCTACAGGAAACCAGACGAATTTTTGAATTGTTTCATATGCCAACATATTTGGTGCTGTTTTTTAAGCTTAATTTTGTTTTTTATGCTTAATTTTGTTTTTTACAATACAACATCAGATGAACACTTCATAATTTCTTTTCTGGCTTTCAGACCATGACATTGGGTGACATTGTCTTCAAGAGAATCAGCAAGAGAATTTAAACAAGTCTGCATTTCATATTATTTTAGTGTGTAAAATTAATGTAATAAAGTGAACTTTGTTTTAAAAAAAAATGTCTTCTCAATGCCTTTTCATTGATGGTGCTATTGCTCACCATATTCTCGTAAATATACTTTCGTAAATGTTGATAATCCACATGATCCACACTACCAGGTCAAATCCGAAGAGTAATTCCCTGAACACAAAACCCATGCTGCACACCCAGGTGTTCTGCCAGGAAAGCCAGGTGTGGCTAGATCTGCAGGAAGGCCCTGGAATGCCCTTTCCCAGTCAGGCACACGGGCAAGGAGCTGGAGCCAGAGGATGTGCAGTGGGCTGGCCTTGAGGGTGCTCTCTGTGGGGACAGGGAGCAGGAAGACTGGGCAGAAAAGGAGAGCTATACCCACAAGCACAGCCACAGTACCAGCCCACCAGCAGACAGGTGCAGAAAGGTCGACACTGACCCGCCCAATAAACTTTTCCTCCTGTGGGAGGCTGAGCAAAGGGCTTAGTGAGAGGCGCCAGAAGTGGACAGAGGAGGCTCAGTGGAAGTTCCCTCCATGCTATGGGCAGGGGCAGAAGGTAGAGGAAGGGGAGGAGTCCCTTCAACACTACTTTATGCCAAACTGTTAGGGGTTGAGTTGCATTCCCCCAAAATTTATATGTTGAAGTTCTAGCCCCCGGTATCTTGTAATGTGACTTCATTTGGAAATAAGGTCATTGCAAATGACCATAGGTGGGCCCCTAATCCACTATGTCTGGCGTCCTTATAAAAGGGGGAAACTTGGACACAGAGACATGCACATGGGGAGTGTCCATGTGAAGACTAGAGCTATGCTGCCACAAATCAAGGAACTGTTCGAAGCTGAGAGAGAGTCCTGGACCAGATCCTTCCCTAACTCCTCCAGAGGGGGCATGGCCCTGCTGTCACCTTGATCTTAGGTTAATGGCCTCCAGAATTGTGAGATAATACATTTCTGTTGTTTAAGCCTCCCAGTTTGTGGTACAATGGCAGTCCTAGCAAATTAATAACAGTACTCATACCCCTCAGAGCTGCCATTTCTACCTTCACAAGACCGTTCGGCACCCAGAACTGTAAGCCTTGATGAATGACTGAATCATTCACATTCCCCCTCTTCTCTTCCCACTTCTAGAGTTGAAACTATTACTTGTTACTTGGATTGTTTCCCAGGCCACCTGTAGCACCTCCCTGCCCCACTCTCACCTGCAACTCTCCAGCCCACAACAGCGTCCTCCTCCTTAAACAGGCCACCAACCATAATGCATCCTACCTCATTGTCCAGCACGTAACAGTCACACTCCTAAATCTGGCATCCAAGCCCCTATATCATGGGTCAGCAAACTTTTTCTGTAAAGATCCAGAGAATACATTTTCTCAGCTCTGCGGGCCATTTGGTCTCTGTCACAAATACTTATTTCTGCCATTGCAGTGCAAAAGCAGCCACATCCAAATGGTGTGGCTGTGTTCCAACAAAACTCTACCAGCACTGAAATTTGAATTTCATATAACTTGTACATCATAAACTATTACTCTTCTTTTAATTTGTTCCACCATTTGAACATGTGGAAACCATTATTAGTTTGTACCTTGTATAGAAACAGGTGGCAGCCAGATTTGGCCTGTGAACTGAAAGGATGCTGACTCCTACAGTCATAGCCTGTCCAACCTCTTTTAGCCTGTAATATACATTCTAATCGAACTAAACAACCTTCCACTCCCCTCACAATTCAAGCACCACCTGCTGTGAGATGTCTTCCCAAACTGCTCCGCTGAAAGTGCTCTCTCCCTCTCTCTGCCGTTTTATCTGGACCAGTCTTTGCAATGCCGTTCCTCCTGCCTCGCACTATTATTTTCTCCATATATTTGTTCTCCTTCTCTCACCTGAGACTTCTTCTCAGCCTTGAGGAAGAAACAGATCCATTATTTGGAGAACTAAGGCAGACTGAAGGAAACAGTTTCAGTCTGCCTTTAGAGAATGATATTACTTCAGTAAGAAGTCAGAGTTGGGAGTTACAGGGAGCAAGAAAACAACAGCACACTATGATATGCCATTCACAAAAGTAAACTCCAGATGAACTAAAAAGCTAAATAGGCCAGGCGCAGTGGCTCAAGCCTGTAATCCCAGCACTTTGGGAGGCCAAGGCAGGTGGATCACTTGAGGTCAGGAGTTTGAAACCAGCCTGACCAACATGGTGAAACCCTGTCTCTACTAAAAATACAAAAAATTAGCCAGGCATGATGGTGGGTGCCTGTAATCCCAGCTACTCGGGAGGCTGAGGCAGAAGAATTGCTTGAACCTAGGAGGTGGAGATTGCAGTGAGCCAAGATGGCACCACTGCACTCCAGCCTAGGAGACAGAGCGAGATTCCATCTCAAAAAAAAAATAATAAAAATAAATAAATAACAAGCTAAATAAATATGAAATGTTAGAGATAGATATGACTGTAGATAGCTTCCAATTATAGAAGACTTTTTTATACCAGATTTTTTATGCAAAAACCATCTAGGAAAAGATTAATAAATTTGACTACCTCAAAAACTTAAAGTTTTATATAAAAAAGGCACCATAAACATAGTTTCAAAAAAAGGTGTGGCTTACATAACAAAGGTTAATAGATATAAAAATATTCCCCAAATCAAAAAGAAAATCAACAAGTCAATGGAAAGGTGAGTTAAGGACATTAACAGACATCTCACAATATAAAATACGTTTAGTCTTGTAGTAACCAGGGAGGAGGGATACAAGATGAGGTACCATTTAAAAAATCAAACTAGTAAAAAATTAAAAGGTTGATAACACCTGGGGTTTATAAGGATGTGATGAGCTCTGCCTTTGGTGGTAAAGATATAAAGTGGTGGGCTGGGATTGGTGGCTGATGCCTGTAATCCCAGCACTTTGGGAGGCCGAGGCAGGCAGATCACCTGAGGCCAGGAGTTCGAGACCAGCCTGGCCAAGAGACCAGCCTGGCCAATATGGTGAAACCTCACCTCTACTGAAAATACAAAAATTAGCTGGGCATGGTGGCGGGCACCTGTAATTCCAGCTGCTCGGGATGCTGAGGTAGGAGAATTGCTTGAACCCGGGAGGCGAAGGTTGCAGTGAGCCGAGATCACGCCATTGCACTTCAGGCTCAGCAACAGAGCAAGACTCTGTCTCAAAAAAATAAATAAAATTAAAAAAAAATATATATATATATATATATAAAGTGGTGAACCCCATATGGAGCAACTTTGACAGCATCCATTAATATTTTCAATGTGAAGTCCCTAAAACCTAGCAAAGCCACTGTTGTGTCTCCCTTAAGGAGAGTTTACACACATGCACAAGAAGCGAATAAAGGATGTAATCGCCAAAAACTGGAAACAAATGCTCCTCAGTAAAAACAGGGTTCGATTAACTGTGGTACAGCCATACTCTGTCATAACCTACAATAGAGTAAACCAATGAAGTAGATCTGTATGTACTGACATAGAAGTATCTCTAAGACAAAGCGTTTCTTTTAAAAACTAAGTTTTAGAAATAATATTGACAGTATACTATATTCAAATAAATGTTGTTAAAACATGAAACAAAATTATGTTGATACATCTATGTATGTGAACTCATAGAAAAAAAATCTAATAGTTGGACATCATTATCCAGAACACCAAATAATAGCCATTACCTCTGGGAACAGAACTGGTGGGAGGTCGAGAGCTTTTTGCATTATTTATATCGTTTGAATCTTCTGCAAAGAACTCATTTTGTGAAACTATTATTTTTTATGAGCAATAAATTTTTTTAAAGGCAGATGACAAAGTAAAAATATTGGGCATGAAGACATGGTTCTAGTTAACTAATCTACAACTGTGGACCTCAGCTTTCTCTCCTGTAAAATGGGTAAGACAATCCCTTCCCTCGTGGCTTTTGTAAGGAGCCCATGAAATGATGCAAGCCAAATGCCATCCAAATAAAACATGTCATTATTTCCATTCTCAGATTCCTCAGGGGATGTCAGTTGGGTTTGATACTGAGATTGTTAGCAGAAGCTGTGGTGCCCAGAGAAGTGAACCTCTGAGAACAGATGCAGAGGCTCAGGGAGGAAAAGAGGTTTGCTCTGGCCCACCAAGCCGACAGACAGTGGCACTGAGGTGCTTTGACTCTGGAGTCATGGGAGAAGAAAGTAATGCAGACAAGGTCTTCTCAGCAAAGCTTCCAGGGATCTGACAAAATTCCCAGTCTCCCCGCTAAAGGGGTTCTTCCCCTGAGAACATCTATGGGTTTTTGAGGGGATTGTTTGTGCTTTTTCCTGAAAAGGAGAATTAATTTTATATGTTGAATTTAGATTTTGTACAGGTGCCCAGAGAACTTTGGGCCGGAAGCCTGCTTAAATAAATGGAATAAACAGCTGTTGATGGTGTGGGCTATTTTTACCTTGACCCCTCCCGCACTTCGGGACCCTCCACGCCTCCTCTCTGCCTGTCCTGTGGGCATCCCACCAACAGAAAGTGCTGTTTCCCGGTGACAGACCATTAATTTGCAAAGAGCCAGTTTGGATATCTATGTCCACACAAAAGTAGCCTTTTATTTCCTTTTTTTTTAAAACTCACTGCCATTAGAGTAAGTACAGTGATTGGTGGGCAGGGGAAGGGGCGGGGGTGCTGCCTAACTTAGTCCATGCTTTATCTTCAGAGCACTTTTTCTGTATACACCAGAGGCATGTTGACCATCCCATGATTTTGTAGCATGTTTTACTAGAAAAACATGGAGATGTGGAATTAAATGCATCTTCTCCACATAGCCTAGCCTCTTTCAGCCAAAGCAGGGCTGGGCAGTGCTAAGCCCTGAGGATACAGTGATCCCCGGGTGACTCACTGTCAGTGGGACCATAAGCGTGACAGTGTCATCCACTGTGATGCAGGTGGGTACTAGCTCCAGCCCCTGCTGCAGACCGGATAGGGGTGGTGCCTAGAAAAAACATCTCAGAGGCGGTATGAAAGCATCTAAGGGTATTTGCTTCACAGGGAGATGTGTATAAATGGGGCTTGGCAGAAGAGGAGGCAGAGAAGGAACAGAATCTCTACCATGAGTATCCTATGACTCTAGCAATGAGTCTGAATTTGATCCTGAAGACAGTAGAGAATCATTGAGGGGTTTTAAGCTCTAAGAGTAACATGATACTAAATGGTTTGTAAAAAAAATTTTTCTGGCCACAGTGTCAAGGACCAGTGAAAAGAACCAAAGCTGAATAGAGAGAGGCAATGGTCCAGGCAAGAGATGCTGGGGGCCTCAACCAAAGCCGTGCCCATGAGGACGGAACATAGCAAAAGGTTTAAGCATATTTAGGAATTAGAATCCACGGGCTCTAGTTACTAGACCTGGGATGTGCGTTAGCAAGATGTATCAGTTAAGATGTATCAGCAGGAACTAACGCACACTGTGAGAATTTAATGAAAGTGTTAGAGTAGGTAGCTAGGTAGACATGAGCAGGGCAGGAGAGGGCCCCCCACCAAGGAATGTCAGGCAATCATCAGGTGATGGTCAGGTAGTTGTTAAACTGTCTCTCTAAAATAATAATTGGTCACAGCCAGCGCCAGGGAAAAGCAGTCTCCCAATAGATAGAAAATCCCTTAAGATGGTGGTCAGCAGCTTCCCAATAAGAGCTCAGGATTTGGGCAAGTGGGTTCAAGCATGTTCATTAAGAGACAAAATGGCGGAGCTTAACTAATACATGACCTTCCTCTAGGAACCTTCAACTAGTGAGGAAAAAAACACCTCAGATGAGCATGTGCGCAACTCCAGTAAACACACTGCGCGTGCAGCCCCGCCCAAGTGCTGGCAGGCCACTGCACATGCGGACAGCCTGCCCCAAAGAAAAATCAGGGGAGGAGAGACACAAAAACCCAGGAGCATGCCAACATATAAAACCCCAGATCAAAGGTCAAACAGGGCACTTGGATCTCTCAAGTCCCCCGCTTGGTCCTCTTCCAAATGTACTTTACCTTTCGTTCCTGCTCTAAAACTTGCCTCAGTCTTTCACTCTGACTTATGCCCCTCAGACGAATGCTTTCCTCTCGGGAGGCAAGAATCACACTGCTGTGGACCCATTCGGATTTGCCACTGGTAACAAAAGGACTATTTACAAAGATGTGGTTAGAGTAAAGGGAACCCATTAGGTAGCTGAGGCGCCTAGCCGGCAATGCAGGAAGCCACCACCACCTGTAGACCTGAAGAGACAATGCAGGGGACAGCGTTACCGGAGCCCAGGGAGACCTAGAGCCGTAGGACAACCACCCAATGGGAGCTGGACCGCTGGCTGGGCAGTTGTCGGGGGTGTCTTTCTGCATTCCAGTCTCCTGCTGGTGCTTCTTATTGGTTAAATGAGAAAGAAGAAGTCAGCCTTTCTGACACAAAGCAGGGCAGAGAAGAGTGGAGAAGGCCTGTGGGAGAAATGGAGAAAAACCAGCACAATGGGAACTCCTTCAGTTGCAAGTGAAAGAAATCCACCCAAATGGGTTAGGTCAAAAATAAAAATGGGGCAGGGGGAACATGGTTCACTAGCTCATAGAACTAGAAGGGACAGACGGATCCAAAGCTGCATAACAACTCAATATTTCTCCATCAATATAAGCTGTGGTCTCCGGGGCCTCTCCACATGGCAGAGAGTATGATTGTCAGCACCTCCATGGTCACAAACAAAGCTTGCATTCCTAGAGAACAGCAAGGACTCCTCCTCCTCCAGTTCAGAAGGGAAAGGGTTGCCTAACAAGGGTCCAATTGCCTGGCTTCAGTCACAAGCAGTATGGTTGGAGCCACCTAGTCCCAGGTGCCGATTCAGCATACAGCTTAGCATTTGACATCGGCCTTCGCGGGAGTGTTTACACCAAGGAAATCGGCAAATGCTACAGATCAGGGCTCTTGTTCACATTGTTTTTAAATCTCTACCGGCACTCCATTGACTCATGGGCCATGACTGTGTGTCAGGAAATGCTGTGCTGTAACAGGTTCAGGCTCCATCCTGCACCAGCCTCTCCTGAACCGCCTCCTCAGAGCCTCCTGGTGCAGAGCAGTGTCCCTAGAGAAAGGGCTGGAAAGTGTCCACCAAGGCCAAATATAAGTGCCACTGACGGACACAAACCACATATCTAGAATTCTATCTGCTGCCTCAAATTGTAGTCCCTTGCACTGTCCCAGCTCTTGGCCATTCCCCAGAAAGGTGCTGGGTCTGTAAAGCGATTCCACACCTGCCCAGCACAGATGAGCAGAAGGGAAGCAGTGAGAAAGGGCTGTGACCTACAAAGGGAGAATTTTAAAACCCTGCCTTGGTGAACAGGGAAGACAAAGAAGGCAAACTGGACATGGCCATCAAAGAGCTGTATGGAAAGGAATATTCATTCTCCAGGGGTCTGGACTGCAGGATTCAAGTCCCAGGTCTTCTGCTCAGAGGCTTGCAACTGTGGATGCATGGCGGGTCCGAGGACTCGATAGCAAGACTGCTGTGGTAAGCAGAATGAAGTCCCCCAAACAGTCCATGTCCTAATTCCCAGTCCTGTTTATGTGTTACCTTACATGACAAAGGGGATTTTGCAGATGTGATTAAGGTAAGGACCTTGAGATAGGGAGATTATTCTGGATGATCCTAGTGGATCCAATGGAATCACAAGGGTCCTTATCAGTAAAAGAGGAAGGCAGGAGGGGCAGAGGAGACATGATGACAGAAGGAGAGTCAGAGTGATGTGATTGCTGGCTGGGGGCCACTGCCAAGGAATGTGGGCATTTTAGAGGAAGACGCTTGCTCTCCTGGAGCCTTCAGAAGGAACACAGCCCTGCTAGTGCCTTGATGTTAGCCCCGTGACACCCATTTTGGACTTCTGACCTCTAGAACTGAAAGATGATATATCTGTGTTGTTTTAAGCTACAAAATGTGTGTGTTAATTTGTTCCAGCAGCCATGGGAAATAAACACAACTCCTAAAGACATCTGGGGAACTGTAGCATTGTGCTTGGGCCAGATTGTTTTCAGACCAAGCTTCGTGAGCTGGGGAGGCCAGGACTGGGAAATGAGGACTGAGTGTCTGCCAGAGTGAGCAAAACAGTACCATGGCTTACAGCCGTGCTGCCTATTGTACTTCTCTACGACAGAGGAGTCCTCCTGGCCCAGTTGAGACTGGGATGTGAATGTAATTAATGCTGGGCCAGGAGGGGCAGGGAGCTTCTAGAAGGGCTGTTTACTTTCATGCACTGGATGTTATCCACAATTGTGCACGCCTTGGTCCAGAAGCTTGGACCTCCAACTGCCCTCAGAAATGTTATTCTTGGCCAGGTGCAGTGGCTCACACCTGTAATCCTAGCACTTTGGGAGGCCCAGGCAGGTGAATCAGTTGAGCTCAGGAGATTGAGACCAGCCTGCACAGCATGGTGAAACCTCAACTTTACAAAATAAATAAATTAGCCAGGGGTGGTAGTGCACGCCTTGTGGTCCCAGCTGCTTGGGAGGCTGAGGTGGGAGAATCGTTTGAACCTGGGAGGTCGAGACTGCAATGAGCCATGATCGCTCCGCTGCACTCCAGCCTAGGTGACAAAGGGAGACCCTGTCTCTAAAAAAATAATAAGAAGAAATGTTGGTATTCTCTCTGGTATGTGCCCCCAACTATATTTTTCCCTTTGGTATCCTTTAGAGAAGTACACTCTGTGACTCACCCAAGCAATGGCTATGTCTGCCCTTTAATACATGTATTTGTCAATACATTGATGGTGCAGTGGGCAGATGGCTTCATCTAAAGGGTAATCAGAGGTCTTAGACTTGCTTGGCATGGCCCTAAGGAATAGAGGTTTCAGGATGCATATTTCACCCCAGTTTAAGTGAAGACTTCTTTAATGATCTTTCTACTATCTATTTTGCTACTCCCATGTAGTGAAGCTCCTTTATAGATTGACAACACTGCAAATTAATGTGTTCTGAAGTTAGGCCATTACCATGGTTTAAATATTCCCACCATGGCCAATTTTAAGTTATCAGTGTGATGTTGATGAATGTAGAGTTGGGAAGAGATGTGCCCTGCCGGCTCTCCCAAGCTGATAAGAGCTAGTTCCATCACACCCCTGCTTGCCTCAACCCTTCACCTTCATCTTCTAACTGGGAGAAGGAACTTCCCAGGAGAAGCAAGGTTGGAATGCTCAAAGTGTAATAATAGCTAATAATAGTCACTAAGCACATATGATGGGTTGGGTTCTCAGGGCTTTACTCTTTAAAAAGTTAGTCCTCACAGTAAACTTATGCTAGGTAGAAGTCAGGAAACTGAGGCATGGGTGAAATAACTAGTCTAAGGTCACAAGGATAAGATTAGGAAAGCTGGGATAAAGACAAACTTAGACTGTTTTTCTTAGTGTCCATGTTCTTAGAAATGACACTGAAGTATTTCTCTAAAATTGCACACTCTAATGTGGTAGCCACTAGCCACATTGGCTAACTATGTATAAATTAGTTGAAATTAAATAACATTTAAAATTCTGTTCTTCAATCATATTCCAGTGCTCAATAGTCACAAGCTGCTAGTGGCTACTGTACTGTACTGGACAACACAGATATAATACATTTCCATCATCACAGAAAATTCCATTAGACAGCGCTGCTCTAAAAAGATTGTCAGAAAGAAAGAAGCCACACTTATTTGCTTGGAAACACAAAGTATTTAATAGGATTTGCTGACTGCTATAACATAGAAACTCAAAATACAGTTTCATGGTTCTTTTGCCTTGAAGTAAGCAAATTCATTCATTTGTTCATTCATTCATTCATTTATTCAACACACATTTACTGAGCACCTACCACATTCCAGGATCTGTGCAAGGTTCTGGGGATAGGAAGATGAATAGAAGGACACAGCTCCTGCCCTCCAGGAGCTCACAATCTGATGGAGGAGGTGACGTTCTTGGGTGGTGTTCCAAGAAAGAACAGATCAGAGGAGAGGAGACAGGAAAGAGAAAAAGTTTCACTTTGGACATGATGAGTTTGCTGGGCCTGCAGAACATCCGAGAGGATGAGTGGGGCTGGAGCTCAAATGCAAGATCGGGGAATACAGATTTGAGAATCATCAGCCCTAAGGTGGTCATTAAATGAAGGGTCTGCCTGAGTTCATGCAGAGACTGTGTGCAGAATGACATGAGAATGAATCAAGGACAAAACCAACTCCAGGAAATGTCAATATGTCAGGGGCAGGGAAAGAAAAAGGACCAGCGAAGGAACCTGAGAAACTAGATCAGAAGATCATCACAGGGAAGTGGGTCACCAAAATCAATGGCTGGGAGTGATGATTGACATCGAAAGGCCAAATCACATAGGAACTAAAATGTACCCATTAGATTTGATCTTGGTAAGAGCCCTTTTAGTGAAGGAGTGGGAGTGGAAGTCAATCTGCAATGGATTCAAGAAGAAATGCAAAGTGAAGAAAGGCAGATGATAACTATACAACTAAAAAAAACTCAGTCATGAAGATTAAGATCCAAGAGTTCTCAGCATTTTTACTGATTGCACCTGAGAAGGCCAGTGGGGTGACAAATGTCAAGGATCCAGGATGGAGAAGCAATAATAGATGGAGCAAAGTCTGGGGGTCAAAGCAGGGGAAGGGATCCAGAGTACATTCCAAAGGGAAGAAGGACTTGCATTCCAGTGGTCTGAGAGGGAAGGAGGAGCACAGACACAGAACACAGTTTGTTAAAGACAACAAATATTAGAAAGATAGGATGGAAAAAAAGACTACGAATATGGGGAAATGACCAGGGGCTTAGCAGATAACAATGACAAAGAAGGGAAAAAGGTTTGGGGGAGACATTTTATATGAAGGTAAAAGAGTGATAATTTGAACTAGCCAGTTAGATCCCTGGGAGAAAGTTAGTGCCGTCCCTAAGCCTGTGATGTGGGGGCTTGAAAGACTATCAGTCTTCTTGTAAAACCTTCCAGAAAGGAAATTCTTCAAACAAGACCTAAGTGTCAGATACAAGTATTTTGCAAAAGTGTGGCCCATTTGCAGAGTTTTCAGCCACTGGGTAGTGCTCAGAGGGACACAGCAGGTCATCATGTGGTGAGGATGGAGAAGCTAACATTTAGGCAGAGATAACAAACGTGGGACCTGGTGGGATCAATTTACTTCAAGATGTGGGGTACAGCTCTGAGGTCAATGGTAGTCCTGGGTTGTGTAGAAGTCTTGGTGACACCCCAAACTGAAGGGATCTTTTCCAGGATCTCCCAAAACATTGGTGAGAAATTTGGGGTCTCAGTAGATAACAGGATAACAGGCTAATCTTGGGACTGGTTGATTCTCAAGACCCTCATTTCTTAGATGGAAATCACAACAGCCTTCCAGGAGATCGGGATAAATTGGCCACACCTCTGAACAGGGTCTAACCCAGGTGTACAAGAATCCAGATTCAAATGTTCTTTCTGGTGAGAAGAGCAGAAGCCCCCAGGGCATGACAGAAAAAGAAACTCAACAAGGGAAGTAATAATTATTCAGTATTGAGAATGGAGCTTCATGGGGGCCCATGATAGAGTCTAAGCTGGTAAAGACCACCCAGGCACATGTAACCAAATAAAGCCCCCAAGGGCCAATTCTGCAGGGCCCATGATCAACAGGTATGTGTGTTTCCAAGATTCTCTCTCAGCTTCACTTTGAAAATATTTTTTAAATCCTACTAGGCAAATAGCCAGAAAAATATCAGACATTATCTAAAATCACAGGGAACCACAAGGCTTGGTAATAAGGGTGATAGAGGGACTTATTCCCTCTCTGTGTGTTCTAGAAATATTTCTAGAATTCTAGTTGGAACCCAGACTTTTTTTCCCTGGACTTTAAGACCTCAGTTGGTTTGGGCAAGGCCCCCAGCCAGCTCTTTCGACATATGCACCATTCTGAAGTGGTTTCAGGTCTCTGAGTAGAGCCTACGTGGCCCAAACACAGCCCCTTCTTCAAAACTCCACACCAACCACACAGTATCACATATCCTGCTCAGCCAATTGTGTCTACTGCAGACCACAGGTGAGACCAGCAGCCCCAGAGACACCTGCACAGATGGGTGAGCAGCCACCTGAGACTCCAGGCACCTGCTACCCTCAACTCAGATGTCATACTCTCTGTGATACCCCCACTGCACACACACACATCACACACCAGACACATTCCCTCCTCTGCACCCTCCTCCATATAGTTTATAATTGCATTTATTATTACAGTGTGCTTTAAATGTTTCTCTACATTTTGCTTCCCCACCCAACGACATTTGGAGCTCCTTTATTGGGTTCTAGGGCCTATCATCCAATAATATTTGTAGGAGGAGTTGATCTGGGCTGGGCTAGAGTTAACTTGAATTGAATAGACTTGAATTGAGCCAAAATGGCTCTGGGAAACATAGGGCAGTAAATTCTCACAGCAACAATGTTAAGCATTACCTCAACTTCCTCATTAGGGGTCTCCCGAGAGACCCACCACCTCCAGAGTCTCTCCCTAGCTCCCCAGCCACATCGCCCCTCCTCCACTGGGCAGTCCTCATTGCTTCTTGTGGAACAGAGCTGGGGATGGCTCATTGCTGGGCTCGGCCATGACCTGCATGGGCTGGTTGTTCAGGGCAGCCTCGCGCATCTTGTAGTACATGAATTCGTTCTGGCGGAACATGCGTAGCTCCATCTCCGTCTGCACCCGCATGGCCTGTGGGACACAGATACACCGTAAACAGTGATAGCAAGCCCCTAGGACATGCTGGTCTCTGATATACCTTGGGGTAAATTATTTCCAGCCACGGAGATTCAACTCTACCCCCTCAGAATACACACACACACACACACACACACACACACACACTCATTCATCAAGGGCCTAATGTCCTGGCAGTGGGCCCACTTTGTCAGGGAGAGGGAGTCAGAACCCTGAGAGAGTAGCTGAAGGAACCGTTCTCAGAAAAGAATGCTTGTTCCCAGGAACTGCCCAGTGGGGACCTGGATTTGAACCCTGGCCCCTGCAGATACTAGTGTGGGACCTCAGGCAAGAGACATAATCGCTTCAGCCGTCAGTTTTCTCACCCATTTTGTGGCTTCATACCTTACCGTGGGTTGGGAAGATGACAGTGTGTGACACACAGAAGAGCCCTCATCCTCCCACATGTCCATTCAAGAAATACTTCTTAAGGGCCAGGCATTCAGAGGCCGAGGATACAGCTGTGAGTAAAATTGACAAAGGCTCTGCCTTTGACAGGCTCGGTACCCTAAACATAAAGCTAGTTAGTCCGCTTCTCTGCCCCTCACTTGGTCCTCCTGCCAATTTTAAGGGGCTAATATATTATTTCCATTTTATAGATGAGGAAACCTGGGATCTGAATAGTAAGAGGACATCCATGTCTGAGACCACGCCAGTCCTAAATGTCATAGTCATCCTACATTTTATAACACCAAAGTCTGTCCACCTTCCCTAGACTGTACTGTCTGAGGACAGCCCTGTCACTCTCAAATAAACCAGCTTTTCAAAGCACCAAGGACATCAGCAGCACCATTTGCCAGGCACTAAGTGCATTTCACACATTGACTCATGAACACGCATCACAACCCTATCCTTTCCCCCTATTTTACTGATGAGGAGACTGACAGCCATACATTCAATATTTGCAAAATCACACAACCAGAAAGCGGTGAAGCTGGAACTCAACCTGGAGGTCTGATTCCAGAGCCTGTGATCCCTAACTCCACTCCATGTTACACAGAATACTTTCTAATATAAATGGCTGTGTGCATGCACACACGCACACATGCACACCCCATTGTTTACGCTTCCTCAGTCCAGGCTTGGGGTGTTATGATTCAACAGACTCAGGCTTCAAGTCTTAGCTTTGCCATTAGCTCGCTATGTGACTATGGACAGATTGTC